>NC_000003.12:52131212-52434242 GCF_000001405.40 Homo sapiens | reverse complement strand
GAGGACTAAATGAAAAGTTGTTCCCAGCCTGCACATGAACACATTCATGACACACAAAACTGGCTGGAAGGAGATAAGAGCACTGGGTTTGAGATTCCCTCCATTAAAACAACCAAGACAAAGAAAGGAGGGGAAAAAAAGATAAAAAGCAAGCCAGGGTTCCCTGCCCTATTGAAACTCAAACCCAGACTGCCTTGGGTTTTATCTTTCCCTTACCCCTGGCACCTCCAGAGAACTGGGACCTGAAATAGTCCCTCCGTTCTCCCCTTTGACCATGTAATAAATGAACCAGAAGCACTGAGATTAACCTATCAACGCCCTGAGAAGCCTTCCAGCCTGCGGTGCTGTCTGCTGGGAGGTCAGCTGGTCAAGGCAGAGGAGGAGAGGAGGAAAGGATGGGGGCTGAAGAGCAGAAGGGAGGGGAGACAGAGGGGATTAAAGAGGGGAGGAGAGAGTGCAGAGCTCCAGGAAAGGGTATCAGAGCTGCAGCCAGCTCTGCCCTCTACCCTAGGGAGGCCAGAAAGACACAAACAGCCCTCCGGGCCTTTACGCTGGACTCTGGCTTGGCAGGCTCCAGGCAGGGTCCTCTGGGAAGTTACTCTAGAAAACGAAGGGAGGAGGAGCACAAGATCCTCAGCAACGAACACCTGCACTTAGAAAAAGTGGACAGCTTCTGCCAACCACACCCTACCCATGGTACTGTATGCTATTAACTCCTGGAAACGCCCCGTAAATGCGAGTTGTTTTTGTATTTGTGTGTTGAGATGGGCCTTGTGGTTTCTCTGTACTCAGAGCACATTTCTTGTAATTACTATTGTTATTTTTATTGTCATGACTGCCCCTGAGCTCTGGTGAGAAAAGCTGAATTTACAAGGAAAGGGATGAAGTTAATATTTGCATCACATAATTATATCATTACTGTGTATCTGTGTATTGTACTAAATGGACTGATGCTGCGCACATGAGCTGAAAATGAAGAGCCCTCCCATCCATTCCATGAGAAAGAAGGTCACCCTGAGTGACTTCTGTTTCATGATTTCCCAAACAGGTTTTAGAGCTGGAAAAGGACTTAAAGAAAGAGACTGGGTGGTGCTTTCTAGAAAGGAGGAAGATGGGTATCAGGGGAAGGAAGGAGTTAGAGGGCTTTGTACAAAGCCGAGATTGCTCATTAAATGAGGAACATCCTGGCCTGTGGGCTTGTAAGACTGACCTTCTTGGGACTTCAGGAGGATCTTGAACTAAAAGAAAAAAAAAAAACACTGGCAAAGGGCAGCTGGGCCCGTAGGCAGCTCTGCTCCTTTTTCACAACAACACTTGACATTTGTCACAGTGACACTTGGCATGGTTCCTGCCTTCATCCCAAGCCACATACCAATGGATATTAAGTCCTCATGGCTGGGGGACTGGGGCTGTGCTGTGGGGACTGTGGCTTCTGGAAAGGAGGGGAGGCCCCGAACATCTGACCTATTGGGCACACTGCAGGAGGTCCGTCTGGGCATGGCTCCCACTCCCCACTGACATCAACACCTCAGCCCAAAGAGCAGAATCCACTGATGCTAGAGGAAGATGGAAGGGTCATAACCCCACCTTCCCAGGGAGACTTCCCTGGGCCTCTTGCCTGAACAGGCCCCTCGATCCATGCTGTAGACTAGGGGTCTTAACAGGTCAGTCATAAGTCTCATCTTGCAGTCTGGGCCCTGGAGCTGGCCTTTCCTTTTGTTCCTTGCCCCCTCCACGATCACTTAGGCCTGACAGAACCTGAAACCCTGTCACCCCACCCCAGGAAGCATCATCACCTCTGACTGAGAAGTGTCACCAGGGCACCCACCTGGCACAGTGTGCTGGGCTGGGAAGGGTGTGCGAAGGCGGCCTCCAGAGCCCCCTTCTTCCCTCTTGCATCACTCTCCCAAGGGTGGTCCGGAAGACCCCTCTGGACCAGACCCCTTCCTGGTCCACACCACCTCCCCCTCCCATCTCAAGCCCTATTTCCTGCCTCAGCGATTTCAGCCTCTCTCTGTTGTCTTGTCACAGCTCTTTCCTCTGCGTCTAATGCTTCCTCTGCTCTTTGGGACTCTGTTCCATGACTTCCCAAACAGGTTTAGAGCTGGAAAGGGGCCTAGAGAATGAGACTGGCCCAGTGGTTCCAAGAGATAACTATAATCCCACGGGACCCTCCATGATCTCGTGGTCCCCGTGTTCTGCCCCTTTGGCCCTGACAGAGCTGAAATGCTGCCTGCTGGCTTGCCCTGTGAAGGCCCTGAGAAGTCCTGTGATGATCTCTTGCTAATGTGCATGCCTACTATGTGCTATGTGCTTTTCCAAAACATTTGGTTCTCTCTTTTTTTTTTTCCCATGGAGCAGCTAACATCTCATGTTTCTAACATTTTGAAGAACACACTTTGGAAAAATGTTGATTAGGTTAATTCCCTCCCTTAACATGTGAGCTTGATTAATTAGTAATTGCCTTCCCAGCTTGTAGGCTCTGGAAGCCCCAGCCTCCTGATGAATAGCCATATCTTGGTTTCCTATGACCCTCGCCAGAGTAGACTCTGCTACCCCGGGACAGGGCTGCCAAGCGGCCAATCTGCTGCCCTTTGGGCCTGGACTGTGCTCTGTTCCCGGCTCTCGTGCTCCCATAACCAGCCTATTTCTGGCCCCTCCTGTGTCTGTCATGGTCCTCTGTGGAGGGCTAGCATTCACCCCTAGTCTGTGGCTGTCCTTCCATCCAACAGACTCGTTTCTAAGAAGGTGAGGGGCAGGAAGGAGTCAGAATAAGAGAGGAAAACAGCAGTTTCCACTTTCTCAAATGACTCCTGGGCTTTTCTTTCATTGGCTAAGCTTGGGGTCAGGTCCTAGACAGCCCTAGAATCCCCTGCTTGGAGGAATGGTCAGGTAGCAGCCCCCAAGAACCTGGTGTACCTCCAGCCAGCCTGTCCTCTTTGTGGGCTGGCAGGGGGTCCAGCTGCAGCTCCAGCCAGTTGGGCCCCAGAAGACTGGCTCACATGCCTCTGGAAATCCAGCAAACAGAGGCACCTCTGGCCAACCACATCTTAGAGCTAGGGGGTAGTTGCTCAGAAATAGCCCAATTTCCATCCCAGTTAAGGTCCCATCCCAGCCTCACCTAAGTCTTGGATTGCAGTGGGTTCTACAAGAATAAAGTTCAACACACACCAGGAACAAATTCCCAGGGTCTTCTAAGACTCTAAACTCGGAAAGAGGGACAGTGGGTAGGGCTAGGTTTGGACACAATATCTGATAAGGTTGCCAGGCACGATGGCTCACACCTGCAATGCCATCACTTTCAGAGGCCGAGGCAGGTGGATCACCTGAGGTCAGGAGTTCGAGACCAGCCTGGCCAACATGGTGAAACCCCTTCTCTACTAAAAATACAAAAATTAGCTGGTGGCACACACCTGTAATCCCAGCTACTCAGGAGACTGAGGCACGAGAATCATTTGAACCCGGGAGGTAGAGGTTACAGCGAGCTGAGATCACGCCACTGTACTCCAACCTGGGCAACAGAGCAAGACTCTGTCTCAATAAATAAATAAATAGATAAAAATCTGATAAGGTGCCTGGGAATTGTTGGGCCGCACCCTGGCTCTCCTTCCGTACTCAGCCATCCCTCGGATGTACAGGAGACGAGGCAAGGCAGCTGTGGCCCTGTGCCCGTTCCCACTGCCCAGTCCCTGGCCACCTTTGCTGGGGGTACCACTACTGGGCCCCTCTCCCTTAGAGACTGCATCCTAATGAAGCCTTTCACTTTCCTTGCTGGACTTCCATTAAGGAAACTCCTGGTTCCTCATGAAGCCTTTAAAAAAATTACTCTCCACTGAGGATGAGGGCTGCTGCAAAGTCTCCAGGGAGGCGGTGTAAGGGATATGGGGCTGTCTTTGGGCCAGGCCTCCAGCAGCTAGCTAATAGCCTGCACGCAGGGACACTGCTGATGGGAGGACTCAGCTGACCAGTCTTGACCTCTTTACCCCGGAGAGTATGATGACCAGAGTACCCCCTAATCCACCCAAAAGGGCCTGTTTCACTGCTGTGAGGAATGACCAGGGCAAAGGGACAGTTGCAGACTGATAGGATTCCAAAGTGACTCAACAGAGGCCTGGAACAGAGTCCAGGTGTCTACCACCAAATAGAGGGGACTGGACTCTGGACACATGAAGCCCAGATTGATGGAGGGCGAGCGGGCTCTGCTCTCACAGATGAAGGCATGGGGAATGACGTGGCACACCAGCCACTTGCTCTGTGGACATGATCTCATCTGTTCACCCCCCCACTCCTGCCCCCAACTGATAAGAATCTGGTGATGTTTCCTGTAGTCCAAGGGTCTCAGACAATGGTGTGAACGGCTGGCCCTACTGGAAAGGACATTGTTCAGGGAAGAAAAAACAACACACCAGCACAAAGCCAGGGCAGGACCTGCTGAAATGTAAGGGCCTGTTTACAAACCCATGATTTCTAAGGGGAAGAACACAATGGAGAATTGTTTTGGCGAGGCTGGTGTCTCCTCCAGTAGGCTCCTGGGGGCTGGGGATGGCTTTGATGGTCCAGACAGGTCTCAGATGCTCTGAAAAGGATGGATACTAATGGCGCGGATGCCTTCCTGTTTATTAGGGGTGTGTGCAGGGCAGGGTCAAGAAGCCAGTTTACACCAAAGACAAGGGGAAGGGGCTCCTGGGGCTTACCCCTTCCATCTGGACCTCATGCTGTCATGTTGCTCAGGGATCCCAGGGTTAGAGCAGGTTTGCTAGGGAGAAGTGAGGGCAAGGGTTTTTTGTTTTGGGAAAAAAATCAGTTCTTCAGTTTTTCTGTCATTTTTTGGAAAAATGTACAAGCCATGACACCTTTGCAAATAGCCAGCTCCTTTGGAATGGAGCTCCCTGGCTTAGTCACTAGGGAGACTTCTCACACCTGGGGGCCCCCATGATGCTGTGACTGGGAGCACATGGGAAACTGATGCTGTCTCCCTGGGGTCAGGGCCAGTGGAGGTGCTGCTTCTCATAGCATCCTCCCACCCTGCCCATAGAGGCTAGAGCCTTTGAGCCACCGTTTGAGCCACCACCCAGAGGTCCTGATGGCAGTGAGTGTGCATTCGTGTGGACAGGTACCTGTGCATGTGTGCATGTGGGAGGAGGGTGGGGCAGAAAAGGAATAGAACCATATCACACATTCCCCCTTGGGACTGGCAGTCGCCATTTTTGGTGGAGGAGAGGGCATCTGGATGCCTCTCAATGAGTAATTGGGAGATATTTTTGGTGGGTTAGGAGAGCCACTTTGGGTCTGGAGAGACTATGAAGGCAGTCTTGTCTAAGGATTTGACCTGTGACGGGGAGCTTTCAAACTCATCTCTAACCCCAACAGGAACGTGCCTCATGAATAAACTCGAACAGATGTGTTTAGAACAATTGAGGCGCAATAAGTCTTATGTAATCCCAAAACAGAAGCAAGATTTTCATAAGCCTTTCCCAGCCTTCCAGGTCTGAGGGTTTATAATCTTCATCGACATGCTAACAGTGCCCTCTGGTGTTTGGCAGCAAAACACAGGCTTATGAATACAGGGTATGGAGCATCCATCAGTTCTGTAGACATTAAACTGCCTCTGAACGTGGAGTCCTGGGCCAGGCATCATGAGGGGAAGAAAGGTTAATAAGACAGACAGGTCCCTGGAGCTTCTGATCTAGCAGGAAAGACAGACCCATAACTGTAGGACAGACAGAGAATGACATGGGCTATAACAGGGGGTACAAACAGAGACAGTAAGAGTGCCTAGAGATGAAGAAGTAGCCCTTAGGCTGTGTTTAACAGGCTGAAGATGGATGCCAGGACTCTCCAGGCTGAGCACCCCAGGCCCGGGCCCAGTGTTCTGAGGCAGCCAGAGAAGAAGGCCTGTGGGTGGGATGTCCTGGGAGATGCAGCTATGGAAGGCCCTGTTTGTAGAAGGTCTTGAATGCCAATCTCAGCAGGGCCATCCTGAGCAAAGAGTTAGCACATGTTTTATGGTAACTGGCAGAAGGGAAAAGGGTGGATGTGTCAGAGAAGCAAGTGGACACAGGAAACCATGCAGACTTTTGCTGCCCATCCTATGAGGCATCAAGGTCTGAGCTGAGCACTGACAATGGGAAGGAGAGGAAGGCAAACATTTGAAAAACAGTCGAACTGACAACAAAGAGGTTGGCTGAACAGAGAGGGAAGCTGAAGGAAAATCTGAGGTTTCTGGCCTTAGTTTACGGTTCCCGTAAAGGTAATGATTAGAGGAAGGGGAGCAGGTGCTTTGGGAAAGTTTTATTTAACATCTATTTCTACTATCCCTAAGTGAACTGATTTGTCCCAGCTCCTAAGTTATGAAACAGTAATTAATTCTAATAAGACACATCAGTTATGAAAATAGGTATTAAAAATTTTAAACATGTGTTTGTCATGAAACAGGCATTTAAAAGAAGATGAGCTTGGGGCATCTTGCAGTGTCAGAAAGTAAAAAAGTGCTCAAAAACAAAACAAAACAAAACCAGACACACAGTGATGGGGATGTGTGAAAAGGACACATGAACACCCAGTGGCCAAAGCAATTTGAGCAACAAAATAAAGTATTATTACATTGTAACCCAAAGTCCAGGAGTCCATACTAAATGATTGAATAGGCTGTGCATGGTGGCTCACGCCTGTAATCCCAGCATTTTGGGGGGCCGAGGTGGGTGGATCACCTGAAGTCAGGAGTTCGAGACCAGCCTGACCAACCTGGTGAACCCCTTCTCTACTAAAAATACAAAATGCCAGGCATGGTGGCGCATGCCTGTAATCCCAGCTACTTGGGAGGCTGAGGCAGGAGAATCACTTGAAACCGGGAGGCAGAGGTTGCAGTGAGCTAAGATCGCACCACTGCACTCCAGCCTGGGCAACAAGAGCGAAACTCCGTCTCAAAAAAAAAAAAAAAAAAAGATTGGCTAAATAAATAAGCAGGAGAGAATAAAATAGGTAAATCTCCCATGCAGAACCATTCCAAATAATTTATGTAGATACTCCATCCTCAAGGAGGAGTTGCATAAAAACCTCTACTTAACTGTGGGCTCCACATAGTGACTTCCCTTTGGAAGGTACAGTATGAAAAGAGGAAAAGCCTGGGTGCGGTGGCTCACACCTGTAACCCCAGCACTTTGGTAGGCTGAGGTGGGTGGATCTCGAGGTCAGGAGTTCGAGACCAGCCTGGCCAACATGGTGAAACCCCATCTCTACTAAAAAAAAATTAGCTGGTGTGGTGGTGCACACCTGTAATCCCAGCTACTTAGGAGGCTGAGGCAGGAGAATTGCTTGAACCCGGGAGGCGGAGGTTGCAGTGAGCCAAGATTGTACCACTGCATTCCCACCTGGGCAACAGAGTACAACTCCATCTAAAAAAAAAAAAAAAAGAAAAAGAAAGAAAAGAAAAGGGGGAAAAAGGGTAACTTTACAGTGGAGAAATCTGACAAAACCTACCTCAGCCAAATGATCAAAGTCAACCTCAACAGTGACAGGTCATGCTGATACTATGTAACTTTGATATGATGTGATGAAAATGGCACTTCTCCTGTGTCTTCCTCCAAAACCCATAACCCCAGTCTAATCATGAGAAAAACATCAGAACAATCCCAGTTAAGAGACACTCTGCAAAATACTTGACCAGTACTCCTCAGAAGTGTCAAGGTCTTCAGAATCAAGGGAAGTCTGCCATTCCATCACAGCCAAGAGGAACCGAAGGAGATACGACACAGTGCAATGTGGTATCCTGGAACAGAAAAGACAAGAAAATCTCAATAAAATTTGGGCTTTAGTTAATAATGATGTATCAATATTCGTTCTTTAATTGTGACAAATTTGCTATACTAATGTGTTAATAGTAGGAGAAATTAGGTTTGGGATATATGGGGACTCTATACTATCTTTACAATGTTTCTGTAAGTCTAAAACTATTCTAAATTAAAAGCTTATTTAAGAAAGAAGCTGGCTGGGTGTGGTGGCTCACACCTGTAATTTCAGCACTTTAGGAGGCCAAGGTGGGCAGATCCCTTGAGCCCAGGAGTTCAAGACCAGCCTTGGCAACATGGTGAAACCTCATCTCTTAAAAAAAAATAAAAAAAATTAGCCAGGCATGGTGGTGCATGCCTATAGTCTTAGCTACTTGGAAGGCTCAGGTGGGAGGATTACCTGAGCCCAGGGAGGTCGGGGCAGTGAGCCATGATCATGCCACTGAACAGAGTGAGACCCTGACTCAAAAAAAAAAAAAAAAAGGGGCTGGGTGCAGTGGCTCACGCTTGTAATCCCAGCACTTTGGGCGGCCGAGGCAGTCAGGAGTTCGAGACCAGCCTGACCAGCTTGGTGAAACCCCGTCTCTACTGAAAATACAAAATTAGCCTGGCATGGTGGTGCGTGCCTATAATCCCAGCTACTCAGGAGGCTGAGGAAGGAGAGAATCACTTGAACCCGGGAGGTGGAGGTTGCAGTGAGCCGAGATCGCACCACTGCACTCCCGCCTGGGCAACAGAGTGAGACTCCCTCTCAAAAAAAAAAAAAAAAAAAAAAAAGAAAGAAAGAAAGAAAGAAAAAGAAAAGCAAAAAGAGGCCAGGCGTGGTGGCTCACACCTGGATTCTCAGCACTTTGGGAGACTGAGGTGGGTGGATCACGAGGTCAAAGAGACTCTGTCTCAAAAAAAAAAAAAAAAAAAAAAAAAAAAAGAAGCCAGTTATTTAGTGGAGAATGACTGATTAGGCCCAGATGAAGAATAGAACATTTCAAAGTTGGACTTTCCAGCCTATAAAAATAGGGTTGGCTATTAACATCAGTGGAGACTAAAAATACAAAGAGTAAGAAATAGTTAATAGCTGTGTGTGTGTGTGTGTGTGTGTGTGTGTGTGTATGCATGCACTGTCGTGTTAGCTAAGCAAGTATCCACAAAGTCAACTGTACACAGAGGTAGGGCAGCTGACATCTAGGTGACAAAAACTGCCCCCTCCCAAGCTCCCTTTCTACCCACTGAAGCTAAAGTCGAGAGGGCACTGTTAGGGGCCATTACTCTCAGTTAAGATAGTGTTTCTCACACTTGGGTATACAAATAGACTCCTTAAGAAAAGATATTAATACTACCACAGATCCCTAAAAATATGCCTGGTGACCCAAGTTACAGAAACTCTAGGTTTAGAACTAAAGTCTTAATCTAAGGAGCATCTTTCAGTTGTGAATTATCACTGCAAGAGTTGAATCTTTAGAATGGGTTAAATATTGTGTTTTATATGAAAGCTCACAATTAAAAAATGTTCCTGTTACTTGCAGAGCTCTGACAAAATTTCCCTGGACGCCCGGATAAGCAAGGATAGCATTGGGTGGTCAAACCCAAGAGAAAGGAAATGAAGAAAAAGGGCATAATTGTGGGAAGCCCTAGGAGGACAGCTGTGCAGGAGCTCTAGGAGCAGCCAGCACTGGAGGCGGCGGCTCTGGGAGGCAGGTCTTCAGGAAAAGAAGTCCAGCTGATAGTGATCTGATGCCTGGTCTATGAGGAAAATTGCATTTTGAGACATTTTGTTGATCATTTGCAACATTTCAGAAGAATTAGCAATAGGTATATACCAAAAAAGAAGCAATTATTAATTTCAGAAAAAAACATTGTACAAAAGAGGAAAGGTAATCATAGTGTACTGCCTGGCTCAGTGGTAAACAGTATTTCTAGCATCATAATAATATAAACATTGAAAGTTAACAAAAATTGTGATACAATTATCTGAGGTGAACGAAAACGGGAAGATTATGTTTTTTTAATTTAATTTTGAGACAGCGTTTTGCTCTGTTACCCAGGCTGGAGAGCAGTGGCGCGATCTCAGCTAACTGCAACCTCCACCTCCCGGACTGAAACGATTCTCCTGCCTCAGCCTCCCAAGTATCTGGGATTATAGGCACCCACCACCGTGCCCGGTTAATTTTTGTATTTTTAGTAGAGATGGGGTTTCACCATGTTGGCAAGGCTGGTCTTGAACTCCTGACCTTAAGTCATCTGCCCGCCTCGGCCTCCCAAAGTGCTGGGATTACAGGTATGAGCCACTGCGCCCGGCCACCTTGCCTAATTTGAATGTCCTGGCATGCAAATTCATATTTAAACTCTGGACGGAAATGCTCGAACCACCGGGCAGTGAGGGTTTGACTGGGCTCACTCATGCTGTGGAGGTGTGCTGAAGCCCACACCAGTCAGGAGAGAATGGAGTCCCTTATGCCCCATGTATAAGCATGGTAGTCCTTGACCTGTTTGAGTCCAGGACCCCAAGCCTTGCAACAAGGGCCTATTCTCCACCCAGTGTGGACTGCTATGCTGGCTCACCTCCCTAATGAGAACCTGTGTACTTATTATTTGCACAATGATTGATGAAGATTCTCTACCTCTGTAATGCCAATTTCCGTATAAACAGGTTTCTTTCCCTCCAAAGAAACATGTCTATATTCTAAGCTAAAAGTTCTACATTAATTCCCTAAATTTTATGGATTAGGAGGGTGAGTTTTCTTACTCTCGTACTCTACCCCGTAGAATCTTTACTACCCAGACAAATTTCAGAATGAATTTATAAGGAGACACCAATGGAGAGAAAACCTTTATTTGCATAACAACAAACATGGGTGAAGTAAGAAGAGGCATATGAAAACAAGATTAAGGTGGAAGAATCCTTGGTGGGAGGAGAGGAGGAGAAAGCAGAGGCACTCTTGTAGCCATAAACGCATTTCCTTGTTGGCATCTGGACTGCTCCCTCCTCATGCTCCACTGAGACTTCTCTTTGCTTGGCTCATAGTCTCACTGCTGGCCCTGCTTCCTTGTCTCACAGTCCCAGAGTGCTCCCTCCCCAAACCCGATGGAGGAGCGCAGCTTCATACCCTATTGTGTGGGACAGCAGCTACTCAGAAGGTGTTACTTGGATTTTTTGCAGCTGTTAGTGATTCTGACACCCTTGGACCTCCAGGAGTAGCTCCTCCTGCCACGAGAGGACTCTGGCTTTTCTAATAAGGAAGGTTCTGGCCAATCAGTCCAAGAAAGGCCCGGATTCTCTTCCAAGGTGTTGTCTCTGCAGAAATGTTCCTCAGGGTGGAAGGTGCTGCTGCAGCAAGGGATGTCCCCTGAGTTTTCAGGTATGTAGTCTGGTGAGAGAAAGGCAGGAGAGGAAAACTCAAGCCTCTGCTTCTCCCAGGCACAGGTCCTTAAGCTCCTCTCTAGCTACTTTCCTTCCAAAGTCAAAGGCACCAACTATTAATCCCCCTCTGGTGGGATGTCTTCCTCCTTTCCCAGGCACCACAAGTCCCTACAGCCCCCTCCTTGCTCTGAGGCCGGCCCATCCCTCCAGCCTCACCTGTGGCTGCAGCAGGTGAACACTCCTCACACTCCCATTTCTTACTGTTAGATCTAAGAGAGGAGCAGTCCCTGTGGGTTCCGTGGGATCCGCATGTAGCACACAGAATGAGGCACCACCTCCTAGAGGAAGAGCCCAGGAAGGGTTGTGGAGACATACAGAACACCAACTGCCATGCTTGGATGTTTGCTATGGGCCAGGCATTTTTTACAGCACATTTTACCCAAGATGAATGTATGGCTCAGAGAGGATGAGTGCTGATCCCAGAAGCCTGCCATCAGTCGTAACCCCTTGAAAGGTAGATTAGGAAAGGAATTGGCTCTGAATGTCTCTCCACTGGGCACAAGGTGAAGCGGACCTTGCAGGGGAGACGTGTTCACGTGCACACAAGTGAGTCGGGCTGGTCAAGAATGAGACTTAGCAATCGTGTTTATCCTAAGGTCTGCATACAAGAGTGAATTTCTTACTTCTAATAACTGTGCCAAGGTCTAACTCTAAGATAGCACTGATGAGAGCTCTTTCTAGCCAGAAGCCTTCCCCTACCCTTCATCCTCAAAGCTGTCTCTGCCTTGTTCATACAGACAGATGGGGGCATCACAGTGCTGATAGCGCTGATATAAGTCTGAGAAAGCCCCTGGCTCGAGTTCCCAGGCAGCATCTCTGCAGTGGGAGAAGAAACAGTGAATAAGAACATAATGGGTTGGTGAAACTTTTGTCCATCAGGGAGGAGTTAGGAAGAGCCCAAGCTAAGCACAGCAAGAGTTCAGTAGGCTGCCTGAACACTTCCAACAAGGCTGGCCAAGTGGCCTGGCAGTGGGAGAGGGTTGAAGCAGGATGAATGGAACATGCATGCAGGTTCCTTAGTTCCACTCTGGAATCCAATAACTCAACCCCCCAGGGAATTCTGATTCCCCAAATGCCCTTTTCAGCAACAAGCACCCCATTCCCCCGCAAACTTCTTCCCCCTCCCTTCTGTTTTGATAATTGAAAAGCACTCCCTCCTCCCCTTCCTTCTTATCAGTGCCTCTGCTGCTCTCATTCTCTGAACTATCCTCTCACTCACCTCCTCTCTAGAAATCTAGGCAACCCACTCCCTGGCTCAGTTCCTGCTTTGGGGTTCCCACTACCTGTCTGGAATATGAATTCCCATTCTCAGCATTTCTTGAGGAAACTCTTTTCGATTGTTACACTGTGGACATTTGAAGAAATGCTTTGCTGATGTGTGGGCATATTTCTGTAAGAGAAACAGGGAAGAGCTCTGTGTTTGTAAAAACCCTTTGACTACCTTCTTTCTCCTCCCACCCTCACCCCTACAAAGAGGATGTTGCTAAGAGAGTTTGAGGGTACAGGAAAAGGAGTTTGGGTGGGCTAGGGTGAGGGCTGCAAATCCAGGTGTCAGACCTGGGACCAAAATACTTTCAAGAGAATTCCCAGGAGTGCCTCAGCTGTCATCTCTGACCATGGGGCTCGGCAGTACTGAGTAGGGGTCAGCCACCTGGATACATGTTTCCCTTTTCTTTCATCCCAGGAAGTGAGGCTGACATAGAGGCTTCTCAGCTCATTCTGGGATGAGCCCATTTGCTCTAGCAATGCTGAAGATTTTGCTTATTCTAAATCTTATCATGTGTGAGGTCCTATAGGCCAGGAATGACCACAGACTGGACTGACTTTCCTCTAACTGCCTGAAACCAGCCCTCAATACAGGCCTCCAGCATGGAGCACCAAAGCTGAGGCACACCTGAGCATTCCCAGGGTTCTCTGGTTCCAGGCAGAGAACTAGGGCAATGGTGGAAGGGACCCAGGGCGGAAAAAGCCCCACCTGTATGCACTTGCGGTGGTAGATGGCTTGACTACAACACGGGCTCTGGATGTTCTCAACACTCTGTTGGGATAAGTCTTCACAACATAAGATGCAGCTTTCCTCCCCCACATGCCCATGTTGGATGTTCTGTGTTGGGCGATGTTTGTCACAAAATGATCTGTGGCAGGTAAACAGACTTGGTTTCTGGTTTGTCATTGATGTAGTTTCCCAATGGCCCGCTCTAGGAGGGGCAGCCAGCCACCCAGGCTGGTGCCCAGTGAACCTCCACACATGGGGAAGAGGAGAGGCAGAGTGAAGAACTGCCACATGCCTTCTCACGGCTGCTCACCTACTGAGCAAAGTTCCCAGGACTGTCTCCATAGCCTCTCGTTCCTGAAAGCCCCACTTAGTGCTGAGCAGCTGTCTAAGAACCCCAGCTGTTTGTAATTTAAGGAGGGGTCAGGAAGCAAGAAGAACCCCCTGTGAAATCTCCAAGTCAAGACACTGTTTCTTATTACTGAATGGAGGGACAGATTCACTGGTGAATCAAAACAGGCCTGCTTGTGAGAACTGGACTCTGATTTCATTAGTGGCTGAATAATAAGTTGCAAAAAGGAAGCCAGACTTTTCCCTTCCCTCACTCACTTGTACTCTCCAAAAAATTGTGAAAGGCAACCCCTTTCTTGGCCACAAGGCAGATGGAAGTTTCTGAGGCACTGATCCTTCTGGCAGTTGATAGCAGCTCCCTTTTTCTTGCACACAAAGCAGATCTGCAAATGAGTTCCCAGACAGTGCTCAGGACCCCAAGAAATGCAAACACACACAGTGTAGCACATCTTTCTATTAAATGGAAGTTTTGTGAAATAATAGCCATTCCCTATCTTCAGTGGTCCTGAATGCTCTGGGGCACCCGGAAGCTGAGCTTCAAGCAGCACTGAGTTCTTTCCTATTTTCTCAAGATGTTTCTCCCTCTTCTCACTTAGGACACCCATACCCCAGAGGAATATGGGACTTAAGGACTAGTTGGAAAATCCAAGAGTCCTTTGACATCTAAACTAGGAAGTAGGGAAGAGAACAGAAACAGGAATGATGGGTGAGGTATGAAAAGAGGCCTACCCCAAGGTCCTCATTTCAAGAGATTCTAACCTTCCTAGAAGCCCGGGCTGCCTCCTTTTTGATGTCTTCAGGCAGAAATCCATGGAAGCCTCTGTTGGACTGGCCCCTCTGAGGCAGCTTACTAGATAAGATCTGCGGGGGCAGTAGAACCAGGCTGTTAACAATGATGATCAGTGAAACAGTGCAGTGAGGTGAGGAGAAGGACAGGGTAAGAGAGCTAAAGAATAGAGCTTGGGCCGGGTGTGGTGGCTCATGCCTGTAATCCCGGCACTTTGGGAGGCCGAGGCGGGCGGATCACGAGGTCAGGAGATGGAGACCATCCTGGCTAACACGGTGAAACCCCATCTCTACTAAAAATACAAAAAAATTAGCCGGGTGTGGTGGCACGCACCTGTAGTCCCAGCTACTCAGGAGGCTGAGGCAGGAGAATGGCGTGAACCCGAGAGGGTGGAGCTTGCAGTGAGCCGAGATCGTGCCACTGCACTCCAGCCTGGGCCACAGAACAAGACTCTGTCTCAAAAAAGAAAAAAAAAAAGAACAGAGCTTGGTGGAATATATATGCATTGACAGGGTAATTTATTTAATGAAGGCTTACATGGCACCAACCATGTGTTGAATACTCTAAGTGGTTTCAAATATTAACTCATTGAGTCCTCCCAACAGCCCTAGGAGGTAGGTACTATTATTGTCCTCATTTTATAGGAGAGATGATGCGACCTGCTCAAGGCCACAGAACTCTGGAACCTGGACTCTTACTTTTGCTCTAGGCTGCCTCTCACTTACTGAGGGCTGCTATTGTGTGCTGGGACTTTGGGGGAAACATTTCCTTTGTATTTACTCATTTTATGCTTACAATCCTTGGCCAGGCACGGTGGCTCACACCTGTAATCCTAGCACTTTGGGAAGCCGAGGAGGGCTGACCATCTGAGGTCAGGAGTTCGAGACCAGCCTGGCCAACATGGTGAAACCCTGTCTCTACTAAAAATACAAAAACTAGGGCATGGTGGTGCGCGCCTGTAATCCCAGCTACTCGGGAGGCTGAGGCAGGAGAATCGCTTGAACCCGGGAGGCGGAGGTTGAAGTGAGCCAAGATCAGGCCACTGCACTCTAGCCTGGGCGACAGAGCAAGACTCCGTCTCAAAAAAAAAAAAAAAAATTCCTGTAATGGCAGATGCTATTATGATGCTCATCTTACAGAGGAGGCCGCTGAGGTGCAGTGTGGCAAGTGACACTGCCTCCCAGGGTTATAGGACAAGGAGGAGCAGAGCTGGCTATTCACACCCAGGCCCATGGAATCCCCATTCTTACCCTTCCTGCTGCATCACCTCTTAGTACAGAGAAAATACTCTTCTCAGAGTAATACAGGAAGAAAAACAGGGTTTTAATATCTCTTGATTGTTGTTGTTCTGTATTATGGGGGAAGGAATTGAACTTTTGAAACACATATTTTAAAACTAATTATCTCAGGGCTTTGGGATGAGTGATTTGTTTTCTTCATATTTTTAAGTATCATTCATGTTTTCTGCAATAAGCATGTATTGATTTAATAAATTAGCTACTAAAAAGAAAAAACTATATCTATATGTTCTATACAGAAAGATTTCCAAAATATATATGATGGAAAAAAGCCAAGATACAAAGCACTCTGTATAATGTTTAATTTTTATGTAAAAAATGTATATGCTTGTAAATACATCAAAATTATAACTAAGCCCTGACACCTGATAGGACTTACAAGAAAGGAAAATCACAGACCAATCTTTCTCATGAGCACAGATATAAAAATCAAAACAGATGCAAACTGAATCCAGCACCATATAAAAAGGACAATACATCATGACCAAGTAGAGTTTATACCAAGAATGCAAGACTAGTTTAACATTAGAGCATTTAGTTGATGTAACAAACTACATTAACAAAATTAAAGAGAAAAATCAAGATAATCTCAATAAATACAGGAAAAGTGAGAAAATTCAACACCCATTCATGATACTCTGGGCAAACTATATATGAATAAAAGGGATCTTCAACCTGATAAAAACATCTATGAAAAAAACCTAGAGCTAACATACTTTAATAGTGAAAAACTAGATGCTGTCCCCTGATGTTGGGAACAAGACAAGGATAACAACTCACACCACTTCTATTCAATGTTAGGTTAAAGGTCCTAGCCAATACAACAAGGCAAGAAGAAATAAAAGGCAAAGATTGAGAGAAAGAAGTAGAACTGTCTTTATTCACACATGACATGGTTATGTGCATAGGGAATCCTGTAACAAGGCATTTACAACAAAATAAAAAAACAACTAATCAAACTCAATTTAACAAGATTACAGGATACAAATCAATATACAAAAATAAAATGCATTTCTATATACCAGCAATAAACTTAAAAATGAAATAAAAATACTATTTACAATAGCATAACCACAGAATATTTAGGAATACATTTAACAAAAGATGTACAAGACTTTGTCACCAAAACAACAAAACATTGCTGAGATATATTTTAAAAGACCCAAATAAGTGGAAAAATATACCATGTCCATGGATTGGAAGGTTCAATATTTTTTGTCAATTCTTCCCAAATTGACCTATAAATTCAATGCAATCCCAATCACAATCCCAGTAGACTTTTTTTTTAAAGAAAAATTGACAAGCTTAATATAAACTTTATAAAGAAAGGACCTGATAGTCAAAACAATCTTGGAAAAGATTGTAGAACTTAACAATACTGAATTTCAATATACTATAAAGCCACAATAATCAAGACAGTGGGGACTTGTGTAAGAATAGATACATAGATCAATGACATAAATAGATTATCCAGATCCACAGATATATGGTCAATTGATTTTGACAAAGGCACCAAGGCAATTCTATGGGTAGGTAAAGATTTCTTGCAACACACAAAAAGCACTGACCATAAAAGAAAAAAATGGATAAACTGGGCTCCATTACAATTACAAACTTGTTCTTTGAAAGACACCATTAAGAAAATGAAAAGGCAAGCCAAAGACTAGGAAGAAAATAGTCTCAATACATATATTTGAAAAAGAATTTGTATCTGAAATATATAAGCAATTCCTACAACTCAATAATAAAACCACTCAATTTTTTTTTTTTTTTTTTGAGACGGAGTCTTGCACTGTCGCCCAGGCTGGAGTGCAGTGGCGTGATCTCGGCTCACTGCAAGCTCCACTTCCTGGGTTCACGCCATTCTCCTGCCTCAGCCTCCCGAGTAGCTGGGACTACAGGCGCCTGCCACCATGCCCGGCTAATTTTTTTATTTTTAGTAGACACAGGGTTTCACCGTGTTAGCCAGGATGGTCTCCATCTCCTGACCTCTTGATCTGCTCGCCTCGGCCTCCCAAAGTTCTGGGATTACAGGCGTGAGCCACTGTGCCCGACCACCACTCAGTGTTTTTAAATGGGTAAAAATATTTGTACAGATACTTAACAAACGAAAATATGTGGGCCGGGCCAGGCGCGGTGGCTCACGCCTGTAATCCCAGCACTTTGGGAGGCCGAGGTGGGCAGATCACGAGGTCAAGAGATCGAGACCATCCTGGCTAACACGGTGAAACCCTGTCTCTACTAAAAATATAAAAATTAGCCATGCGTGGTGACAGGCACCTGTAGTCCCAGCTACTTGGGAGGCTGATGCAGGAGAATTGCTCCAACCCGGGAGGTGGAGGCTGCAGTGAGCCAAGATCATACCACTGCACTCCAGCCTGGGCGACAGAGCGAGACTCCATCTCAAAAAAAAAAAAAAACCAAAAAACCAAAGAAAATATGTGAATGGCCAATATGCACATGAAAAGAAGCTTTAGTCATCAGAAAAATGGAAATTAAAACGACAATGAAATACCAATACACACCCAGTAGAATGGCTAAAATTAAGAACACTGACAAAACAAAGTTCCGGCAAGAATACTGTGCAACTGGACTTCTTATAAATTGCTGGTAGGAGTGTAAGCTGGTACAACCGCTTTGGACAGTGATGTGGCAACCTCACATAAAGTTAAATATCTAATTAGCATACAACTAGTAATTCCACTTCTAGGCATCTGCACAAGAGAAGTGAAAGCACATGTTCACAAAGAGACTTGTACATGAATGCTTAAAGTAGCTTTATTCATAATAGTCCTCAAATGGAAACAATTCAGATGTTCATCAACAGGTGAACAGATAAGCAAATAGTAACTTATTCATGCAACCGAATACTACCAAGTAATAAAAAGGCACAAGCTATGAATGCATGCAACAACATGGATGAATCTCCAAAACACTGTGTTGGGAGAAAAAAGCCAGATACAGAAGATTATAAACTATATGATTTCACTTATATGAAGTAAAAGAATAGCCAAAAATAATCCATAGATCAGAACAGTGATTACGTCTAGTGGGATTGACTGGAAAAGGAGGCAGGAGGGAACTTTCTGGGGTGATGAAAATATTACCTATTTTGATTGGGGTGGTGGTTATTTGGGGACATACATTTATCAAAACTTATCAAACTGGACCCTTAAAATTAGTGAATTTTGTTCAAGACCAGCCTGGCTAACACGGTGAAACCTGTCTCTACTAAAAATACAAAATTAGCCAGGCATGGTGGTAGGTGTCTGTAATCCCAGCTACTTGGGAGGCTGAGGCAGGAGAATCACTTGAACCAGGGAGGCAGAGGTTGCAGTGAGCCGGGATCACGCCACTGCACTCTAGCCTGGGCAAGAGAGTGAGACTCCGTTCTCAAAAAAAGAAAAAAATTGGTGATTTTTACAGTATGAAAGTTATACCTAATAAAAAAATACTGGGAAAAAGCAATTGGAAGGATGTTACAACTTTGACAGCATTTGTTTCTGGGGAGAGGGAGAAGGATTGGGAACATTGTTTAGGGAAGAGACTTTTTTACTGAACTTACTTTATACTGTCAAGATTTTATACCAGACACATATATTTTTCTTTTTTTGAGGCAAGGTCTTCCTCTGTCACCCAGGCTGGAGTGTGGTGGTGTGATCACTGCTCACTGCAGCCTCCACCTCCAGGGTTCAAGCGATCCTCTTGCCTTAGCCTCCGGAGTGGCATTTGTCACTATACCCAGCTTTTTTTTTTTTTTTTTTAATTTTTTTGTAGAGACAAGGTTGCCCAGGCTGGTCTTGAACTCCTGGGTTCAAGAGATCCTCCTGCCTCGGCCTCCCAGAGTGCTGGGATTACAGGCGTGAGCCACTGCACCCAGCCTAAAAATAGATTTTAAAACAAAAAAGCTATTAAGAAAAATAAAAAAACAAGGCTGTGGATATGAGGATGAATGTAACAGAGAACAGTCAGTACACCAAAAGCCATAGGATATTCAAAGCAAAGGAGGCCTCATACTCACAAGACAGAAATAATGCACGCTGATATTGTCTTTCTGAAGAAATTCCCCTAATTTTTCGGGATCCCCAGGTTCTCGAAGGCA
The DNA here is from genome assembly GCF_000001405.40 of Homo sapiens. Lineage (NCBI taxonomy): Eukaryota > Metazoa > Chordata > Mammalia > Primates > Hominidae > Homo > Homo sapiens. Next base: position 52,414,506 of record NC_000003.12, on the reverse strand, counting down.
TAGCCAGCAAACTGGAAGAGAGGACACCCAGAATTTGGCTCAAATTGACCATTAAGAATGGAAGAGAAGGGTGAGAATGTAACCATTCCTCTAAGTCAGGAAGGAGTAGAATACTAGGAAAAGGGTCATTTTGGCAAGGAGGAAGGTTGGGATGAGGTCTTATGTGGTATCAATTAGTCTGTCACATAATTCTGGTTACAATGAAAAAGTTGGCCACAACTGCTCACTTCATTTTTTTTTGGTTTTGTTTTGTTCTAAAGTGACTTTAATAACTTGTTTCTTGAACTTCAGACATGGTAATTTAAAATGGCAGTTCCTGAGTCCTCAAGATCTTAGAGAATCTAGGAAGGAAGTAGGGCTGGGAGAGAGAGAAGAAGCAAGTATACTGCCCCACACAGGTGGCCTTCTTTGCTGAGGGCTGGAGGCAGTGGGCGAACACAAGCTCCAGTCTTTCTTACCAGGCCCTGAAGACGGTTTCCTCTGGGTTACCCTCCTAGTCTTGGCAGATTTTCTATACAAGAGAAATAAGAAGCACAAGGTGTTCTTTGGGGATCTTGTTGATAACCTTTTTAACATTTCTCTTAAAATGCCATTCATGGGTCTGATGAAGGACCAACATATCTAAAGCCTAAGACATCAGCTTCTTTTCATATTTCACATATATATGTTTTTGAGACAGAGTCTTGCTCTGTTGCCCAGGCTGGAGGGCAGTGGTGCGATCTCAGCTTACTGCAACCTCTGCCTCCTGGGTTCAAGCAATTCTCCTGCCTCAGCCTCCCGAGGAGCTGGGATTACAGGCGCCTGTCACCACGCCCAGCTAATTTCTATATTTTTAGTAGAGACGGGGTTTCACCATGTTGGCCAGGCTGGTCTTGAACTCCTGACCTCAGGTGATCCACCCGCCTCGGCCTCCCAAAGTGCTGACATTACAGGCATGAGCCACTGCACCTGGCCATATTTCATATTTTTTTTAAGTGCAAAACATACTCACTGAGTTATTTGAGGGCAGGAACCGGATTGTAAGCATCTTTCTCTCCCCAGTGCCTGTACTGCCTATGTTGACTGAATGAATGCAAGAGCAAACCCTCTTTTACTTTTTTACTGCTTCTTCTGCCAACTACTCTGAATCTCAGGTGGTACCACCTTTACAAAGCATACTGAAATGAACCAAAATTGATAAAAGTATTTCCTGTTGCGAGGCACTATTCTTGGCACTTTACATGTATTGGCTCAATTAATCTACAGTAGCTCAATGAATCTACAGAACACTCTAAAAAGTACATGCCATTATTATGTACATTTTCCAGATGAGGAAACTGAGGCATAAAGAAATGTAGTGCCTTCTGTCACAGTTATTGGCAAGTGGCAGAGCTAGGATATGAATTTGGGTAGTAAGGTTCCAGAGTCAGCACTTTGCTACTAGGGACAGCACTGGTAAGACAGGTATGACAGCTCCCAGCTCCGTGTGTGCTTCCACACTGTCCAACCTCAACCCCCAAGACTACGACAAAGGGGGCAAAAAGTGCAGCCTATACCACAGGCCATTGGACAATTTCTCCCAAATTCCCTATGTCAACTACTTCTACCTCAATCTCTGGCATTCCTTCTTTTCTTTTACAGTCTTCATTCGGTGCTGTCTCTCTCTCCTCTCTTGAATTCTTCTATACTATTGTGAGGACAATACAGGCTCTTCCAGCTATAAATATAAATGGGGTTTGGTAAGCAATTTAATTCTGTATTTGGTTATCAAGTTCCCCAGGGTCAAGGCAATGGTGCACTTCACCTCCCAACCCATGTGATGGAATAAAAGGGACTGTTCTAGGTACTTGACATGTGTTAACTCACAAACACGCCATGCAGTAGGTACCATTATTATCCCCATTTTCAAGATGGGGGACTGAGGCACAGAGAGGTTTAAGTATCCTGCCCAAGGTAAGAGTTAGTAAGTGATATAGATGGGATCTGAACTCAAGTAGCCTGGCTCCAGAGGCCAACACTAACTCTCATGTTATACTGCTATCACACAGTAGCAAAAGAACTTAGAACCATTACTTGACCTAGCTAAATGGTTGTTTCTTTGTGCCTACAAAAAAATACGTGAAGTAGCACTCAGGAAAAAAAGGCTCCTTTTGCACCTAAGTATGGGTGCCTTAATTCTACCCAGTGAAAGCTAGATAAGGTAGCTTTTTCCTAAGCAAAGGAGCCTGTGAGATTTGGGCTGCCTAAAAGCAAGAACTCCCTCTAGTGAGAGACAAGAGGTAACACTGACAAACACCCCCTAGGCTCTATCACTTTTTTTTTTTTTCAGACAGGGTCTCTCATTGTTGCCCAGGCTGGAGTGCAGTGGGTGAGTGCATGAAAGTGCCACTTTCCTAGGCTCAGATGATCTTCCTGACTCAGCCTCCCAAGTAGCTGGGACCACAGGTGCCATGCCACCGCACCAGCTAATTTTTTGTAGAGACAGGGTTTTGCCATGTTGCCCAGACTGGTCTTCAACTCCTGGGCTCCAGTGATCCTCCCGCCTCAGCCTCCCAAAGTGCTGGGATTACAGGCGTGAGCCACCAGGCCTGACCTCTCCTATCAATTCTTTTCACCTAGGCTCAGGTGGCCACTGAGATATGGTCTGTACCCAACCTTTGTCTCCATCTGAGCCGAGTACAATAGCCAAAAGTGCAGAAGGTACCTTGTCTCCTATTTCCAATGTCAGCCAACTCCGGCTGTTACCTGTTTTCATTAGTAAACAAACTGTAAAACAAATGTACAGTTTCACTGGTTAACGGGGAGATCCCTGAAAGTGAACGGGAACGAAAGAAAATCCACCGCTGTGAAGCAAGGACTGTCTAGTCAGGGGAGAGGAGAAGGACAGCATTTCTTAGAAGGAGGGCTGGGTGAATCAGGTCACTCCAGAGACACTCCAGTATCCATGGCCTCCGATCACGGCTGGAGATCGGGAATATCTTCAGGGACTTTAAACTATTCTGCATGAATAAGGACGACTGAGGAAATTACTGTTCAAGAAACCAAAGCCACCCTGCCCTCCCCTTCTTTGTGCTTGTTCTGTCTCCTCCTCTAACCCAGGAGTTGCAGAAGCAATGACATCTGATGGCTTCTTCCTTAAGGAAAACACTGGACAGGCTGGAAGAGGAGAGAGAAGGGCATGTCCTGACCTTGCTATTCCCACAGGGGTCCACGTGAGCGGACTGCGGAGCAGTTCCCAGTTACTGGGGCTACCCCGACCATCCAGCAATAGACATAAAACCTTGAAACTTCAGTTCTTTGCATCGCTGGGCCAAGACGTTCCTTGAGTAGGATTCTGTGCACACACTGCTAGTTACAAGACGTCACGATCTTCAAAACATCTGAGGGGTGGCTTTGCAAATGAGGCTTCCACAAGCTGCCAGGCAGTGGCTTCCTAACCCGGCGGACGCCCCTCGAAACGATTATCAAGTTGTTTCACTGGACAGGTGCTGGGTAAAAGCTTGTTGAGAAAATAAAAAATAAATAAACGTGTTCGACCCGCCGCCGCAAGAATGATTTATCTGTAAAATACGTGTCGGTGTGGTCACAACCGTTCCCCGGAGGTTAACAGCCGGAGAAGGGGCTTAAGGAGCATCCCGCGGATGCCAGACCAGGCTCATGTCGCGCCTGCCGGGCGGCCAGTGCAGGGCCGGGCCGAGGTCGCCTCCGCCGCTCCTCCTCGCGGTAGCTCACCGGCCGCCGCTCCCGGCCAGAGCCACCCTCCCAGCTGTCTGAGGGCGCCGCTGTACTGGAGCTTTAGTCGTTGACACAGGCCGTGGTAGCTACCTCCGGGCGGCCGCCCTGCGCGGTGACTGCGCCGGCGAAGACTGCGAGCGCGCAAACGGGGGTGGGTCACGCGGACTATGACCTTCGGGAATCGCGGCGACGCCTACCGTTAGTAGAAACCGACCGCTAACGGCCGCGCGCTAACGGCCGCGCGCCCCGCCCATCCCCTCCTCTCGCGCCTCAGCGCCCAACACCCGCCCCCGCCCCTTCCGTTCGCCGCCCCGCCCCGTCCCTCCTCTCCCACCATCCGCGCCCAGCCCCGCCCATCCCCGCCTTTTCCCCTAGCCTGCCCCGCCCCTCCTCTCGCCCCACCTGCGCCCAGCACTTCCCGGCCCCGCCTTTTCCCCTCGCCCGCTCCGCCCCTCCCCTCGCAGCACCCGGGCCTAGTACTGCCCGTCCCGCCCCTCCTCTCGAGCCTCAGCGCTCAGCATCGCCCGGACCCCCTCTTCCCTTCGCCCGCCTCGTCCCGACCCTCCCCTTCGCCCCCGTCCCGCCCCGCCCCTCCCCTTCGCCCCCGTCCCGTCCCGCCCCGCCCCTCCCCTTCGCCCCCGTCCCTCCCCTTCGCCCCCGTCCCTCCGCGCGTGCGCGTTCGCCTTCGAGCGCATGCCCGCATCTGCTGTCCGACAGGCGGAAGACGAGCCCAGAGGCGGAGCAGGGCCGTCGCGCCTTGGTGACGTCTGCCGCCGGCGCGGGCGGGTGACGCGACTGGGCCCGTTGTCTGTGTGTGGGACTGAGGGGCCCCGGGGGCGGTGGGGGCTCCCGGTGGGGGCAGCGGTGGGGAGGGAGGGCCTGGACATGGCGCTGAGGGGCCGCCCCGCGGGAAGATGAATAAGGGCTGGCTGGAGCTGGAGAGCGACCCAGGTGAGGAGGGGACCGGGAGGGCCAGGGGCTGGGGAGGCCGGATGGGCCCGGGACGCGCCTGCCTGACCATCACCCCCTCCTCTTGTCGCCCCACCCAGGCCTCTTCACCCTGCTCGTGGAAGATTTCGGTAAGAGCCTTTTCTCCCTGCCGGACCGGGGCTGTGGCGGCCCACCCCTGCGCCCTCACTCATCAGGGGCTGTCCTTCCCTACTGCTTTCCTTTCCTCATCGCAGGTGTCAAGGGGGTGCAAGTGGAGGAGATCTACGACCTTCAGAGCAAATGTCAGGGGTGAGTGGCTGTACACCAGGGCTGCCCCTTACACCCAGAGTGCTGGGGAAGGTCCCAGAGAACAGGGCCCCTTAGGGAAGACAGTGCCAGGAACCCTACGTTGTAAAATCTCACAGAAAGCAGCAGCCTTGCTCTCTGAGTGCCCGCTCCTGATCAAACTGATACTTTCTTTTCTCCCAAACTTTCCTTAGCGCTTCCCTTTTTGTAGCAGCCCCCTCCCCACCCCTAAGCATCCTTTGGTTCAGCTGCTTTCCTGGCCTTGCAGCGGGAAGACCCCGGTCACACAATGTCTTTTGTGCAGTTGTGTAATGTATTAATTTTAGTGTGCCCATGTGTCCTTGGCTTTAATCCTGACACAAAGTCATCCTGTATTGATTGGTTGGGGTGACAAGGCCCCTCCTGGGTGCCCACACTTAGAGTCTTTTCCCAGTGGTCCTGCAGAATAGATGTGTAAGAGAGTAGCAACAGTAGCAACCGTGACTGAACCAAGAAGTCTACTTTAATTTCCTGGAACAAAAGAGACTGGTGTGGGTGTTCATTTGCTTTCCTGACTGCATTGGGGCCCACAAGTGAGAAGGAGTGCCTCAGTTCCTCATCAGAGTTTTTGTTCTTGTCTTACTTTGTGTTCCTACCCTGTCCCATCCTTGGCCCTCAGTTCCAGCTTTTCTTCTCTTACCCAGAACTATAGACTTCATAAGGAGACTGGGTGGACTCCTGGAGCATCACAGTCAGAGGCTTATGCTTTGCTCTGCCTGTGGCAGGCCTTTGGTGTGTGAGGGCACAAGGCCACTTCAGACACAGTGTTGGGAAGAAGCCAGGGGAGAGGGGGGATCACAGCAAGGACACCTGAGTGATGACGCAGTGCAAAGGATTAATGGGAGAAAGAAGGGAATGCTGATTGTCTTCTCCCCTTTGGCTGATCTGGCTCTGCCCCTTACTTCCCCCAGCCCTGTATATGGATTTATCTTCCTGTTCAAATGGATCGAAGAGCGCCGGTCCCGGCGAAAGGTCTCTACCTTGGTGGATGATACGTCCGTGATTGATGATGATATTGTGAATAACATGTTCTTTGCCCACCAGGTCTGCTGGACTCTGTGCTTTGTTTGGAGGGTGGGATGCTGCCATGTTTTTGCTTGGGAAGTGGAAATGGAGGAAGACAGGAGGAGGAGATAGGCAGATTCTAGGGGTGGTAGCTACAGAAATCCTCTGGCAGAACGAACTGAACTCTTAATTCATTAAAGGGAACAGCTTTAGAGTAGGAGGGTGTCTGAGTCCACTCTCTGTGTCCTCAGATATCCAGTGGGTATTTGGTAGGTGCTTGTTAAATGAATAAACATTAGGCAAAGATGAAAGGAGCTGAGAAGGGGAGTTGTCCAGATATGACTGACCTGCTCTGGATCCCCATTCTTGATGTATATGGGCTTGGGGCTTGCAGTGAGGGGTGCTGTGTATGGGTGACTATTCTTGGTTTCACAGCTGATACCCAACTCTTGTGCAACTCATGCCTTGCTGAGCGTGCTCCTGAACTGCAGCAGCGTGGACCTGGGACCCACCCTGAGTCGCATGAAGGACTTCACCAAGGGTTTCAGCCCTGAGGTAGGCTGCAGTGCCTTCATCCTGGCTCACAGCCAACTGGGCAGATCTGACCCTGAGGGCCACTGGGAATGCTACCACATGATATTGGGTACTATTAGGCTGTTTCTTTTTCAAATGATTGTTTATGTTACATTTGACTCTTAAATAAATTGTGTAAGGCCATTGTTTTTAGATGCAGTTGCGGGGAAAGGACACAGGCCTAGGGAGGGAGGAGAGTTTCCTTAAGTCAGACCATGTCAGAACCTTCTCTGTCAGGACTTTTCCTCTCAGGCCATGTTGCTTCCTAGTGTCCACTAATTACCATGCAAGGCCAGCACAGTCCATCTCTTTGGGGCTCCAGAGCTCTTTTCTGCCCCCACCAGCCTTTTAAGAAAGTTCGTCTGTGTTCCTTCCGATTCCTGGAATGCCTCCAGGCTGCTCTCTGAAGCTTTGCCTTCCACCCATAGTCCTACCTGAGGAGAAATTATTCTGATACGGCCTTATTTTCTTCCCCGTAGAGCAAAGGATATGCGATTGGCAATGCCCCGGAGTTGGCCAAGGCCCATAATAGCCATGCCAGGTGTGTGGGAGCTGTGGGAGCTGATGTGGGGTGGGAGTAGGGGGAGTATCATTTTTTGGGCCCTGACTCTGTTTTTCCCCAGGCCCGAGCCACGCCACCTCCCTGAGAAGCAGAATGGCCTTAGTGCAGTGCGGACCATGGAGGCGTTCCACTTTGTCAGCTATGTGCCTATCACAGGCCGGCTCTTTGAGCTGGATGGGCTGAAGGTCTACCCCATTGACCATGGTAGGCACCATGAGCTGGAGGCCTGTTGGGTGTCTCTGCCTACCTCCTAGGGAGCTGGGGCTCAGGGCCCTCTGGTATGTGGTACCCAGTGGCAGGGGTTGTCGGTACCGACACCCGGCTCTGGCTGGGGTTTCACCCTACACCATATTGCCCGACCAGCTCCTGATTCCCTGGCTCAACTGCTCTTCTCTGTCTTCCTTCCCACTCCTGGCCTGCCCAAACTCAGGGTTTCCTTCTCGCTGATTCCTTGTCTTGGTCTCCACTAGGGCCCTGGGGGGAGGACGAGGAGTGGACAGACAAGGCCCGGCGGGTCATCATGGAGCGTATCGGCCTCGCCACTGCAGGGTAAGGGCCCTGTGCCTGCCCTGTTCTACTCTCTGGAGCTGTACCTACTTTGGGAGGGACAGAGAGTATCCAGGTGATTTGTAAATTGCAAGGCCATATGGTGAATCTGGCAAGATCAGGCTTAGATCATGGGTTCTCAACTTGTTGTCTTATTTCCTGCCTGGGCTGCCTGTGGCCTGCTCCTGGGTGGGCTGGGGGAGGGGCAGGCCTCAGTGGAGCCTTAGGCAGCCCAGGTCTGCTGGTTCACTTCCAGATAGGCCCCTCATACAGCTTGTTGGAAGGTACCAGCTCAGGTGCCTGGCATGTATGGCTAGTCGCTGCCTGCCTGTTGGGGTGGGGCCTATACCTACAGCTGCAGGTGTGACTGCAGGGAGCCCTGCCAGGATATCTGCCTCAACCTGATGGCGGGGCCGGGGCGGGAGCTGCTCTCACGGCTGCGGCTGTGACTGCAGGGAGCCCTACCACGACATCCGCTTCAACCTGATGGCAGTGGTGCCCGACCGCAGGATCAAGTATGAGGCCAGGCTGCATGTGCTGAAGGTGAACCGTCAGACAGTACTAGAGGCTCTGCAGCAGGTAGGTGCCCTTTCTTCCTGGCCTCTGCCCAGCCCAACCCTCCCTGCATTCCTCCTCCCTTCCCCCACAGCATTTGTCTCTGATTCGTGAACATACTCTCTTGTAGATCTGGGCTTCAGCTAACCACATCTTTTCTTTGCCCCCATTGTGGGAAAGGTGGGACTTGGAGTGGGGAGGGAGAATAGCTTCTAAAAGGAAGTTTGGGTTTGGGTGTTTTATTTCCCTGTGAGTGAATGGGTAGAGCCAAGGCCATTATTCCTTTAGGTCCTCAGCCCTTAGCTATTTAAGGTAGAAGCCCGGGTCTACCCTTTCTCCTCTGAGCCCTGGATTCTGTTGTTAGCTGATAAGAGTAACACAGCCAGAGCTGATTCAGACCCACAAGTCTCAAGAGTCACAGCTGCCTGAGGAGTCCAAGTCAGCCAGCAACAAGTCCCCGCTGGTGCTGGAAGCAAACAGGGCCCCTGCAGCCTCTGAGGGCAACCACACAGGTACTGGGGGGTTTGGGACCTCTTGTGGACCTCAGAGCCACCCGCTAATGTCTGACATGGGAGGCCTAAACAGGGAAAGTCTTTTTCTGGGGATGTCCTTGGGCAGTGTTCTTCCCCCGTCAGAAGGTAGAGGGAGAGCAGTCCTTCCCTAAAGAAAGGCACCTGTAAAGGGCCGCTGTTACCACAGGCCCCTGGGCCCTTCTCTGTAATGTACACTCCCTTTCTTGTTTTCTCTAGAGGCGGTTTTTTTTTTTTTTTTTTTTTTTTTTTTTCTTCCTGCTTCTTTTTTCCCATCTCATTCTTTGCCCTGTCTCATTGCGGGATCATGACTTAGAGCTTGCTGACTCCCATTGCACCAGCTGGCTGGGCTGTTCTTCTCTGGGAAGTGCTGGTTCACAGGGCCGGGGAGACTGTGAGCTTTTCTTGGAGATCCTACTGGAGGTCCTGCCTGTGTTCTTGCCCTGTCTCAGATGGTGCAGAGGAGGCGGCTGGTTCATGCGCACAAGCCCCATCCCACAGCCCTCCCAACAAACCCAAGCTAGTGGTGAAGCCTCCAGGCAGCAGCCTCAATGGGGTTCACCCCAACCCCACTCCCATTGTCCAGCGGCTGCCGGCCTTTCTAGACAATCACAATTATGCCAAGTCCCCCATGCAGGTAAGCTGGGAGCACCCTTGCAGGATTCTCTACTTGATTCTCTTGAGAGGCTGCAACAGGCAATTTTCCCATGTGGTTCCTTGGTGTTCATCCTTGGCATGGCTGGGTCAAGCTGCCTGGGCCTGGGTTGCTAGGTTCCTCTGCCTGATATGAAAAGGCCCCCACAACAGCAGGAGCTTAGGGAGGCAGGGAGAGCTCCTTTGAATTTAATCTAGTTACGTGGCTGTGGGATTAAATGTTTAGGTCACGCTCCTTGGTACAACTTCATGGGTTGGGTTTTACTGGCAAAATAAAGGCATGTGTTTCAGGGCACTCTGTTTCTCTTAAAACCCCTCCGTGGGGTTCTATCCAGTGTAAGTGGGTGGCAGCCTCCCCACAAGCCAAGGACAGGCCATGGAACAGCTGGAGGGGTTCCGCTGACTCAGTCTGGAAAACCATGTTGGCTTTCTCTCTGGCTGTGAGTGTCTAGGCTCAGCCTGGGCCGAGCAGCACTTGTTTGTAACTGCCCTGGTCTTTGTCCCAGGAGGAAGAAGACCTGGCGGCAGGTGTGGGCCGCAGCCGAGTTCCAGTCCGCCCACCCCAGCAGTACTCAGATGATGAGGATGACTATGAGGATGACGAGGAGGATGACGTGCAGAACACCAACTCTGCCCTTAGGTCAGCCCAGCTTTCTAAGGCTACCAGGTTCTAGGTGCTTCGGATCCCATCCTGAATATCTCAGTCTGTGTCTGAGAATGCCCTGCAGCAGATAATGTTGAGCACCTGCGGAGTTTGGGGCCCTGGGGGAGGCTGGCATGATGGGGCTGACCCCAGGTCCCCAGGAAGTTTTTGGTGGGCTGGGGGGTAAGGCTGAGCACGTAAGCTTATATCATGTCCTATTGGAAGTGGCCTTTTAGCCAGGCCTTGAAGGATTGGTTGGGGCAGGGATGGAGGAGATGTGGGTGGTGGGGAGGCAGCTTTGCTGGAACACAGGGCATTGGCAAAAGGCCAGGAGTGGGATGGCTGGAATAGAGGAAGTGTCTTTTGAGGACACTTGGCTGCAGCTGTCAGAACTTGATGCCAGGCTTAGCATGGCTAGTTCAAGTTGCTTGGACCAAGTATAAGGAGTTTTAGGGTCAGCCCCTGGAGGTCGGGATGTATTTAAGCCATTCTGGGTACTGCTGGGTATGGTCACCTGGCCCGTTCCCTTGCTTCACATCTTCTCGGGCCCCACAGGTATAAGGGGAAGGGAACAGGGAAGCCAGGGGCATTGAGCGGTTCTGCTGATGGGCAACTGTCAGTGCTGCAGCCCAACACCATCAACGTCTTGGCTGAGAAGCTCAAAGAGTCCCAGAAGGACCTCTCAATTCCTCTGTCCATCAAGACTAGCAGCGGGGCTGGGAGTCCGGCTGTGGCAGTGCCCACACACTCGCAGCCCTCACCCACCCCCAGCAATGAGAGTACAGACACGGCCTCTGAGATCGGCAGTGCTTTCAACTCGCCACTGCGCTCGCCTATCCGCTCAGCCAACCCGACGCGGCCCTCCAGCCCTGTCACCTCCCACATCTCCAAGGTGCTTTTTGGAGAGGATGACAGCCTGCTGCGTGTTGACTGCATACGCTACAACCGTGCTGTCCGTGATCTGGGTCCTGTCATCAGCACAGGCCTGCTGCACCTGGCTGAGGATGGGGTGCTGAGTCCCCTGGCGCTGACAGGTGGGCCTTGGACTGGCTCACTGGCCACTTGGTGCACCCAGGAGGGAGGAGGGAAGTGGCCAAGTGACCACAAAGTGTCCTGCACTCTGATGATTTTCTTGTGACCTCTCTTCCCAGAGGGTGGGAAGGGTTCCTCGCCCTCCATCAGACCAATCCAAGGCAGCCAGGGGTCCAGCAGCCCAGTGGAGAAGGAGGTCGTGGAAGCCACGGACAGCAGAGAGAAGACGGGGATGGTGAGGCCTGGCGAGCCCTTGAGTGGGGAGAAATACTCACCCAAGGTGAGCCTCCGTTGTGGTTTTCTCCTTTAATCCTGGCAGAGGGTAAGGCCTGAGCTCCTCCTGCCCAGGTGCCAAGTTCTTGATTGGAACTTTGGTGTGAAGATTGGTGGCTGGAGCCATGTGCCAGAAGACTTTCTGGGTTGGGTGGTGGCAGGGGCCTTGATAGGCATGGACTCGCTGCTCATCCTTGCCTCTAGCTGCCTATTGCTCGTGGGGCTTTGTTGCTGGCCCGCCCCGATCAGAGGTGCAATGCTGGGTTTTGGCAGGAGCTGCTGGCACTGCTGAAGTGTGTGGAGGCTGAGATTGCAAACTATGAGGCGTGCCTCAAGGAGGAGGTAGAGAAGAGGAAGAAGTTCAAGGTGGGTGATTTCTCCAGTTGCCTGATCTGGCCTCTCCCGAGGTCCACTGGTGGCTGCTCTGGCAAGATTGGCTCCAGTGCTCTCAGTCTTCTTCTCTCCTACAGATTGATGACCAGAGAAGGACCCACAACTACGATGAGTTCATCTGCACCTTTATCTCCATGCTGGCTCAGGAAGGTGAGGGGATGCGCTGCTGTCTTAACTGGAATGCCCTGCTGAGGGCCGTGTCCTTCAGCTCCCCTCCCCTGGCCTCTCCTGAGGCTTGAGCAGACCTTGGGGCACAGGGAGGGCCATGAGAGCCTCAGCTCCTGGCCTGAGGCAGCCAGCACCTGCTCAAGGGTCTCTACCTCTTCGCAGGCATGCTGGCCAACCTAGTGGAGCAGAACATCTCCGTGCGGCGGCGCCAAGGGGTCAGCATCGGCCGGCTCCACAAGCAGCGGAAGCCTGACCGGCGGAAACGCTCTCGCCCCTACAAGGCCAAGCGCCAGTGAGGACTGCTGGCCCTGACTCTGCAGCCCACTCTTGCCGTGTGGCCCTCACCAGGGTCCTTCCCTGCCCCACTTCCCCTTTTCCCAGTATTACTGAATAGTCCCAGCTGGAGAGTCCAGGCCCTGGGAATGGGAGGAACCAGGCCACATTCCTTCCATCGTGCCCTGAGGCCTGACACGGCAGATCAGCCCCATAGTGCTCAGGAGGCAGCATCTGGAGTTGGGGCACAGCGAGGTACTGCAGCTTCCTCCACAGCCGGCTGTGGAGCAGCAGGACCTGGCCCTTCTGCCTGGGCAGCAGAATATATATTTTACCTATCAGAGACATCTATTTTTCTGGGCTCCAACCCAACATGCCACCATGTTGACATAAGTTCCTACCTGACTATGCTTTCTCTCCTAGGAGCTGTCCTGGTGGGCCCAGGTCCTTGTATCATGCCACGGTCCCAACTACAGGGTCCTAGCTGGGGGCCTGGGTGGGCCCTGGGCTCTGGGCCCTGCTGCTCTAGCCCCAGCCACCAGCCTGTCCCTGTTGTAAGGAAGCCAGGTCTTCTCTCTTCATTCCTCTTAGGAGAGTGCCAAACTCAGGGACCCAGCACTGGGCTGGGTTGGGAGTAGGGTGTCCCAGTGGGGTTGGGGTGAGCAGGCTGCTGGGATCCCATGGCCTGAGCAGAGCATGTGGGAACTGTTCAGTGGCCTGTGAACTGTCTTCCTTGTTCTAGCCAGGCTGTTCAAGACTGCTCTCCATAGCAAGGTTCTAGGGCTCTTCGCCTTCAGTGTTGTGGCCCTAGCTATGGGCCTAAATTGGGCTCTAGGTCTCTGTCCCTGGCGCTTGAGGCTCAGAAGAGCCTCTGTCCAGCCCCTCAGTATTACCATGTCTCCCTCTCAGGGGTAGCAGAGACAGGGTTGCTTATAGGAAGCTGGCACCACTCAGCTCTTCCTGCTACTCCAGTTTCCTCAGCCTCTGCAAGGCACTCAGGGTGGGGGACAGCAGGATCAAGACAACCCGTTGGAGCCCCTGTGTTCCAGAGGACCTGATGCCAAGGGGTAATGGGCCCAGCAGTGCCTCTGGAGCCCAGGCCCCAACACAGCCCCATGGCCTCTGCCAGATGGCTTTGAAAAAGGTGATCCAAGCAGGCCCCTTTATCTGTACATAGTGACTGAGTGGGGGGTGCTGGCAAGTGTGGCAGCTGCCTCTGGGCTGAGCACAGCTTGACCCCTCTAGCCCCTGTAAATACTGGATCAATGAATGAATAAAACTCTCCTAAGAATCTCCTGAGAAATGAACCCTCCTGTGGTTGCTGGCCTGAGATATGGAGGCTGGGCCTTACTAGACCTCATGGGCCTAGGGCCCTGGGACCAGAAAGGTAAGAAGTATATGATCCTTGAGTGTCCAGCTGTCTTGGGCCAGAGATCCTTGGAATCCTAGGCCTGGGATTTAGGACCTGAGCTGAGGAGGGACTTCAGGTGGACTGTAGACAGGGTGCACTTTCTGGGGAGAGGGCCATGGCTTTCACCAAATCTGTGGCTTTGCAGCCTGGAGAGGTGCTGGGACTGTGGGTCAAAGAGGCGGGGCTGCCTCTAATCTAATCTCGCCTGGTGTGTTCTCCCTGGGAGGGCGCTGGGCATCTCTTCCTTGTTGCTTTTGGACAGGTAAAGCAGGTCAAAGCTGCCGCCTCTGTCCCGCTCTCCTCTGCCGACTGCATCGTCTGCTGAGGCTGCTGCAGCCCCTCACCAGCCCCCTGGCAGTGAGTCCTGCAGAGGGGTCCTCATGCAAGCAGCTAAGGCACAGCTGGACTGCTTAGAAAATTCAGCTTTAATGGCCCCAGCCCTTCTGTCTGAGTCTAGTAGTCCAGGGCACAGATGAGGGCCACACCACGCTTTATCCAGTGTCGCTGGGGCTGATGGGTGGGGATCTCCACAGCAATGACATAGTTGGTAGAGTGTCCTGTGGTTGATAGTGTTCCTGGAATGGGCAAGGAGGGGGACGGGTTAGGTCATGCCCTATTACTACTAGCAGGGATAGCGTAGGGGCAGGGCAGTGGGCAGACTAAGCTGAGGACAGGGAGGGGGCCCTGACCCAAGAGGAAGCCTACCTGATGAGGGGGTCTGGCCAGGGTTCAAGCCTGCCCAGGGTTACTGTATTGGGGACTGAAGATAGGGATGGCAGAGTTGATGCCACTTTTCATTCTCTGATGGACCTAGTCCAAACAAGTTCCTGCCCTGGGCCTCAGTTACCCCTCTGAACTCCCAATGACAGGCTGGGGCTTGTAGGCTCTTGGGGCCCAAGGTGGGCCTGCTGAGGGAGGCATGCAGGATAGGAGTTCAGGGGTGCTCCCCACAGCCAGACGGCAGGCCTTGGGCATTAACCTGCCTGCTGCTTGCTGGCCTGGCCCAAATCTCTGTTGTCCTTCCTTGTTCAGCTAACCTGGATAAGTGACTGGCTTGGGCTGGGCTGGGTTAGTCCTGGGTCCCCGCCCATAGTGTAGGCTCCCATCCCAGGCCTCATACCAGCACGAGTCAGTGTCTTGTAGATGGGGCACAGGTAAAAGTCCTGGTCCTGGGCCTTGCGGTTGGGTGTTGGCAAGAGCCAGATAACGGCCATCTCTGTGTACAGCTCCTTGGGCTGAGACTCAGCCAGCTGGAAGGCCTCTGGATCCCAGCGGGCACCTTCCAGGAATAATCCATGGATATAGCACCCTACTTGGGGTCTTTGTGTTAACTCTGATGGTGCCTCAAACATCACCTGTGGGTAGACACAGACACACCCCACACACATAACAATACCCAGAATCTGGGTTAGGAGGCACAAAACTCCCTTCTGAGAGAGCTGCCTAATGCTGCCTGCCTGCCCATCATCACGTACCTACCACTTTAGCCCATGGCCTGTGGTCTGTGCCCTGCCCCTGTGGATTTCTGATGGACCCAGCCCAGACCCGTTCCTGGGACTCATGGCCTCTTCTGGCTTGGGTCTTTCCATGCCCTGGCTTAGGGGTCCCCCAACTGCCAACCAACCGTGGCCTCAGAGCCTCTCCTCCCTGGGCTGTACCCTAGCCTGTCACCTGACCTGGCCCTGGCTGTGCCCAGACCTTGAAATCAAAGGAGATGGTGTCAATGGAGATGACAAATTTGCGGGCAAAATTCTGCAGAGTGCCTGTTAAGAAAGCCTGGGGGAAGAAGAATCCACTGATCCAGAAGACAGCTGGGATGCCATCTTGGATCCAGGCCTGCAGAAAGTCCAGGCGTTGCAGCAGGTCCATGACCCATGATGACAGAGGCTTGAGCGATGGGTAGGCCTTGGCACTCCAGAGCTCAGGCACAGTATTGTTGTACAGGCTGGCAGCCATCAGCTCCAGCTGAGAGGACATCACTACCAGCCCCTTGAGTGCCTTGAGTAGGTCTTGCAGTGTCTGTGTGATCACCTGCAGCAGCCGATTGTACCTGTGAGGCCAGTGGCAAGAGAATAGGTAGTGGGCTGGGGTCACGTGGCAGTAGCTATGCTCCGCAGCTCAAGGCCACAGAGTGAAAAACAATGGCAAAACATAGAGGCTAAGAGCAGAGAGCTGGGTCAGGTGGCCTGGGTACAAATCCCAGCTCTGGCCCTTAGCACATGTGTGAAGTTGGACTTGGATAGCTTACGGAACATTTTGGGGTCACAGTTTACTCGTCTACAAAATGTGAATAATAAAAATATGGCTGAGTTGGCCAGGTGCGGTGGCTCATGCCTGTAATCCCAGCACTTTGGGAGGCCGAGGCAGGCGGATCATGAGGTCAGGAGATCGAGACCATCCTGGCCAACATGGTGAAACCCCGTCTCTATTAAAAATACAAAAATTAGCTGGGCGCGCTAATTAGGTGGTGTGCGCCTATAGTCCCAGCTATTCAGGAAGCTGAGGCAGGAGAATCGCTTGAACCCGGGAGGTGGAGGTTGCAGTGAGCTGAGATCATACCGCTGCACTCCAGCATGGCAACAGAGAGAGACTCCGTGTCAACAACAACAACAAAAAATAGCTGAGTTAGAGGATGTGTAGCACTTGGCATGGCACCTGGCCCATAGTAACCCCTGTTGTCATTTCTCTACAGTCCAGTGGCCGCTGACTCGGGGCAGGGGTATGGCGGGGTGATTACCTAATGACCTCTTGTACTAGTACTGTGTTCATTGATTCCTCATACAGCACTGGGTACTTGGCCATCACCCATTGCAAGTTGATAGGCTCAGGCACCTTGAGCAGAATGTTTTGGGTGACGTCCTCCACTATCTGCAGGGGCAAAGGAATACTGTGGGGTCAAGGCTGGGCCCCCTTATCCCCTGTGGGATTCCACATGCATAGGGGTCCTTCCCACAGGGGAGTGGGCAGGATGGTGAAGCCCAGCCCGTCCAGCCCTTGGGCCCCTTACTCTGACACCACCCACCTCCTCCCGGCCCTGGCTGCCTGCAGAAGATGATTTGGGTTGCAGCTGGATGATGGTGCCCAGGAGGGCGAACGTCTCGTTCTGGGCAAAGGTGATGTTGGCATTGTCATGCAGGCCAAAGATCTCAGGCATATCATTGAGTGGGAGGCTCTTGATGTAGGAGAGGTAGCCCTAGGAGAGAGGAGGCCAACATGGAAGCCCCTGGCTTGCTCTGCCCCAGCCCTCAGAGTTACCCTCCAATGGAGCACATCCCCACTTGTCACATTCCCCACTTGTCACTCCTGCTCATAACCCTTATGCATGTCCCTGCTCTTGGGACTCCAGGCCTCTGAGGCACTGTGTGGTGTGGCCCTTGCTTCCCTCCCAGCCTCCTTGTTACTGCCATCCATTCCCTGCCCCTCTATTCAGTGGCCCAAATTTGTCAGGCTCCCTCCTGCCACAGGCCCTTTGCACTGATGACCCACACAACCCAGCCCTGGCTCATGGCTTCTCCTCACACATCTTAGGGGAAGCATCATTTCTGTGGCAGCCCTCCCTGACTGTGGAGTCTGGGCCTGGTTACTGCCTTGGAGGAGCTGCCCCAAGCCTTCACTGAGTAATTCCACCCAGGGAGTGGCTGACCAGGAGTTCACTCACAGAGGCAAGCCCCAGTGGGCAGGGTCTGACTCCCTCGCCAAGGCTGTCTTTGTGGGATGGGATGGATTGACTGATGAAAAGACAGCTGATGGAGGGTGGGGGCTGCATCTCCTCCCACCCAGCACCAAGGTGCTCATGGTACCCCAGAACCCCAGGCTGGCAGGCCCCTCCTGTGCAGCCCTTTGGGCTGGACTCACGTGGAGGTCGTAGGTAGGCGGGATCTGGTGGTAGATGCCCGAGGCGCTGTAGCTGTGCTCAGGGGAGAGCACGTCAGGGTTGTAGAAGTCCTCCAAGATGTTCATGATGCAGCGCCGGTCCCAGTCATCAGTGACACGGCCCCCGTAATTGATCTCCCCTGCCGTGTACTTGAGGACCTATGGGGTGGGTGGGTGAGGGCTCCCCTAAGTGCCCAGTCCCCCAGGCCCCAGTCTGCCCCAGGCCCACCTTGTAGGGGATGTCATCATATTCGTCCAGGAACATCTTGAGCTGGCTGATGCAGATGCGCAGATCTCCATCCGTGAACTCATAGGGGATGTTGAAGCCCAGGGGCCCAAACTTACGGCGCTCCAGGGCGTTCCCATGGAACAAGCACAGAGACAGCAGCAGAGACTTGAACTCCATCACCTGGGGGAGGTGGGAGGCAGGGGAGGTGAGGAGCGGGGACGGGGGCAGGTAGGGTAGGCCTGCACCAAGTGTGCCTCACCTTGTGGCAGGAGTTGAGGAAGTCTTCACCAAGGCTACTATAGGACTTCAGCAGGTTGGCCCTGACACCGCGTGGCGGCTCAATGGTCATCTTGGAGCCGTTCTGCAGGATGGACACTGGGAACTTGTTGCTGGGCAGGCTGGTGAGCCAGAGGCGGAAGTCCCTGTGTACCTGGTGGCCATGGCTCCACGTGAGCATTGAGACCCATATCTGGTGGCCACCCTGACACCAGGCTCCCTCCTGCCCAGGGACCCTGAGGTGGGTCAGGCGAGGCTGCACAGACAACTGGTTAAGAATTGGGCTTTTGGCTGGGCGCGGTGGCTCACGTCTGTAATCCCAGCACTTTGGAAGGCCAAGGCAGGCGAATCACGAGGTCAGGAGTTTGAGAACAGCCTGGCCAACATGGTGAAATGCCATCTCCACTAAAAATACAAAAAATTAGCTGGGCATAGTGGCGGGTTACTACCAGCTACTCGGGAGGCTGAGGCAGAAGAATCGCTTGAACTCAGGAGGTGGAGGTTGCAGTGAACCGAGATTGCACCACTGCACCCCAGCCCCGGTGACAGAGTGAGACTCCGTCTGAAAAAAAAAAAAAAAAAAGGGCTTTGGCAAGTCCCAGGTCACGGTCTGTGCTGGGTGTCCCTGGACAAGTCACATCACCGCTTGTACAGGTAACTGGGGGTGGGGGTGGATTGAGAGGATTAATGATGTCGATGTGTGGCACATGTCAGTTGCTGAGCACTTGCCACGTGCTAGAGGCTGGGCAGAGTGCTTGGCATGATTCTCTTATTTCTGCCTCATTAGTCCCTGATGGATGCAGAGGCGGCCCCACTGGGTCTGTGATGGGCAGGGCAACACACCTTGTCGGGGTTGATGTGCTCGATGAGGCGTTCTAGGGCTGGCATCCAGCTTGGTGCCAGGTGGCAGTTCTGGAAGAAGACCCATTTGCCCCTCTCTATGGAGCTGCGCATCATGGCTTCTGCCCGAGGGCCCTGCAGGGGCAAGAGCACTGAGCAGGGGGCCAGCTTGCCCACCCCCCAGCCCACTCCCTTCCTCCCTGCCTAGCCCTGACCTGCCCCTGGCCCAGGGAGATGGCAGAGAGCTTTTTGGAGAACTTCATTTCTTCGGCAAACTTGTAGAGGTCGGCAGCAGGGTCTGTGCCGGGTGACAGCACAAAGATGAGGGGTGTGGTGGAGTTGGAGTCTTTGAACACCACTGACAGATTGGCTGTCTGCAAGGGCAGGGGGAGATGCTGAGACCACCTGGGGCTGCAGAGAGATCGGGGCAAGGGAGGGGGATCTGGGGTTCTCAGAGTGGTCCCCAGTGGGCTTCCTGGTGGGGGCTGGAACCTCAGAGCCTTTAGGGAGCAAGCAGGGGTCCTGGCCTGGCCAAGTAGTCTATCCAGATGCAGCCAGGGCCCTGGGACCCAGGGTGGGGACAAGCTCAAGGTGCCAGTCCTGCCAGGGTTCCAGCACTTGCCTGGGGTTCAATGAAGCGTGGCTCCAGGTTGGTGGCCACAAAGTCCTGCATGGCGTTGGTAACCTTGTCCCCACGCAGGCAGCGGAGGACTAGCAGCTTCTGGAACTGGTCTAGGTACTGGTCCCAGATGCCAGGCAAAGGCTCCCTGCAACAGTGGCCCACACCTCCCTGAGAGCCAGCCTGTTGGAAGGAGGTTGGTGGCCCCAGGGATTCGGCCAGCCGGACAGCTGGGGAGAGTGGGCTATCCCAGGGGTATGGCACTGGAGGCACAGAGGAGATGTGGCCACAGCCACAGGGCAACCCTGGGTGGCCCCTTAGAGAAGGCGCCCAGACAAGCCTTTCCTAGGGACTCATCCCCTCGATGGGCTCATCCTGCCATATTCTGGGGCCCAGCTAACCGGTGGGGCTCAAGGCTGTCGAAGATGACCCGGAATTCTGAGAGGTGCTTCACGAAGTCGGAAGAGAAGGAGGAAAAGGTTGGCAGGTTCGAGAGTGCTAGGATGTCTCGCCAAGCCCGGTCTGACAGCCAGTCCGGTGCCGGATTCTCAGTCATGATCGAGATGGAGCCCCCAGACAGGAGGTATCGCCACTCACTCTGGCAGGGGACAGGAGGAGGCTGATGCCCAGGCCCTGGCCAGCTCCTCCTGCTCTGGGCACCCCCACCCAGTAGTGCCTCTCTAACCACCCTCACCTGGAGAAACTGAGTCTCCCTTGGGGATGGTAGTCAAACAGGTCTGGGTTAGTGTTCCCACCCTGCCTTTTCCTGGCTGTGTGCCCTTAGGGCAAGAGATGTGACTTCTCTGGGCCTCTGCCTCCTCATTTGGGAGTAGAAAGAATCAGAAGGCTGACTGCTTCCCAGGCCAGAGTCCTGTGCCAGGCACGCAGTTAGGGCTCTGACAGTGGTGGCTGTCACTCTCACTGTCTCGGCAGGGCTTTCCGCTGCACCACGAAATGCATAGGGCTTCATGAGAGTGTGAGTTCCTGGCCAAGCAGGTGTGGGAGGCTCAGGACAGTCCGTCCCTGGGGACAGTCTTTGTGCTCACCAGCACACTCAAGGCTCGAGAAGGCCTGTGCTCACAACATTGGCCTTCTTGAACCTTGAGCCATTGGTTGGAGCACAATTAACCCAGGGTCTTCTGGCTGCTTTTATTTATTTATTTTGAGACAGAATATCGCTCTGTCTTCCAGGCTGGAGTGCAGTGGCACGATCTCAGCCCACTGCAACCTCCACCTTCTGGGTTCAAGCGATTCTCCTGCCTCAGCCTCCTGAGTAGCTGGGATTACAGGCGTGCACCACCACACCCAGCTAATTTTTGTATTTTTAGTAGAGACCAGGGTGGTCTTGAACTCCTGGCCTCAAGTGATCCATCTGCCTCGGCCTCCCAAAGTGCTGGGATTGCAGGCATGAGTCACCGTGCCCGGCCCTGGCTGCTTTTAATCAAGGAATTGTTTCCTCTGCCACTTTGCTCTCGCGGTGCCTTCATGCCTGGCTTTCCCTTTCCTTCCACCCTGTTCTCAGGCCCTGCCACAGGGCCACCCCTCAGGCAGTCTGTCCTGGGTGTCTCTGCCAGCACCTGGTTGATTTTGCCCTCGTTCATCATGATGCGAACACACAGCAGGAAGGCAAACATCAGCTTGTGCTTCTCAAAGAGGCTGCGGCAGACGTTGCTGTAGAGGCTGTAGGTCAGGTAGCGGTTGATGTTGGAGATGCGCTTCTTCAGGTTGTCTGTGGAGTGGAGAAGTGATGGCAGCGCGGAGAGGTGAGAGGAAGGAAGAGCCCCGGGGTCCAGCCCAGCCTAGCCAGTCTCCCCAGCAGCCGTAGGGGCAGCCTGGGCCTCCTCTTGGGCACTTGGTGTTCCCAGTGAAGGGGCTCGGAGGAGGGTAGGCGTGCTGTGTGCATTCTTATGTATTGTGAGTCTAAGAGGAGAGTGTACGCCAGTGAACACAGTTGTGAGTTTGTGTGTGCCCCACAGTGGAAATGTGTCCACATGGGTCATATCTGTGCAGGGTAGGAGCCTGGCATGCCGGTGCTACCTGCTCTCTCTGAGTTGGCGATGCCCGAGAGGAAGATGTTGAGAAACCACTCAAGGGAGTACTGGTACATGGGGTCCACGTTGGCCAGGTCGGACACACAGAAGAAGAGGATCTGGGTGCGGATGGCCACGGGTATGTACTCCATGCGCGTCAGGTCGATGTCCTTCTCCGTCTGCTCTGCAATCCTGACTTTGGCCTGTGGGTGTAGTGGGTGGGGGGAGGGGTCAAAGAGCAGAAGGTAGGGGGTTTGGGGGGCAGGCCTAGGGCAGGCAGGGAGAGGTGGGGGGCAGGCCCGGGGCACTCCCGGGGCAGGTGGGTGGGCAGGCAGCAGCTGACCTGGATCTCAGCAGCCTTCATCTTGGAGGCTTCCAGCACCTTGATGAGTTCCATGTCATCTACAGGGTTGCCCTCGGAGGAGCTGAGCCGGTACAGGATCTGGTCCTCAATGTCCTTCAGCTCCTGGCGCATCTTGGCATTACTGATAATCAGCTGGTTCTTGGCCTCCTCCAGGTCGGGTCGCTCCTCTGCCACTACCTGGCCCAGTAGCTGGTCCTCTAGGCCACTGCCGGGGGCAGGGGACACCAAGTCTGTAATACCTGGTGGGCCCCGGAGGGCTAGTCGTGAACCTGGTCACCCATCCACCTGTGCTTCTGGGGCTCCAAGAGCCCAGCATCCTTGCCAGTGTTGGCCTAGGAGGCCTAGCCTCCATCTCAGGCTGCAGGGCTAGTGCAGAGCCTGCCTTCAAAGACATCAGTTCTCAGTGAGACCTTGGGTGGCAGCCTGGAATCCTAGAAGGGGCTGAGCAGTTGGATGTGTGAGCGGCTGGGGTCTCTGGACAATACCTCCTTGGCAAGTGGGGGCTGTGATACCCAGGGCAGGCCTTCAGGGTGTTTTTGCCCCCTGCTTTGTGGAGAGGTTCACACTGACCACTGAAATGGAGGCCTTAGCACAAAGCAGGCCTATGGGCTGTGGGCTGTGTATGGATGGCCAGCGAAAACCACAGTGCCCAGGCTCGTGGCAGCAAGGATAAGAAGCAGGGCATTTGGATTCAAAGAGCCAGAGTGTGCCCGACTCAGGGCTCTGGGTCAGCTCTGAGGATGAGGGCACAGGGCCTGGCGAGGGCTCAGTAGGAGAGAAGGGGTCCCTGGAGGAGGTGAGGCTGGTGCTAGACACAGAGGCTGGGGACCCTGACCAGGGATCTGGATGAGGTGGGGATGAAGGTTCTTAGGTGGAAACAGTAGTGGGTAGGAGGAGCTGGTGGAAGTGCTAGAAAGGCTTCGAATGTGAGTGCCTGGGGTGAAACTGGTGGAGACTTTGAGTGGGGGAAAGTCCCACTGACTCCCGGCCTGGGGGTGGGAGAGGAGCAGCTGGGCAGGCAGAGGCAGAGCTGATGCTTGGGCGTCCCCAAGAGTGGGGGCTCACCTGGGCGACAGGGTGAAGTTGATGAGGGTGAGTTTGGTGGAGATCTCGGGCGTGTAGTGTGGGTTGGGCAGCTTGGTGGTGATGTACATCCTGAAGTCCTCATGGTAGGGGATCACCGTGTCCCCCAGCTTCAGCACCGTGTTTCCCTGCTGCTTGTACGTCTGTGGTGGGTGGGACCGGTGGGTACTGTGGCCTGAGCATCACCAGTGGGGCAGGGGAAGGGGACTGCCCTGTCCAGGCCTACTGCCACCCTGCCATCACCACTGCAGACCCACCTGCTTGAGCAGCACTGGCTCCAGGGCTGGGTCTAGCTCCTCGCCCACGTTCTCCAGGAGACATGGCTTGCCAAAGCGGATGGCGTTCTCCATGCTGCGCAGGAAGTCGCGGTCACTCAACTTGAACACATCCAGCCCATTGTCCTTCTCCTGTAAGGGAAGGGGAAAAGAAGGGGTTGCAGGGACTGAGAGCCAGCCTGAGGCTCTGCGGCTCACCACTGCCCTTGCTATGCCTGGCTGGGGTGGGGTGGTGGTGCCTGGTGGGTGGGCTCACCATGTTCTTGATCCATTTGTTGGCCTGGCTCTGAGGGTCAATGAAGTGGGTCCAGCGCTGGGAAAACTGGTTGATGACCCCGTTCTCCACTGACAGTGTGTCGTTGGGGAGGCCAGCGATCTGTGGAGAGCCAGGCACTGGACTGGGTCAGAGCTTTCCTGCAAGCAGGGTCACTGAGGGCATCAGCATCTCCCGGCCTCGTGTTTCGGCTATGGACTTCCCTCTCCTTACTGCATCCCCTTGGAGGTTGGGGGCAGGTGACAATGTAGGCAATGCCTCACCCCCAGGACTCCCGCCTCTCCCTCGCTCCTGGGCTGGATACCTAACCATGGCACAGCCCCTGAGAGAGCACAGGCCCAAGGACACTGATGGCCCCAGATGGACAGAGAAACCCACAGACAGAAAGGCCCTCCTTCGCTGTGCCTTTTTGTCCTCTTGCCTACTGAGTGCTCACTTGATGAGACCATCTTCATAGAGCCCATACCCCACTGACCCTCCTGGCCTCTGCCCACGCCTGGCCTCTGCCTATGGCCTCTTGGTTACCTCTCTTTGCCAACTCTCCCTGCCCTTCAGAGTCTCACTCAGATACTTCCTTTAGGAAAGCTTTCTTTTCTTTTCTTTTTTGGCAATGGCATGATCTTGGCTCACTGGAGCCTCCACCTCCTGGGTTCAGGTGATCCTCCCATCTCAGCCTCCTGAGAAGCTGGGACTACAGGCATGCACGACCATGCCTGGTTAATTTTTGAATTTTTAGTAGAGACGGGGTTTTGCCATGTTGCCCAGACTAGTCTCAAACTTCTGGGCTCAAGCAATCCACTTGCCTTGGCCTCCCAAAGTGCTGGGATTACACTGCATCTGACCAGACAACCCTTCTAAACCCTACTGTGGACACTGTTTCTCAACCTCCACCCAACACTCTTTTTTTTTCTCTTTTGAGACGGAGTCTCGCTCTGTCACCCAGGCTGGAGTGCAGTGGCGCAATCTCTGCTCACTGCAACCCCCGCCTCCTGGGTTCAAGCCAATTCTCCTGCCTCAGCCTCCTGAGTAGCTGGGATTACAGGCTTACAGGTGTGTGCCCCTACACCAGGCTAATTTTTGTAGTTTTAGTAGAGAGGGGGTTTCACCATGTTGGCCAAGCTGGTCTCTAACTCCTGACCTCAGGTGATCCACCCACCTTGGCCTCCCAAAATGCTGGGATTACAGGCGTGAGCCACCACGCCTGGTCCATCACACTCTTAAAAGTACCCCTAATCCCTCTCCCCACATTTAGCTAGCATCTGTGCCACACTCAGCCCAGCTTTCTCCTCCTGTCCTCCTACCACCCTCTTGCTGGGCACAGGAGGGTTCAGCAGAGGCAGCTCCGAGCCAGGCCCTGGAAAGCAGGGTAGGAAGGAGGCAGAAGGCTCCTGGCCCAGCCTGGACCACACCACAGGCCCTGCCTGGGCACTCCTGCCCCTGGGGTGGGCACCTGCCACGATCGGATCTTCACAGGGTTCCCCAGCGTCCCGATTAGCGTGGGCTCGGAGGTGTGTGGGACATTGTGGCTCCTGAGCTGCTTGACCCAGCTGTCGTAGAGCACCGTGCGGTACTGGCCCTGGGGAGATGCCAGACTCAGGACCACCCCACCATGACACTCACAGAGACCTCCCAACTCCCACTAAGCCACAGTGCTTGGCAGTTGCAGAGATCTGAGCTCAGACATGGAGCCAGATACCTGCATTCTAATCCCACTTCGGGTGACTTTCTTGGCCTCCACAAACCTCAGCCCTTCATCTGTGAAACGGGCAAAGCTAACGATGCCTGCCTGTAATGGCGGCTATGAGGATTAAATGGGACACAGGTGGCATGTTTAGAACAGTGCCTGGCATGCAGCAAGTGCAGAAGTGTGAGCTCTTCTATGTTCCCACTAGGTGGCTTTTCTGGCTGTTTTGTACACTGCTGTATCCCCAGTGCTTTACAGCGCCTGGCTCAGAGAGGGAGCCTGCTAAGTGCTTGTTGAATGACTGAGTGAGCGGAGAGCCACCTGCAGGCTGCCTATCATGGAGGCGAGGCCTCAAGGGGGAAGGGTCTCTTTGGGAAGGCGAGGCTGGTCAGAGACAGAGGTGGGGACTTCTTACCGTGAAGGGGCCCAGGTAGGCCACAAAGCCAGCGGCCACCAGGACATCGCCGGAGATGTTGTTGAGCATGTACTGCAGGTTCTCCACCGTCTCCTGCCAGCGCACCTTCTCATCCGACAGCCCGTTGATGAGCTGGAGGGGCAGCCCCGTGGGGTGGGCTCTGGGAGGCTGGGCTAGGGGCCTGGGGCTGGCCCTACCCACTGTGGCACCTGGGGTTGCCAGGGAGGGGGTGTGGACAGCCACCCCAGGACCCACCGGCGCCCTGGTCCTTTCTGGCCCCTGTCTGGGCCGGGCCCGCTTGCAGGCCTTGCAGGAGGAGGGTGCGCACCTTGCCAGCTCGGCCCAGCCGCTGCTCACACTGCTCACACTTCAGCTCCAGCTCCTCCTTCTTGGTAATGCATTCCCGGTACTTAGCCTGCATTGTGGCGATGCCGTCCTCCACCTCACGAAGGCGCTGTTTTGCCTCATCCAGGATCCTCTGTGTCACCCCCAGGTCATCCTGGGCCTCCAGCAGGGCTTGCTGTGGGGCGGAGGGCGCAGGATTAGCTCGCCAAGTACCCCCGGGAGGGGAGCCCTCCCCCACCAGCTCCACTCAGCCCTCACCCGCTTGGGCTCCACGGCCTTGGCCACAAAGTGGTACTTGTGCATGGCGCGCACCCACTGGCAGATGGAGGTGCAAGCCTTGGACACCTTGGCAATGGTGGCTGGCTGGAACTCTTCATTATCGATGTACGGCTGGATGGCTTTGATCACCACATCCCCAATGTTGTCCTGAGGTGGGAAGCCTGGGTCTCAAGAGGCTGCTTCTCAAGGGTGACAGGGGAAGGGCTCTGCTGGGATGTGGGGCCTGCTGAGGGACACCCTGGCTTTTATGCCCTGTGCAGGCCTCAGTACAGATTCTTTCTCCTTAAGGAACAACATAGCCCAGAAAGGCTGGCCAGAAGGTAATCTTTGGTCCCCAGGATTTTAGATCATATGATTAGGGAGGTCTTCCTTGGGACACTGCGGCAGTCTCAAGAGCACATAACACACAAGACCCCACTTAAAAGCTCATTTAAAGGCAAGGGCTACTTCCTGAAAGCAAGACCATCAGCAGGTATTGGGATGAGTGAATGGTTCTGAGGCCCACCAGGCTCATGTTTAACCTCAAGGGCCTACCCCACCCCCTGGGGCTCTTGTCCCACCCAGGGAGAGTCCAGCCCTGTAGTTCATAATAGGCCCAGGTATTTGCATTGCTCACGAGCTCCCAGGGGTCAGAGCTTGGGCCCAGGGGAGCCTAAGCACCAGCCTTGAGCACTCCTGACTTGGGCGCTTCTCTCAGAGGGACTTGATTAGGCCTGTGGGGCCTCTAGTTTCCTGTCTGATGGAAGAGGAGAAGGAGGAATGGGGTAGCCCATAAGGGGTCCAGATGCTGCTTAAATGGGTGTGGGATGTGCCCAGGGCCTGATACTGACACACAGTGGATGGTGGCCTGTGTGGGACAGGCAGCTGCCCCCTAGCTAATTTCTGGGATGCAGAGGAAACCCCCAAAGAGGTTATGAGCTCCAGGCTACTTAACCATGGCACAGCCCCCGAGAGACCACGTGCCCAAGGATACTGATGGCCCCAGATGGACAGAGAAACCCAGAGACAGACAGGGAAGCTGGGCCCCAGGTGCTAAGGCTGAGGGAGAGAGGGGATGACTGGGCAGATGGTGAAGGTCTTGGCCAAGGCCTGGGGGTTTCTGGGATGAAAGGGCATGAAAGAGAATCCCCAGGCTGTGGAGACTTGGAATGACC
The DNA here is from genome assembly GCF_000001405.40 of Homo sapiens. NCBI lineage: Eukaryota > Metazoa > Chordata > Mammalia > Primates > Hominidae > Homo > Homo sapiens. The sequence goes on along the minus strand of NC_000003.12, from coordinate 52,387,159 downwards.
ATGGGTGACTTCCTATGGGGCACAGGAGCCTGTCCAGGTCCCAATTTCCTCAATACCTTTCTGTGGGTGGGTCTGTCACCCTACCAGACTGAGAACCCCTTGGGGCCAGGCTCTGGTTCCAGCCATCTGTGTGGCCCTCGGGCCCTTGTGTGGTGCTGGTGGTGTGGAGGTGGACAGAGAGAGACAGGACAGAGGCCACTGCACATGCAGATGATGTGGTGGGGCAAGCTCCTCTCCAGCTTCACTGTCCTGCCGGGCGGGCCTTGTCCTCACTCGCTGGCTGGCCAGGGTGCCTGGCATGCTTACCTTGTCAAACTTGAAGAGGCTCTCAAGGAAGTGGCCCGGGTCCTGCAGCAGCCCCTTGCCAGGCTCCCAGTAGTCATCCACCTTGGTGCCTGGCTTTTCTCCAGGCACCTTCTTGGGCTTGATGCCTTTCATAATGCACACAGCTTCTATGACCAGTTTCACACCCGGGGGTGGCCGCTGCATGGCACGTACCTGCAGGCCCAGCCACCAAGTGGGGAAGACTCAGACCCAGTGGGCACCCCTCGGCAGGGACCCTGCCAGAAAGGTTGGCCCTACCAACCAAGTCTCTACTACCACAGGACACGGGCATATCCAGAGATCCACCGAGGTTGGCCTCAGCCCACAGTTCCTTCTGTTCCCCAACCCAGGTGCCCATGCTCCTACTTGGGCCCTGGGGGCTGGAATGAGGAGGGTGGGGCAGGCTGCTGGGTCCCAGGGGATGTGCAGAGGGAAGGCTTGAGGACAGAGGCATATGAGAGGGAATGCCAGGAGATGCCCTGCTGCCCACCTCGGTCACATCGTTCTTGTTGAGGTTGCGCAGGCTGGCCAGAGCCGCATCCAGGGCTGGCAACGCCTCGTCCAGGTCCTTCTGGGCATCGTCAGCAATAGCTTGTGCCTTCTTGGCCTTCTCATTGGCTTTGATCTCCTCTGTCTGCACTGAATTCCGGGTCTCCTCGGCGATGGCCGTATCCACCTGGGGATGGGAGACATAGGGATGTCCTCCCCCCTTTTCTCTTCTCTGCATCTTAGTCTCCCCAGATGGAAGGAGAGTTGGGGTGCCCTGTTCTCCAAGGGCCCTCCAGCTGTGACAGGCCAGAGAGGTCTGGGAATACCAGGAGCCCCTTCCACCTCCTGAGTGCTCACCATGGGCCTGGCGTGTGGCTTGGGGCCTTACAAGTTTGGATGTAAGTGCCCCACAGGCAGGGCCCCCTAAGCCTGCAGGCACCTTCATGCAAGACAGAGAAAGACCCTCCTCCTGCCTTTCTTCTAGCTTCTTTCTATCTACTGGGAAGTTTTGCAATGCACTGACTTTGCCGAGCAGGACACTTGACTATTCCTTCCAGAAAGCTGTCATAAGGAATACACAAACTGCAAGGTCTGCCATGAGGATCGGGCCCTCCAACATGGGGCCCTGTGCTGGGCAGACTCCGGGTTGTGGTTATTGGAATCGTTCAGATTCCTCTGCCTTGCTCCTCACCGACCCCCTGCCCAGTGCAGTGCCTGGCATAGAAGAGCTACTGGGCAAACATTCCATGACAAAATGGATGGCTACTGATTGAGGAAGCTGGGGCACACGGAGGCCAGATGACTTGCAGTGGCCAGGCAGCTAGCGAGCCTGCGCCTGTGTGGGGGTGCCGAGCTTCCTCAGAGTCAGGCATTGGGGAGGGGCTCGGGAGCACCCCAACCTTGATCTGCTCCATGGTGAGCATGGTGTCCTTGGCAGCCTCCTCCAGCAGGGGGTGCATACTCTCCAGGTCCTCCTGCATCTTGGCTACATCCTCAGAAGTGCGCAGCAGCTAGGGGTCAGGGCAGAGACAGGAAAACAGGTGTGGCAGGGACAGAGAGAGCACAGGGCCTGCTGGGCCGCCCTCATTCATGAGAGAGAAGCTGTGGCCGGCAGCTTCGGTGGCCCCCACATTGCCCAGCCGACCCCAGAGGAAGGGCATCAGTCCCCCAAATATCTGTGGGGTGCCACGCTTTGGCCTGGCCCTTGACTGGCAACTTTTGTTCTTTTGATGAGGGGGGAAGCCACCCACTTCAACGTCGTGGGCTGCAGTTTGAAAGGCGGAGCATGGTGTCACCCTGGAGTCAGGGCTGAGTGAGCAGGCAGCCTGCAGGCAGCTGACCTTGTCCACGGGGACTCGCCTGGGCCCACCTTGTCGAGGCCGCTCTTCATGCGGTTCTTGGCAGTTTTCAGCTCCAGTTTCTTCTGCCCGATGAGGATGGAGAAAATATGAAGCAGCTCCAAGTAGCTCTTGGGGGTCACATAGTTGTGGCGGGTCAGCTCTGCCAGGTACTCGATGCACTTCTTGGACACCGACTGGTGGATGTACACACAGACCTGGATCTGGGGGAGGAAGACCATGGATGCCGGCCTGGTAGAGGCCCCAGGAAAGACAGGGACTGGGTGCCCACAGCCACTGCAACCTGGGCCGAGGAGGGGGCCACAGCAGGAACCTCCATGCCTCTCACATTCACTCTATGAGCCTCACGACCTCCAGGTCGAGGTCACCTTTTGTGCAGATGAAAAACCCCAGGCCCAGGGAAGTCCAGGGGTTAGTTCAAGTTCACATAGCTGTCAAGGGCTGGGCTGGCTTTGAACTTGGACCTAGCTGTCTCCCAGCTCTTGGCCCAGTGGTCTTTTCACAGCCCCCATGACCTGCCTCTCTCTGAGAGCCCTGAGGTGGTTCCCCCTCAGAGGCTGGATCTAGGGGGAGACAGGGCCCAAGGCCTCAGCACAGCTGGTAGGGAAATGTTGGGACTGTCACCGTCTCAGGCTGGACCAGGCAAATCTACACCCCCATCTGTGATCTCTGGAGTTCTATCAGGGGGTTCTTGGAAGAAAGCACCATGGGGCCCTCAGGGAATAAGGGAAGCAGTACCCGTGCAGCTGTGTGCGCAGCACCCTAGTCACTGTGATGACCTGTGGCTCTGCGCATTTACAGATGAGGAAATGGAGGCTTAGACAGGAAACACAGCCTGACCAAAAGCTTACCCTCGGTGGTGGGCCTGGGAATCTCACCCAGACCTTGGTGACCCTGAGCCCATGCCCCAAGCTAAACAGGTCTCCCCAAGGGCCTGAGCTTCAGCAAGACACCCACCAGTCCTTGGATTTCTTCCTGGGAGGATTCCAGTTCTGGGATCTCATTGAGGAACACGGTGGCCACAGACTTCAGGGCTTCTGCCGGCCACTCGTTAAACCAGTCGATGGTACAGCAGTTGACCAGGGAGGGAAACTGCCTCAGACGAGCTCGGAAGACCTCTCCGATGGGGCTGGAAAGTCAGGAATCCAAATGAGGTCCAGAGACACTGACCAACGACCCCAGGAGCCCAGGACCCAGGGCCCTTGCACAGCCCTGTGGCATGGCAGCCAGGACACAGCAGCACAGCAGCCTGGGCCCAATGGCATGATGGCCAGGCCCAGGGCCGCGTCTCCTCATCTCAGGCCCCAGCGCATGGCATCCAGTGTCCCCGGGGCCAGCCCATGTACACACCCAGCTCCGCTGCCCCAGCGCAGCCTGGCGACAGCTGCCTGTACCTCATGCACAGCACCATGTGGATGTTGCTGCGCACACGCCCTGTGTAAGCAGCCATGAGGTTGGCCTTGGTGGGCTGTAGGCCCTGCTCCTGGATATAGGGCCGCATGGTGCTGACGATCTGGTCCTGCTCGTCCGCAGTATACAGATTGGGAATGTCACCAGAGTTTAGGACGTTGTTGATATCTTCCAGGAAGGATTCGTTCTTGATCTGGGGAGGGGTGAAGGAGTGGGGAGCTAAGCCCCTGCATGTTGGACTATATGACCACAGTCTCGCTGGACCTTCACAACAGCTCCATTTGACAGACTGTACCACTAAGGCTCAGAGAAGCCCAGAGTCACAAAAGTGACCTCATAACAGACTAGCCTGTAGTCATAGTCTAGGACTTGCCCCCATGTAGAAGCTCTGAAAACCACTGGGTTGTGGCAGGACACTGGGTCCTCACTGGGGGTTGTGGCATCTTCCTCTTCGCCCCTCTCCATGTCTCAGTTTACTCACAAGAGGAAACCATGGCCACGGGCAGAGATAGGTCCTTGCCCATCTCATACAGCCTGGGCCTGGCTTGTGTTAGATGGCATCCTCCCTTTCCTGACTCACAGTGGCTGCCTTGAAGGGAGCTCTGGGGTTGGGACAGGGCTGGGAGCAGAGGGGCCTTTGTCTAGGATGGGGCACATTCAGGGGCTTCAGGCTGGGCCCCTGGGCCCAACCCTGACCACCAGCCAGGTTGAAGCCTGTTCTGTCGTGTGACCCTAGACAACCTCTCAGAGATCTAGGGAGAAGCCTCATGCCATCCCAAGAGGGAGCAGGGAAGCCATGGGTCCCTAGCACTTTGGGGACAAGCCCTGTGGTCCTTGAGGTGGGACACCATTGGCCAGTGAGTGGGGTGCTATGCTACCAGGGCCTTCTTTACCTTCGGGGCATGAGTGATGATCTATACCCCACCTTAGCTCTGAGAGGTTGGGTTTGGTCTCATGCTCTCAACCTGCCCATCTGTGGCCCCACCTGGTCCTGGTGGTCTCTTCTGAGATCTGCCCTGACTGTGAGCTGGGCATGAAGGACTGGCCACCTTCCGGGATGCTATGCTCAGATGGGGTTGTGTCCAGCCCCCCCGAGCCCTGCCCTCTGCTGTGGCAGTGGCACCTGGGTGTCTGAGAAGAGGAAGGTGATGGGTAGGTTCTGTAGGCCCGCCTTGAGCAGGACCTTCTTCACATCATCTCGCCACTCGGACATGCCGTAGTTCTTGGATAGTTCAATCTGGAAGCACTCGTACTCGGCCCTGGAGGCAGAAGTTTGGGTTGAAGCATGCCAGGGACTTGGGGCCAGACGCTGAAGGGTGGTGGGTGACCACACCCTACCCTGACCACCTGGAATTCTGCTCCCATCCTGGGCAGACCTGCAGACCCTTCAGGCCCTGAACCTGCTTTTTTGCCTTCAGACCTTTGCCCAAGTTGTTCCCTCAGTCCAAATGCCCTTCCCTTCCATCCTCCCAGCTCTGATTCTGAGAGCAGCCCTGGCCACCTCCCCTAGTAATCCCTCTGGGATGCCTGCACCACACTTCCCTCCCTACAGCACCACAGGCACTGCTGCTGCCTCTCCCTGGAGCCCAGATCCTGCTACTAGTCTTTCCAGAAGCCTGTAGGCTGCACGGGCCTACTTCAGGGTTGCCCGAGGCCTCTACCACTGTGCAAAAGCATGGGTCAGTCAAACCGACCAGCCAGCCCTGGCCGCCCACTGCCCAGCACGCCCTGGAGGCGCTCACATGTGCGAGGCGAGCCTTGTGAGGGAGCTGCGGCCGCTGCCACCCACGCCCAGCAGGAGTGCATTGCCCAGCGCCTGGCGTAGGGTGCGGCTGATGCGACAGATGTGGCTCATGGCGTCCATGAAGAGGACCAGCTTCAGCTTGGCCGTGTTGATCTGGTTGTAGTCCTCTATGTACTCCTCTATCACCTGCATCATCTGTGCACCAAGGCGAGGATGGGGAAGGCGGGGTCTCTCTTACTGTAGGGTCTCCCCGATTCCCCCCACCCACCCGCTTTCTTCTCTGTCCTGACTGAGAAGCACAGGTGCCTTGACCACCTGTGACCCGGCCAGCTGCATGTTTCCCCTGCAGGCTCGAGCCCAAGCTGAACATTCCCAGACACTGATAAACTTGCTTAGATTGTTGCTCAAAACACTGAGGGATTGGCCTAGCGCGGTGGCTCACGCCTGTAATCCCAGCACTGTGGGAAGCCAAGGCGGGAGGATCACTTGAGCCCAGGAGTTCAACACCAGCCTGGGCAACATGGCGAAACTCTGCCTCTACCAAAAAATAAAAAATAAAAATAAAAATTAGCTGGGCGTGGTGGTGCGTGCCTGTGGTCCCAGCTACTCAGGACGCTGAGGTGGGACGACTGATAGAGCCCATGAGGTAGAGGCTGCAGTAAGCCAAGTTCATGCCACTGCCCTCCAGCCTAGGTGATGGAGCAAGACCCAGTCACATACACACACACACAAACAAAAACAAAAGCAAAAATAAAACCCACGGGGGGATCAAGCATATTGTTAAACACATAGAAGCTAGCCCCAGCCCACCCAAATCCTTCAGTCCTCATGTGAACTCCATAACTCATATGACTCCCTTGTTGCACACATACTGAGCTAGAACATCTCTGCTCTCCCCTGTATGTGAGTTCCCCTAATAAATGCTCTGGACTAATTACCCTGTAATTCAATGCTTCTTTCTTTGGAATCTCAACCAGCCCAATCTAGGGATGGCTTGGGGGCAGTCCCTTGTAGGAACTTGCTTGCTGTCACTTTTGGGGCGACTCCAATCATGGGCTCGGCTGATCAGAGCACCGTGTACTGGGGCCCTCCCTGACGGGGAGCTCACCTGCCACAGCATACCCTGTTCCTCCTGTGCATGGTGGGGACGCTGGGCCTTAAGAAGCCAGGCCCCCCTGCACGAGGCCTGACCCAGGGACACATGGAGGCCTGAGAGTTGGGTCAGAGCCCTGCCTGCTCCTTCTGGGGCTTACCAGGGTGTGCTGACCCTGTGACCCTGGTGGGAGCTCTTGGAATTAGGAGAGGATGCGTGTGGAGAGAAACTGTCAGGAGGCCTGCTTCAGCCATGCAGCACTGGGGCCACCAAGTGAGGCCTCTTCCCTGCCTCCCTGGGGTCCTGACTGAGACCCATGGCCCCAGGCCCCGCCCCCGGCCCCTTGTGGAGGGATGATTGCCCCTGTGTCTAGAGCCCATCTCAGCTGGACCACAGGCTGGTTTTCAGAGATAAGTGAAGAAACCGGTACCCAGAGAGAGCAAGGGCATGCCGGGAGTCTCCTGGAGCTGGCTGTCTTACCCCGCGTCCTGGCCCCCTGGTTATAGTGTGGTAGTCTGTTAGTGGTGACTGCAGGGGGCCTGGGCCCCAGGGAGGCAGATTGAAGAGGACCCCACCAGGGGCAGGGCGCCTGCCTGGGCCCCTCACCTTACTCTCACTGGTGATGAGCTCGTAGGACTTGACATCGGAGCCTGGTGACATGAAGTCCCCGTAAAGAATGGGCTGGAAGGGGCAGACCTTGTTGAAGGTCACCTCCCACTGCTCCATGCAGCGCTTGAGGAGCTGGTCGAACCAGCTGCGGTCCTCCTCATTCACCAGTCGGTCCCGGAACACGCGGCAGTTCTCGTGATACCACAGTCGCAGCAGCTGCACTTGGTCCTGCAGTAGCCCCAGCATCGGTGCCTGTCCTTGGCCCCCAAGCCCTCAGCTATCTCTCAAACCACCAGGCAAGGGAGGGTGGGCCCCAGTTCCTGGGGCCCTGACTGGAGCCTGGCTCTCCCACCATGGCCCAGGGACAGTGTGTGGGGGCTGCTGGCAAGTGCAACTGCTGGCTGGCTGAGGATGGGGTGGATTGCACAGTGCTGCCTGGGCCTCCTCATGCCTCAGCTCCGAGTCCAGCTGGCCAAGTGCCCTCTGGGTGTCTGGCTCTGCTAGCTTGTCACAAGCACCTCACTTCCACCTTTTAGCCCCCTGTCGCTCCCCTAACCCCAAACCTGGGAGGGATGCTTGATGCTCCTAACACTTTCCCAACACCCCACATCTAACCACCCACCAAGCCACACTGACATGACCCACCAATCTCCTCTGAACCTGCCCCCTCTCTCCATCTCAGCTGCCGCCTCTGTCCCAGCTTCCCTGCATCTCCCTGGGTGGCAGGACTGCCCTCCGGAAGCTCCCAGCCTTTTCTGTAGACTTTGTTGGCTACAAGCGTGGCTACAAGGCCAGGGTCAGCTTCTGTCCTGCTCACCCCATCTCCTTAGCCTGGGCTACACACACACTGGCCGCTCAGTCCCATTCCAAAGTGCAGGTCTGTCCCCCGCCCACCCACACGGCTCATTACACCCTCAGAACAAATTTAAGCTCCATGTTGGCCCCCCACCGTGCCTAGTGCCTGGACCCACCCCTGCCAGTGCCCCTGACACCTGGCTCCCTGCTACACTTCCCCCTCCTTCCACCTGGGGTTTTTGGTTCCCAGAGGGCACCCTGCTCACTGTCCCTCAAGCGTTCTCACATGCAGGGCCCAAACCAGAAGCCCTCTTTCTCCCTCGTCTTGCCCTGGCTCTCTCATGTGATCCCCGTCTCAGCCACCATTCCAGGTGTGGGTTCAACTAACAAGACTGGGCTCAGCTGCACCAAGGCTGGGCTCTGGAGGGCCTGGCACCTCCATGTTCCAGGAAGCCCCACTCAGGGCCTGTTTGGGCAGGAAGGCCTGAAATTGGTGGGGCTGGGGAGGATGCGGAGAGCAGTGTGGGCACTGGGGAGGGTGCCTGCCTGGTCCTCACCTCGACCTTGGCCGGGTCAGCCATGAGCATGCCTTGGAAGACCTTGGAGAGGTCCCTCAGGTTGAAGGTGTAGTGGGACTTGGCTGGAGTGGGCAGCAGCTGGGAGGTGATGGTTGCATACACCATGATGGTGGCTTCCACAAGGGGCTCCGTGAAGTGGGCAATGTGGGGGGCCCCAGCTGGGGGAATAGGAGAATGGCCTGGGTCACATGCCAGGAGCTCCCTCTGCCGCCTCTGCAGGTCCTGACCTCCTTGCCTTTGCTGTGCTGTGCCCCCCACCAAGCCCCTTCCCCAGCCTTCAGGCTTGGATTCCACGTACCCTTTGGCCCCATCTCGGATGCCCCCAGCTTGGGGGAGGTGAAGAATCTCCTGCTCTGCACCCCTTATATCTTTATGCTGACATGGCCTGTCGGAGCACTGGGACTCATCATGGAACTGGGGGCGCTCGTGGGGTCAGTGCTGGGCGGGGCCATTACTGCCTTGTCCTATGGAGGCTGTGCCCAAACCTGAACATTCCACCTCTGAGCCACACTTGGGGAGGGTCTCATGATCCACGTAGGCCTCAAGATGCCGGAGTGGGCGTGGGGAGGCTTGGAGCACACCCCCGACCTTGAGGGCTTACCACCCACTTCGGGGCTGCCTACCCCTCAGCCTGCATTTTTACCACTCATACACCTATCGGCCTGTTCTTTGAAAACTATCCAATTCTGTGCTGGGAACCCAAATTCTGTCAGTGGAAACTTGGCGGAGAAGTGGAGAAAATGGAAAGAAAGGGCAGGAGAGGGGCCTGTCTGTTGACACAGGCACTGGGCACAGAGTGACCCAAACAGACACACTCCTTGCCCTCAAGCTGACACTCTTGTTGGTAAGGACGACAATGAGTGGATTAGCAAGTAACAAAGACAGCAAATAGGTGGCAAGGGCTACGGGCAGCCCTGCAGCAGGAGAGGGGTCCGGGGAGGGCCAGAGTTGGGCTTGGGGGCGATTTTACGGAATGCTGGGGGAGGCCTCACTGAGGAAGGGGGGTCAAGCAGAGAAGTGAGATGCAAGCTTTCACATAACTGGAGAAAAATTGTCCCAGGCAGAGGGGACAGCAAGGGCAAAGGCCTGGAGGTGGGAGCAGGCCTGGCATCTTAAGGACCAGCAATGAGGGGATGAGCAGGAGGCGGTGAGATCAGAGGATGAGGCAGGGCGAACTGAGGATGGCTTTGCCTACCATTGTCAAGACCCGGGCTCTTGCCTGGATGCGATGGGTGAGAGAGGAGGAGTGTGGACTGATGGAATGATTTCATGGGTCCCTGTGGCCCCAAGCGGAAGATAGACCTTAGGCAGGTGAAGGCAGCTGCCAGGAGACCATGGCGGGGCTACAGCACTGGCTGGGTGGGCAAGGACAGGGTGGTGAACAGTGGCCGATTGGGATGGGTTCTCAAGGGAGAACCTATGGGACCTCCTGACAGGTGAGCTGTGGGGTGAGGGAAGGGGGGATGGAGGATGGCGCCAAGACCCCGTCTTGCTGGGAGCACCTGGAAGGATGGAGCTGCCATTGCCTGAGATGGGAAGAGTGCGGGGACCGGGGTACTCGGGAGTTTGGCTCTGGACAGGTTTGGCCTGAGATACCCTGTGGACATCCCAGGGAAGATGTGGAATCAGGCATTCATGGGAGAGGTCTGGGCTGAGGAGGTAGACTTGGGAGTTGCCAGCACAAAGATGGTTTTCCCCGTCAGAGGCGGGATGGGACTGTCTCAGGAGAGTGTGGTTGGAGGGAGAGGAGGCTGGAGACCAAGCCCCAGTCCAGCCGAGAATGGGCAGCCAGGGATGGGGGAGGCCTGAGAGAAGCCCGTGGCAGGAAGGGGATGTCTGCCGGCCAGCACTACTGACCCCTGGGAAGGCGAGAACAAGGGCTGACCGCTGGTCTGGCCACAGAAGGCAACTGGTGACAAGAACTCTCAGAGGGTGAGAGGTGCATTCACAGGAAAGTGGGAGGGGAGGGCGGGTGCAGCGGGAAAGACAATGCTTTGGAGGAGTTTTGCTATCAAGGTGAGCAGAGAGGTAGAGTGACGGGCTGGGGCAGGTGGGAAGGGGGCCCAGAGAGGCTGTTTTGCATTTGGTGGTTGAGATGGAGAATGGGGCTTGTTTGTGGAAGGCCCAGTGGCGAAGGGAGCACTGGTGTTGGCGGGGAAGAGGGGTGCCACATTCCCAGGCAGGCCCAGGAGGAGGCTGGGCTTTGCTGTGGAGCAGCAGTCCGTTCCCAGCCACAGGAGGGAAGGCAGGGCGCAGGTAAGCAGGTGGGTGCAGACCCAAAAGGGAGCTGTTTCTCGACAGCCTCTTTCAGCTGAAGGCAGGGTGAGGAGGCAGGCCTGGGCAAGGACAGGGACTGCAGTGGTCAGCCGCCTTGCCGCGACGACGGGCAGATTCACCACGATGCCTGCCCCGCACAAACCACTCCCGGCTTTCCTGTGCACACCTGCTCCCTGGAGTTCTGATTCTTCACACAGGGTGGGAGTTTGTTGGATTCCCTTATTTATGCATTCATTTTGCATTTAATTTGCATCTATCATCAGCTGGACACTAACGCAGGCATGGAAGGGCTCTAAGAATGGGTGAATGAGCCTATGGGGCAGCCAGTGCCTGTGTCAACCTTCGCTCTGGCACCCTAGTGGCCCAAGGTCCCTGCATGAACCTGAGGATGGTTCACCACGGCGCCTGGTCGCAGCCTCAACACACCCAACCAGAGCCCAGGGCTCCTCCTGGAACCAGTGCCCCATTCCCGCCCAGGCCCACACTTACGCACACGCTCCCGGTAGCTTTTTTCTCCAAGGAGTCCATCTAGAGGATGGAGGGAGAAACACGGGGCTCAGGGTTAGGTGGACCTCTTGCTGCTCACCCTGGCCAGGTGAGATGGTGGGGGAAACAGCATCTTGGGGTAAGCTTTTCCCCAAACCCCATAAAGGCTCAGAGACACTCCGTCCATCCTATCTTGTGGCTTTTCCTGATTTACAAAAGTAACATGCCTTCCCCAGAGTTTCTGGGCAAGTACTAACGTATACGTATGTATGTATGTGAGTGAGTGCATATCTGTGTGCATCATACATCCAGCAATCACCACGTGCCAGGCTTCATGCTAGGTGCTCTACATGCAATATCATACTTAACCCTCACGACCTGGAATGGTAGGTACAGATGAAGAAACAGGCTCAGAGAGATTCATGAGCTGCCAAAGATCACACAGCTGAGTGAGAGGTGAACCCAGGGTTGCGGTCATGGTTTGGCCACTCCACCCTTTCTGGTGGCCACCCAGTTGTCCTTGGTGTGGCCTCCCTGGCCTGGGCTTCTGCCTTTGTCCATGCTCACCCCCACCAATACTCACCCAACCAGTTGCCCAGGATGGTGGAGAAGATGCGTTTCTTGCTGACCTCGTCCATCTCAGCGAAAGACAGGTAGTTGAAGTGACGCATCAGCCGCGGGGTGACGGTGTTCCTGCCTCCACCCGGGGGGCCCATGGCACAGACAAAGTTGATGTCCACTAGGTTCTTGAAGGCACCTGGAGTAGGGGCAGGAAGTCAGGAAGGGCCCTGGCCAGGGCTGCATTATGACCTTTGTGGCCCCTTCTCCATACAAAAATTCAAAATTATACTTTAGAACAGTACTGGAATAAAGACAAATACATCAATATTACACAGGAAAATTTTTCTTTGCCCTAAAAATTCATGCTCCTCTCCTTTAACTTTTTTTTTTTTTACAAAGTTCAAAAGTACTTTTTATTGCAGACATTTTCATATACAACGTTAGTGAAATCGAGCCCCACCCCCCGCCCCCATGGTGAAGACATAGTCCTATCTTATAAAAACATTTCAAGTAACCCTGGACGTTTTCATGTCACTCTCGTTTTTAGTACCTGGGGATTGGCTTTGGCTAGATTTTCTATTTTAACCCATGCTTCTTCTCGTACTTCCATTTTTAGCTTCTCTTTTAGTTTCTCTGCTTTGGACTGTTGTGTACAGTCATCAAACAGCTTTTGTTCCATCTCTATGAACAGATTCAGGGCGTTGTATATCAAGCCATGTATTATCTTGTTCCAATGGGTCTTTGAGTTGTGGTACAAGGAAGGAAACATGATGGGCAGAATCTTCGCTGCATTGTCACTGATTAAACTCATGATGTATTCATTATTCCAGTAATAGAGAGCTCGCTCTGCCACCTGGAAGTGTGGGCTGGAGACACATTTGGCCAACTGCCGGAAGAGGGGCTCCATGGTCTTCACAAATTCTGATGGTTCAATGACATCTAAAATCGCTTCTAATTTGTTTAAGAACATTACTTCTTTTGGACTGTGAGTCTTTGGCCAGCATTTGAGAAGTGTCATCACCACTGGTTCTGTGGGGGTGCTGTCCTTTTCTAAAAACTGCACTCCACAGTATGCCAGCTGGGGGTGGTAGACACTCAAGAGATTTCACTTTGTGCAAAGGTAGTAACACCTTCAATAAGAAAATCTTGTGTTCTTCTTTTAGTGGTAAGGCAAATCCATTAATTATACTTCCCAATATTTCCAGTAACTCTGCTATGCCATTATGATGCTCTGTTTCATAAATAAACCTATAAAATATATTATTTATCTGTTTTCTGATGTAAGCTCTCAAGCCTAGGAATTTCCCATAGATTCTGTGAAGGGTGGTTTTAAGAAAATCTCTCTCCTGAGGATCTTCACTGTCAAAGAGCTTTAAAAGCTGCAATACAAACTTCTGATCAATATATTTCTTCGCTATATTAGATTGGAAATCTGCAGACTCTAAAAATCTTAAGAAAAATTCATAAATAAGTGTAGATGAAGCCAGCCTGCTTCTAACGTTGGTTCATCTTCCTCTGAGTCAAATTCTGCTCCCGTAGGATTGGAGGAAGGTGGTAATATTCGAAACATGTTAACTGCAAACATATGGACTACTTCTGGGTAAACAGGCTCTGTGATCACATTCCAATTATGGGTGATATATTCTACCATTTCACTTAAAGCAGCTCGTTTTAATTCCTTCTACTTTAGTTCACTTAGTGGATCAGAAACAAAGTCAAAAAGGACGCAACACTGACATAACTTCTGGATAAAAAACTTCTTTTGATCAGCAGGAGGAACATCTTTTAAGGATGGTAGTTTTTGAAGTTCTCTATTACTGCTTGCGCTAAACCTTGAAGAATTTTGCTGTTTGTCTTTCTTCACTATGGGCTGAGAGACGGGTACTTTTATTTTAGCAGACACTGTAGACGGGACAGCAACAAGGCTGTTTTTCCTGACGGAAATTTGCTCTGATTCTACTGTGTCTTGTCCTTCTTTTGAACTTTTTCCACTCTTCCCTGCTTTTGGTGATTCTTTCTCCTTCTTGTTTTATTCGGCATGGCTGGAGCGGGCCGCCACCGCCCTTGCCGCTTCCTGCCCCCGCAGCAGCAGCGCCCCCGCCCCGCCGTCGCGCCCCCGCGGCCACCACCGCCACCTGGGGACTGAGACATTCACTTGCTCTCGCTTCCCCTTTTCCAGGCTTCCAGAGGCTGCGGCAGCCGTGGCGGCGGCGTCTCTCCGCCCCTCCCCCAGCCGGCCCCCCTCCTCCCCTTTAATTTTAAGAGAAATTAAAACATTTTTGTGGGTGCCTTAAAGTATTGTAGGCCTTCAGTGCTGTGCCTCCTGTGCCCCTGCACAGCACGCGTAGCCCTTGCCCTGTGAGCCAGGCCGGCCACACTCACCAATGATCTTGCGGTCGTACCAGCCGCCGTGGTCCATCCACTGGCGCAACAGCTCGATGGGTGGCTGTGCACCGTAGGTCTCCAGGGCCGGCATGTTCAGGTCATCGATGAAGAAGATAAAGTTGCGCCCCAGAGGTGGTCCAAACACACCCTTCCGCCTGAGGGGAGGGGCTGTGTGAGCCCAGCACCCACAGGCACCAGGTCCTCTGAGAATCCAGGGGCGAACGGGTGGCAGCTTTGCCTCTGGGAAGCCCTTGCTAAATTTTAGCCTCCTCCAAATTGCTAGATGCCTTGACCCACCCTCATCCTTGTTCTGAGTGTCCTGGGACAGCTGGGACAGGCTGACCTGAGTCTGAGCTCCCTCAAAGTGAGTCTCGCCTCCCAGGCAGATGGACAACAGGCTTCTCACAGACAGACCCAGGGCCCTGTCCAAGGGCACAGCCAGGGCGAGCACCCACTCGCTGACTGGCTTTGTAGGAATTTTTGATACAGGGAAGGCTCTGGAGCAGTCTGTGAGGGAACCCTGGGCCCATTGGGGGGCTGTCAGCTCCCCCTGGGAGGTTCCTGGCAAACCCAGGAGCATAATTTGGTGGAGAGGTGGGACAGCAGCTGGATCGGCCAGGCTGGGAGGATGCAGGGGTGAGGAAGGAGGGAGGGGTGCCCTGCCTCTTGTCCAGCTTGCTGTCAATGAAGTCCTGGGTCTGGTTGGCTGAAGTGCGGGCTGAGAAGGTGAGGAAGTGGCTGATGTAATCCAGTGCCAGGTTCTTGAGGAGCTTGTCAGAGATGGTGAGCGTCTTCCCCGTGCCTGTTGGCCCAATGCACAGCACCTGGCAGAGCGGGGATGGCACAGGAGCATGCGGTGGGCCTGGTGCACAGGAGGAGCTGCCCCTGCATCCATGTGGGAGGCTGGTCAACCCCCAATATAGGCCTTGGGGACAGTGGAGGCAGGGCCTGGGGGGGTGCTCACGGGCTTCTTGTTGGTGAGCAGCATGTCCAGTAAATGGGACATCTGCACGGTGTCCATGGTGGGCACAATGATGTTGCAGTAGTTGGTGTCTGGTACCATGGTGAATGGAGCTGAGGAGTCCATCCACTTCACCCAGGCAACCTGGAATCATAGGTGGCTCAGCAGTGGGCCTGGAACCCCTCCCTGCCCCACTCCTGGCTGCGGCCCCATGGCCAAGTGCAGAAGGGCCAGGAGCTGCACGGCTGGGCTTTGGCAAGCGGGTCCAGGTGCAGGGCTGCTTCCGGCGGAAATGGAAAGTCCTGTGCCCTGCTTTCTGCATGGGGAGGGGGACTCCCAGCACAAACAGCCAAGAATGGGGACTCTGAGCACAACTGCATAAGAGGGCTCTCCCTGCCCAGGTTGGGGGCTCCCTAAGGACTGCCAGGCCCTGAGTCTCTGCAGAAAGGAGAAGCTCCGAGAATTGAACAACCCAGAATGCAAAGGGGTTTTCTGTTTAGTTTCAGGCTACCCGAGAAATGTGGGGGCCAGAACCATGGGCACTGGTGTCAGCTGGAAGCTGAGAGGCCACTAGGTCCAGTCTTCCCAACACTGTCCCCGCCTGCACAAATCCCTTCACTCACAGCAGCCCTGACCCAGCTTGCAGACGTCCCCTGATGGGGGGATCACTATGGCCAAACCAATGCATCCCACTGGGCACAGTCTTAAACGTTAGACCCAAATGTGCCCTGGGAGCCCCCAGCAGGACGCTGCACAGTAATGGACAGGTCTCTGCAGACGCCTTTCCACCTCTGTCCTCCTGGGCTGGGGTCTTGACCTTGGGATGAGGGTGAGCTCATGGAGCCCTTGCTAGCTGATAGTAGCGATGAGGACACTGAAGCAGGCTTCAAGAGCTTGCCCCCCAGCCCTCGGGAGCCCAGTCTCTGGGAAAATGGGGCTTTTAAGTGGAACTGAGGTGGCCAGTCCCTGGGCTCCGCATCAATGTGGAAGAGGCAGTGCATATGGCTGGAAAGGGAGGTACTCGAATGTCTCCCCTCTTAGCCCAGCCCTAGGTTCAAGTACAGCTCTGCCACATCTGGAAAACAAGCACAATAATAACCACTCTACAGGGCCATGAGGATTCATGAGATGATGCAAATAACCGCTGCCTGAGACCTGGTGGCCATCAATGTGACGGCTCCCTGTGTGGCCATAATTCATTGCGGGAACAGCAGCCACCCAGTGGTCCCTCCCTGTGCAGTCTCTGGGGAGGGCCTGCGGCCACCTGCTTGTATTCCTCCTCTTCATCCTCACTGTCGTTGGTGCCACTGATGCCCGCGTCCTCCAGCCTGTAATCGAACACCAGCCCCTCTTCTGGGAAAAGCAGAGTCAGCTGCCGGGAACCAGGAGGAGAAGCAGGCTGTGAGGCCCAGTAGGACTGAGGCTCCTGGTCCCTGGGGGCCGCCGGCTCTCACCTGTTCGTTCTCCATCTTGAGCCTTAGCCAGTGGCTGAAACTGGTGCGGCCACTGCTGTCCCCAGTGGCACCCACGCTCCAGATCAGGGAGAAGATGAACCAGGGCTCGATCAACTCTACGATGCGACTCAGCTTTTCAGAGGGTATTTTCTTGAGGCCCTGGGGATGAAGGGAACAGTATCAGGCTGAGACAGGAACAGTATCAAGCGGCCTGAGGAAGTGGGGCAGGGGCATGTCTTGACCTCTGCTACACAGCTTTGTTTCTCTACAGCCAATTGGACAGGTGGTCTTGTCCATGTTGCACCATGTTGCACCAATCCAATTCTCTCTTTCAGGCCCCAGAGAGCAAGGAGAGCAGTGTGGGGAGAGGGACCAGGTGCATCTAGCCCCACTCTCAGGGCTGTACCTCTCTAGGCAGAAAGGGCTTGAAGAAGCAGTCCAGCAGCTTGAGGAGGCTCATGGTCAGGTTGCAGTTGGTTGAGGCGATCACCTCCTTCACTGAGGACCGAACGAAGGAGATGGATTCCTGCAGGGAGTAGGCACCCAGTTCTCATGGCTGGCAGCCACAGTGCCCTGCTGCCCTGCCAGGGTCAGACATACCCGTGGCCTCACTCACCTCCAGGAAGCTGACAAAGAGGGCCTTGAAATGCTCCTCATAGGGCTTCAGCAAGGGAGGCAGCTTCCTCAGCCAGCACTCGATGAAGGGCATGAGCCCCAGGATGCTGGGCTCCAGGTACACCATGCCACAGCGGGAGACTGTAGCTGGTGAAGCCACCGCCAGGTCTTGCACCTCGAACATCATGGTCATTGCCTGGTGCCAAGACGAACCAAATGAGTGGGCTGGCTGCCAGTCCTCAGGCCTGGAGAAAGGGCTGCAGGGCTGCGGGGAGGGGCTGCACATCCTGTAAGTGGGCGGTGTGGGCAGGCTGTGGGGCAGGGGCAGTGCTGGGTGGGACAGGAACCGCTGGGTCCTCAGCTGATAACGTGGCTCTCCCTGGAGCCCTGAGGAGGACCCCAAGTCAGGAGATTCCTGAGGTTCGCTGACCAGACTGGGGTCAGAGCATTTTGGGGTCCCTGGAGGCCTGGGCACATCTGATGGGAACTGTGTATTTTGCTCCAGAGCCCTCCACCCCTGTGCACATAGACACAGGTCCACATTGACTGCCAGGTATTTGCTTTTAGAAGGATTCAAGAGCTGGACTCAGTGTAGACCCCTGAGATGCTCTTGTGCCCAGGCCATATCCCTCTTTCTCTGACAACTGCTCCTCACACACCAGACAGATCCCCGTGGTGTCTATGCCATCCATCTCCCAGACCCCGGGCATACTGCCAGGGCCAGGTGCACACCTGACCCCACCTGACCTGACTGGGGCAACATGGCTGAAATTGGGCCTGGGAGGCAAGAGGCATCATCAGCCGGGGAGCAGTGGGACAGGCATCCTGGTGGGCTCGAGCACAAAAGAAAGAGGGTCTGTGTAAAGGGTGCTCTGAGCAACTGTGCGGGACACCCTGAGGTGTGGGAGCTCAGGGAGGGGCACTAGGAGCTGAGCCTAAGCTCCTGCTAGCAGGAGGGCTCTTGCTGAGTCAGGGTGACAGCCTGAGATGGACCCATGGCCCTGAGAGAAAGGGGTGAGGGGGCAGAGTTTGGCCAGCATGATGCAGCCTCCAGGCCCACCCAGCCTTGGAGGAGAGTGGGCAGGTGGACAGGTAGGTGCACCTCTGTGAGCTTGATGATCTCCCCAGAGCTGAGGCACAGCTTCTTGTTGTCATCCAGCACCGTGTTCATGTTCTCAATCCAGATGGCATCCACCGGCCCATCGAACATGTACCACTTCTTGTTGGTGTCGGAGGTGATGGCCCCCGCCCGGATGAACGAGGAGAATATCCCGTCTGTCCTGCAGCGCCAGGGAGGAGAGGGCTGGAAACATCAGGGAGGCGGTGCTTCGAGCACAGCTGGCTCCCAGGGAAGCCTGGCCGCCGGGTGGGCGGGCTCTACTTTCCTTCAATCTCTTTGTTCTTTTAAAAATTATAATAGGAAAAGTGGGATTTTTTTGGTGTCACATGGTGTAATGAAAACATGTGCTTATGTCCCTGCCCTGCTGAAGCCCCATTAAAGGTGAAATCCCAACAGGAAAAAGGGAGCAGGGGAGGAGGCAATAGCAGAGATGGAGGAAGTGCAGCTCTGGAAGACAATGGACAAGGATGGAGGAGGGTAAATGACAGGGCAGAGAAAGCAGCGTGGTGAGAAGTGGCCAGGTCCTGCCTCAGAACCCAGGGGACTCAGACCTCAGAGGCAGCACGCACCAGGGAAGGGGCTGGTAGGGCTGATGAAGATGCTGTGCTTGGTCCAGCCTTAGGCTCCGGAACCTTCTCCTAGGTGCCCATATATGCACGTCCTTGTAAAATCCAGTTTCAGTAAAGAACCCTGCTAAGTCAGTTTAGCCAGAACCCTTGATAACTGATCACTCTTGAGGCTCCTTCCCTGCACCACCCCCAGGCAATGTCTGGTTACGCTGAGGCCTGTCTTCAGTTGGAATCCTGTTAGATTGGTTCAACCAGAATCCCCCTCACCACTGATGTTTCCTCTGGATTTTCCACCCACTGATGCTCACCCTGCCCCTTGGCTATAGATTCCCACTGGCCCATGCTGTATTCAGAGCCCAGTCTCTCCCCTTAACTATAAGGCCCCAGTGCAGTGGTCCCTGTGCCTGCCATGCTCCTGAATATGTTCTTCCTCAGCATGCTTTAAAAAGTATCATTGAGGGCTGGGTGCAGTGGCTCACGCCTGTAATCCCAGCACTTTGGGAGGCCAAGGCGGGCAGATCACCTGAGGTAGGGAGTTCGAGGCCAGCCTGACCAACATGGTGAAATCTTGTCTCTACTAAAAATACAAAATTAGCCGGGCATGGTGGCACATGCCTGTAATCCCAGCTACTCGGGAGGCTGAGGCAGGAGAATCGCTTGAACAAGGAGGCAGAGGTTGCGGTGAGCCGAGATGGCGCCACTGCACTCCAGCCTGGGCAACAAGAGCGAAACTTCGTCTCAAAAAAAAAAAAAGGATCATTGAATAATTTTTTTTCTTTAACAGGGGACTTTTTTCTGGTCTGACCCCCAGCCCCCTCACCTACCTACATAAGAGACTGGAGTGGATATGGGGGAGAATCTTCACCAGAAATGGGGGAAGCAGTACAGGTTCACGTTGTGGAAGGTGGGCGACTGTCCCTCCCTAGTGACCATCCCCTACAGGGCTCCCAGAACACTGGAGCCAAGCAGACACCCCCAGCAGAGAACTGGAGACTCTTGCCTGGAGAAACAGAATAGCCTTAGAGAAAAGCCCCTGAGGTGCCGACGTCTCAGCAGTCTCCATCCAGCTGCCCTTCTCCTATCTCAGTGCACTTCCCCTAAAATGCACACCCCGGCCTGGGAGCAGGGGCCCGGAGAGGGCCCACCAGCTTCTCTCAGGTCATGACAATGGCCAGATACTGCAGAGGCACTGAGCGTGTTAAGTCATTCTTGCCTTACCATAAGCATGGTGCCATTATTGTCCCCGCTTTGCAGACGAGGGAACCATGGCCTGGGGGGTGAGGAGGGTCACTCAGCGAGGAAGTAGAATGGAGAATAGAATCCCAAGCGTTGGGCTGCAGAGCCCGGCCTTCCACTGGGCTAATGGAGGGAGGGGTGACCGCAGCCCACAGCCTCCAGAGGTCTGGGAGCAGGGGGTCACCGGTGAGGCTGGGGGGTCACTCACCACTCATGGGTGAGGAGGTCAAACTCCCCGTACAGCTGGCCCATCGTGATGGACTTGGGGTTGAGCACGTAGTAGTTGACAGCCTCGTACATGCCACCACTGATGGATGGCTGCCCTTTCAGTGACGTCATGGCAGCTGCCAGGACTCTGTAACACTGGGAGACGGACCGCCTGAGAGTGAGGCTCCCAGAGAGCAGGGCTAGAGTGGGCTGGGGGCCAAGGGGAGGGGGAGGGGTATTCTATGCCAAGGGGCACAAATGGAGGCCAACCCCTGTTGAAGCTGCACCCCCCTACAGGCCCACTATCCGGACACTGGCTGCCAAGCTTGGCTCTGCTTACAGTACTCTTGCCGGAGCCTGTGGGCCCGACGAGCATGAGGCCGTGTCGTACCACCGTGGTCTCGTAGAGCTGGATGCACTTTGTCAGGAAGCCTGGGGGACATGGCATGGGGCCCAAGGGTCAGAGCATGGGCTTGGGTCCTGGCCACACCACTAACTTGTGTGACCTTGGGTGAGTCACTGCACTCCCTGAGCCTCAATTTCCTCATCTATAAAATGAGGATGGTGGTAGCACCTACATCATAGGCAGGGGCAGGTGAAGCCCTAAGCACAGAACTTGGCAGAGTAGAAACTCTGTAAATGCTAGCCATTCTTTCCACTGTGACTACCGTTCCTTCACAGCCATTGGTCAGGTGGTCAGCCATCACCAGCTTGCTCAGTGTCAGCTGTCACAGGCCCCAACTTCAGCCCCAGCCTGCTGAGAGCACCACCCCAAGTAAGTGCTGACTCCTATGAGCAAACTCCTAGAGACAAGATCCTAGGGTCAGTTGGGAGCTATAGAGGCAGCTGCCAGCAGGCAGAAGCCAGGCCCACAGGGGTAGGGAATAAATGCCTCACTTTGGCCCAAGAAGGGTGGTGGTGGCTATGGCCCTGCAGGTCCGGGGGTTCCTGCCAAATAGGGCCCAATTAGCCAGGGACGGCAAAGGTGACCTAAGGCTGTGAGGGAGAGAAGAGTTTGAGGCTTCATTCAACAAGCCTGCTAGGGTCGGGGGTGCAGGAGGTGACCAGAGGAGGAAGCATTCGAGCTGCACATGGAATTGAAGCACAATGGAGGGCACCTGGGGGAGGCCTTGCAGGGCTGAGCAGGAACTGCCTAGGGTCCCGAGAAGGGCCTTGTGTGGCCAGGGTGACTGGCCATGGCTTCCCAGAGGAGCTCCTCCTGCAGGCCCACCAAAGGACCTGCTGGAGGGGGTGGCTGGCTGGGAATGAACTGAGACCCTCATCCTACTATGAGGGGCGAGGGTTCGGGATGAGAGGGAGTCTATTTGAGGGCAGTGTCCCCCCAGCCCTCCCAGACACATGGTGGCCTTTGCAACAAGTCAGTGAAGGAAGGGCCCAAATGTTCTTTCTTTAGCGCAGTGACGCCAGGGGTGTCACTCAACAAGGAACGTGGGCAAGTCCCGCTAGTGGGGTGGAGCCAAGAGGCCTCTGGAAGAGGTGAGTGGTGGCTGTGGTGAGGTGGGCTGGGGTGCAAGGAATATGGCCTTGAAACTCCAGTCACATCCCAGTGAGGGCCAGGCCCTGATGAGGCAAGGCCCAAGAGGAGCTCGGGGCTCTCAGCCCACACGGGAAGGAGGGCCTAGGAAGGGGACAACGCCTGCCTCCCCACCACCAGGCGGGTTTTGGTGGAGACTGGGCCGGGACATCTGCCCTGCCTCTGGATTGCTCGGCTGAGAGCCCGGGCCTGCAGCACACTTGGCCAGGTGTGAGGGCCCCTGGGGTTGGACTGTCCTGTCTCTGTCCCCCTGACCTGGACTCCAAGGTGGCCATGGCCAGCCCCTCCACGAACACTCAGGGCCCGAGGCTCACCCTCCACATCCTTGAGGTTGCTGTTCCTGCAGGCCTCGCGGATGGCCTCATCCAGGATGCCGTAGTCCGTGTCCTCCTCCTTGATGGTGGGAAACAGGTCGGACACGATGCCAGAGAAGAGCTTGAGGTCCTCCTGCAGGAACTTGGGCACGTTCACATCACGGATGGCCCGGAGGCAGATCAGCTCCTGCAGCAGGTGCCGGCTGAGCCTTCAGGGCAGTGGGCCAGCTGCCCTCCAGCTGCCCAGGAGCCCTCCCAGAGTTCCACTCCTGGAGCCCTGCTGGGTGGAGCTCACCTCATTCATGCTGGGGTTTTCTCGCTTGAGGTTCCCAGCAGCCGAGATCACAGTTTTCACGGCTCTCATCCCGAAGTCATAGTGATCCTGTCGCCATACAGAAGGAGGCATGGGTGAGCACTGTCCCTCTCCAAGGCTTCTGCCTGGAACACTCTGCCTCCCACCTGGCAGTTGGCCAAGTCTCATCACCAGCTCATAGCACTTCCCTTGCAGACCTGCTGGGACCACCTACATGCCCAGCCTGGGCAGGTGCACCTTCTTTGGGCTCCCCGGGCACCCTGCACTTTACTGTCCCGATAGCCCCCTCCTTTATCCGATACCCATTCTGCATCCTTTGGTCACTGTCCCAGCACATGGCCAGGGGCAGGAGGGCCCTCTAGTTGTGCTGGAAAAGTGAATGAAGGAGTTTCCCATCTGTGCAACAATCAGCTTGGCCTTGATGGCCCTTGAGCTTCCTTCTAACATTCTCCCATAACATCTCTCCAGACCCGTCTTTCTGGCCACACCACCATGCTTTTTCCCCCAGCCTGTTTCTCTTCATTACACAGTAAGTGAGTTGGAAATAGTTAAATTAATCATTCTGCCCCATGGTGCCCAACCAAGAGGACTCCATCTAGACCCAACCCATAGACTAGCATATGTTCCAGAAATCTCGGACTTGGAGCTGCATGAAGAGGCTGGGCTTGACTTTGGGTCATTTCTATTTGGGAAGAGTTGAGTGCATTTCCAAAACCATGTGGGATAGTTGCTCTGATTGGGGGTGGGGAGCATTTTGGAAAGAAGGGTGTGTGGGAGCGCCGGCACCCAGGAGTGCACTGTGATGAACTGCCACTGCTTTTCCTGGTAACAGGCTGCATCTCTTCTAGCTCATAGATTTTGGTGGACTGCATCTGGCCAAAGGTAGTACTGATTACCCCTGGCCACAGTGATTGGTGTTCATGGATGAGCAGGTGACCCAGAGAAGGCCCATTAGGGTGACAACAGGGATTTTTTTCTGAAATCATGATGGAAGACAAACTAAGTTGCTAGCATGTCAGCCCAGAGGTGGGACTCGTCTCTGCTGCTGCAAAGTGGGGGCCTGTTTGGGAACCAAGCTGAACAGGAAAGCTCATCCACCAGCACTGGTGCCTGGGCCACCCCATCTGTCCTTGGAATCTGGGCTCAGCAAGCTGAGTGGAAGGATGGTGGTGCTGGGAGGCTCGGAGGGCCTGGCTGTCCTACTCTGGTCCCCACAAGGCCCAGGTGCACTTGCTCCCCAGCCTGGGGTTCTGAAGCTCTTGGTGCCCTAATGATCAAGGCCCTTGCACCTGAAGTAGCCACACAGGCATCTGTTCCTGGCTCCTGCTCCAGCGCTGCTGTGTACTGCATGAGCCTGGCCAGACCTTTAGCTACCTAGGACCTCGGTGTCCTCAGCTGACAAATGGGCATGTAACTCCTATCTCCAAGGGTTGCTGGGAGAAGCCGACAAGGTAATGCCTGTAAAGCACCGGGCATAGAGCCTGGCCCTCAGCAGGTGCCCTGGAGGCTGGGAGCAGGCAGAAGTTTTCAGACCCTGGAAACCCATCAGGGCAGGACCACACCTGGGAGCTGAGCTGCTCAGAAGACAGCTTGAAGGTGGTTGTGATCTTCTTAGCCAGCACACTGGCCTCATTAAAGCCAAAGGAATAGAGGGAGATCTCAGTGATCATGGCGTAATCTGGAACCATCATGGCCACGGGTCGGAAGAGCGCCTGGGACACACAGTGCACATGTGAACAGCAAACAGAGCTCACCCCCAGAGCACCCCCAGCTTCATCCGGCCCTCCTCCCTAACACGCTGGGACTCCCTGCTGCACCAAGCCTGCCACAGCTGAGGCTTTCACTCCCCTGAGACTGGTAGCTCTGCCATTAGAGTGGATCCTTGGTGTTGATCCAAACCTGCCCCCACATGACTCCCAGGAGATGCCCCTCTTGGCTCCTGTTTTCCTGTTTCTCCTGAAGGCCCAGGGTGAACAGGTCTCATTAGATTCCCCCTCCACACCACATCCATAGGCAGCCTGACTTCTCCCATGCCCTGAGGACAAGTCTGAGGCCCTGAGGCCTCCCCTCCATGGCTAAGGGGCTACCATAGGGAATCACAGTCCCTGGAGTCCAAGCAACTGTGTCCTTGCATAAGTGGCTTAGCATCTCTGAACTCAGGCTAGAGCTCTGGTGCTTCCTGGGCCACTCTGGGCCTGCACTTGCCTTCAGATTGTCAGGCAGCTCCGTGCGGCCAGCGTAGCCCGGGTTCATGGTGATAAACACTGCGCAGGATGGCACCAGTGGGATCTCCACACCCTCAAACATGAAGCGTTCCACCTGCAGTGGGGAGAGGCTGACTTGCCTGGGACTAGGGTGCCCAGCCTTGTCCCCTCCTCTGAGTGGGCCCCTTGTCCCCTGTTGATGCCCCTGTCCTGGCTGTAGCTGGTAGGCCAGGCCTGGACCCCTGATCATGGGTTGTATCCTCTCTCAGGATCTGGCCTGAAACCTCAGGCCCCAGTGGCTACCCATGGCCTTCCAGCTCCTGGCTTCAGGCCCTTGGAGGTCTCCACATCTCCTGCTTCCCACTCGCTCCACCCCCAATTCCCCAGCTCCAGCCAAGCTCAGCCTGACTAGGGGAAGTGGGGGAGGGGATAACTGCTAGCCTCTCAGCTCCTGTCCCCAGAACAAGGTCCCTGGCCGCCCTGCACGTGGCTAGAGAAAGGACCAATGCCTGGGGCTTTCCATAAAGGTCAGGATGTAATGAGGAGGGGACCCCTTCATCCCCCGCAGCTTGGCCTGGGAGCTGCCCACAGACTGGGGTTAGGGTGTGCCCCCGGGACAAGAGAGGCTGGACCCAGGGTGGACCTTAGCGCCTGGCTTCTCAGCCTGCAATGGGGAGCAGTATGGCGGCGTGAGTATGGCAGATCTGAGGGAGTAAGGTGGGTCCCCCGGGCTCACCCGCTGCTGCTGCGCCTTCTGGATGGTGGTGATCTGCTGCGCCACCACAGACAGCACCTCGATGTCGATGCGATTGAACTCGTCGAAGCAGGCCCAGGCCCCAGCACTGAGTGAGGCCGGAACATTGGATGGGGCACATGTGTTCAGAGCCCAATCTGGGCACCTCCCTCTGAGGGCCCCCTCCAACTCCACTTGGGAGGAAGCCCTCAGGGGCAATCTCCATCAGCTCAGTCTTCAACCCACTGCCACTCCCCACCCCAATGCCCCCAGGACCAAGCCGTGATGCCTATTACCCCCTTCTGTCCCCTCCACCATCCTTCGAGGCCCCTCTCAGGCACTGCCCTCACCTAGCCCTCCCCAAGGAGAGCTAGGCTGTCCCACCCCATCCTGTGCCACGCTCATGCCCAGCCTCACCTGGCCAGGCCCTTGAAGAACTTGCCCATGGCCATGAAGTCGAGCTGGTCAGAGCAGTTGAACACAACGGTCTGTATGGCCAAGGCCTTACCCAGGTCTTTGGTGGTCTCAGTTTTGCCTGTGCCAGCTGGGCCAGCTGGGGCACCCCCAAACTTGAGGTGCAGAGCTCCGGTCAGTGTCAGGTAGCACCTGCAGGAGACAGAGGAGGTGGGCTCGGGCCGCACATGGCCTGGACACTCCCCCTTTCCTTGGAATTTCCTGTGGACTGGGGCCTCTCGCCCCGTCCCCTTTTGGTGGGCTGGGGTGTGCCCAGCCCTGGCTCCGGGGTCAGGACTGGAGCCTGTGGACACCTGCCCAGCGCGTTCCCTGTCCCATTTCACCACCCTGCCCAGCTTTGCCCAGGGACCCCTGGGGATGGCCGACATGTGGCCACACTTCACTTCCCTCACTCAAAACACAGCTTGAAAATCCAGCTAGTGCTAGACACAGGCGGCAAGATGACATGACTGACTGAGCTAGGAGGGAACTATTAGAAAAGGGCTCACCCATGATGTCTCTCAGCTCAGTTCCTCTGGCACATTAAAGGAGGAATTGACGGATAAAAACAGGAAAGTGCATACCCATTAGATGCTCACTGAGTGCCACACCTGTGCTGAGAGCTCTACATGTATCAGCTCATGAAATTCTCATTACCACCGTGAGGAGGCCTCAGAGGAAACTCAGGCACAGAGGGGTCAAGTCACCTGCCCGAAGTCACTCCGCCTGTGATGGGCAGAACTGAGGTCTGAGCCCAAAGCCCTTGGTCCTAACCCTGTACTGCTCTGATGGACTAGATCACCCCAGAGTGGCCATGGTCCCTGGATTCCTGGGCCAGAGAGAACTAGAGGGAGGGTCTCAGTGTGGGAAGGAGCAAGAGGGGAACGCTTACCTGTCGGTGAGGGGCGTGATCACCAGCCTCCCACTGTTGCCCAGGTACTCATAGCCATAGATGAACTCAGCATTCACAGCACGGATATACAGGTCATTATTTGTCCAGTAGTACCTGGCGGTGCAGGGAGATGAGGGCCTGGCCATGGGGCAATGGGCCACTGGGCAGGGTATATAGTCAAGGAGAGAGGGTTCTTTTTGGGAATGAGGGCATTAAGGTACCCATACCCAGCTTGTCCCAGAACCTCAAGGACAGAGACCAGCTTATTGCTAACTGACTTTTCTCTTTTCCCCTGCCCCTTCCTGGCAGCTGCTCTGGCCCTGGGGGCGCCCCCCATGTCCTCACCTCAGCTGTGAGATCCACTGGAAGTCATTCACGCTGACCACGTTCTCCTGGATTAGCTTGCTCACCACGTCCTTGGCATGGACCTCAATGACGATTAGCGCTGACAGCACTGCCCGCTGCATGCGGGACAGCTTCCCCCGCACAAGGGCCACCAGATCACTGAGCTGCAGAAATGGGGTGCACTGTCAAACATCAGGGTACCACGAGGAGGCTCACCCTCCCCTTTCACAGAGGGTGGGCTTCTGCCACAAACAGTCCCTCTATCCTGGGGGTCTCTGATGGTCTGAGTTGGGAGGGGAGCAGGGACCGGGCAGGGGAAGGAAGGAAGTAGAATAGAGGCACATGCCTGGCGTCTGCCTCCCTGCAGCATGTCGTGCTGTCTGAACCCTTAAAGCCGGGAGGGGGAGCCTGGCAAGGCACTGGAGCACAGGGCAAGGGGTGCCTGTGGTACTGTGCAGGAGGGACCAGGCGCGTGGCTCCCTCACTGACCCTTGCAGAGGGGGCATCGCCTCAGGCCCGTCCTTCCTGTGGGTGGCTGGTTGTGAGACACTTCAAGGGTGTCTGACCTCCCCTTTAGACCCAACCCCAGGCCTCTTCCAGGCTCACTATAGGAGAAAGCTTCCGGAGGGACTGGGCCCTCCTGTGCCATGTAGGGGGTGGAGGGGGACAGACAGGGGTCCTCTTGACTCCAACCTGCTGGCAGAGCTGGGGGAACAGTTGGCTTCTGAGGTTGCCGGCCTCCAGAGCCTCTGCCACCTCCATGGTCCAGTAGGTCTGGCACCCAGCGATGGTCACCTGGCCAGGCCAGTTCAGAACCCACTGGGTCCTGGGCATCTGGGAAGACAGCATGGGCAGGCTGACCTGGACAGCCGCAGCCCCAATCCCATTCTTTCTTCTTCCTCTGAATGCTGTCTGTGCTCTGGCCTTTCAGACTTGGCTCCAGTTGTTGATGCCACCAGTCCCTTCAGAGCAGGGAAGCCCTTATGCTCTGGGCTTCTCAGGGTGGCAGAGATATCTCTGAACTGACTCTGCAGGCTGGGGAGTCACCTAGAGCCCAGCTGCCGGTTATGGTCATGGAGCTGAGAGAAAGACTGCAGGAGAGGGCCCAGCCTGGAGCCTGGCACCCAGTGAGTGCTGGGAACCAGAACAGCCATCCCGATGATTAGGAGTGAGTCCCACTTTCTGGAGTGTGTGTGGAAAGGAAAGACTCCAGAATCCCGCCTGAGCCCCCAGGGACCTCAGGGCTGCAGCCTGAGGACGAGGCCGGCTAGAGCAGGAGGGGCACTGAGAGGGAGCAGAGGGGTGCAGGGGTGGAAGGCTGCACGGGCTGCGGGCGGCTCACCGTGGGGTAGGCCCTGATGGCCTTCTCAATGATGTCGTGCACACTGGCCTTCATGCTGCGCTCCACCTCCCGCAGCCAGTCCTCCACGTTGCTGGAGGGGTAGATGGAGAAGCACAACTGTACCTCCTCCCCCTCGGCTGAGTACATGTGCGTGATCTCCAGGTCCTCCTGGAATAGCAGCTGCAAGCAGTGGAGGAGCAGGAGTGGGGTCACCCTGGTGTGCCCAGATGCCCTGGCCACCACAGCCCCAGCGCTAAGCCTGCCCGGTGCCCTCCACCTCAAGAAGAAAGCCCTGCCTTCCCGTCCCCCCGAGAGTCTATCTTGGCTGGGCCTTCCCAGGCTGGATGGCCTGCCTTCTCCCCAGCAGTGGTCAGGCCCCAGCCCAGGCCCGGCATGAAGCAGGCTTTAGGGAAGGAGGCTGACTGCCTTGCATGTCCCCGGCCTCCTGCATAGATGAGGGAAGACAAGGCAGGCCACAGGCTTCTGGCCTCATGGGTTTTGCAGTGTGCTGGGGGCACAGGGAGCGCCTGGTGAGTTGGAAATCCAGGGCCCTCAGCCCTGAGCTGGGGATTCTGCAGTTGACCTTCCTCCCACAGGCCCCAGGTGTGTCTCCAAAGACCAGGAATGTCATTTGCCACATTTCCTGCTAAAAGGGCTCATCACAAAGGGAGGGACGTTCTCCCTGGGAAGATGCCCCATGCTCCCAGCCCTGAGCCCCGGGCCCAGCTGCCCACCCGAGCGATGTTCTCGAAGCACTTGCGCAGGTGTGGCTGCACGGCCGTGGGGTCCTTTGTCTGCGACAAGATCTCTAGTAGTTCATCATCTGACAGGAAGTAGAATCTGCCAGGGGAACAGGGGTGAGGAAGCGGGTCGTGCAGGCTCCCTGGGCCCCAGCTGCCCCAGTCCTGCTGACATCCCCGCACCCTAGCCTGAGCAGGGCCCTGGACACCTCAGCCTTGTGGGCAGACAGTGGCGGAGTGGGCATGGCCAGGTGGCGCCCACCTGGGGAAGGCGCTCCTCTTGGTCTCCAGATACTCGCTGAGGCCCTTCTGCACCAGGTCCAGAATCTTGTTGCAGTCCCGCAGGCTGTCCAGCATTCTCAGGTCGGAACACACATTGATCACCTGCAGGGCCCGGGCCATGCACAGAAATGGGCAGTGAGCATGGTCCAGGTAGCAAGATAGGCTCATCCCAGAGCACCCACACCAGCCAGAGCCCCTCAGCGGGGCCTGGGAAAGAAGATGCAGAAAAATTCTCCCTGAGCCAGTGGCTGCAACCATCAGCCCCACAGAAAAAATTCTACGGTCAAACAAGTTAGAGTTAAACAAAGCTAAAGAGTTTGCTTTGCTGCAGGACTTGTCAGAGCTTCTAAAATGCTAATATGGGCCGGGCATGGTGGCTCACGTCTGTAATCTCAGCACTTTGGGAGGCTGAGGCAGGTAGATCACCTGAGGTCAGGAGTTTGAGACCAGCCTGACCAACATGGTGAAATCCCGGCTCCACTAAATACAAAAGAAAATCAGCCACGCGTGGTGGCGCATGCCTGTAATCCCAGCTACTTGGTAGGCTAAGACAGGATTACCCTGTCTCAGCCTCCGGGAGGTGAACCAGGGAGGTGAAGGTTGCAGTGAGCCGAGATTGCACCATGGCACTCCAGCCTGGGCAACAAGAGCAAAACTCTGTTTCAAAAAAAAAAACAAAAAAAAAAAAACAGACAAACAAAAAAAAAACGTTAATATGGGCTGTGGATCTCCAAGAGAAAAACCGTCAGTGACTGTGCCTCTAAGGAGCAACTCTGAGGCTGGGGAGCCCACTCTGGAGGACATGGTTCAAGATCAAATCCTCAGGCTTGTCCACCAGCCTTTTCTGTGTAGGGAGGGAAGAGACTAGGAGGCTACCAGCAATGTGACCAGGGCCCTTGGGGATCCCAGCTGCCCCTCCCACCCTCATTGAGCTTGCCTCCCGGTTCTCGTAGGCATTCTTCATGATCTTCTTCCAGATCCGCTCCATGGTCTGGTAGCGCTTGCTCTCCACAGGCAGCTGCTGGTTGATGTCCTCAGAGCTAAAGATGGGCTCCAGGTAGAGCCAGGACCGCTGACAGTTCAGCCACTCCTCCAGAACCTCCTGGGGAGGGGAGGGGCAGGGAGGGGTGTGATATGGACTGTCAGGGTCCAAGCTGGGGTTTGTCCCAATGACTGGGACATTTCACCCCACCAGCATGTTGGGCAGAGCACTGGACACCAAAGCCAGTGTCTACAGGGAGATTTCTAGATGGTGCTGTCATCTGTGATACTCCAGGGAACAAAGAGGATACAGGGATGCCTGCCCTCCAGAGAAGTCCCACATCCCCACAGGACGCCCAAGCCTCCAAAGGAGCCGGGGGAGCTGCTCTTCCAAAGGGAGGAACACACCCACGCCAGCAAAGCCTGCAGTGACAGGAAACACTCGGTGCCTGGGAGACAAACCAGCCTCCTTCCTGGAAGGACTTCTGGGTCCATGACCCCAGGATTCTCTGAGATTCAATGGGTCTTGAGTGTGAGAGTCCTAAAATACTCTCTGAAACATGAGTCCAAGGGTGAGACATCTTCAAAATGAGCCATTTCCCCCTTCTGCCTCCAAATTCCCCATTCAGGATGTATCTCTTGTCTTCTCCCATCAGCGCAAACTCACGCACTCATCCATTTCTTCCTCATGGGATGGGGGTCACAGTCAGCAGTGTCAGGACTGTGCCAGGCCCTGGGAGGCACTAGGGGAAACAGGGGAATGCGGCCTGGTCCCTTCCCTCGAGGGGCCCACAGCCCACTAAGGGGCCAGTTCTGCCCCTGAATCATGGGCCCGGCATGTGTAGTGGACTCTGAAAGAGGCACCGACAATGGCCTCGGTGGGAACCCCTTGAAGGATGGTGAGGGAGAGTCGGCAAGGCTGCTTGTTGCTGGGCCTTGGAGGAGATGGAAGGCGGGTGTCAAACTCCAGGTCGAGTGGACAGCGTGAGCAGAGGGGGACTGGGGATAGTGCTGACCAGCTCAGGCATCTCTGGGTGGTCCAGGCACACAGATGAGCCCTCCCCACCTGCTTCTGGCCTTCGCCGGAGGTCTCTGAGCAGCTATCAGGGAGGCCCGGGGAAGGGGATATCACACCTGCAGGCTGGCCCCGGGACTGCCCTCCAGGGCTCTGTGGGCAGCCCTTGCCTCTAGCCTTGAGAGCCCAAGACAAGTGCAGTCCCTGGTGGCCCAGTCCCCTCAACCAAGGTAGCTCCAAATGAGATGAGAACAGAAGCTCAGGACAGAGTGGGAAAGGGCACTGAGGTGCTCTGGGACCTTGGGACATCCGGCCCAGAAAGTGTCAGTACTGGAGGACCTGGTTGTCCCAAGCTCAGGCAGCCCTGGGGAGGCCGCCTGGCAGTTCTCAGGCCTATCCTCAACCACATTTTGGGACCCAAATGCTGCCCCTACGCACCCTTATCTGCCTCATCCAGTAGCTGAACCTCATGGATGGAGAGCCCATCCTAGTTGCCCTCCTCTGAATGCAGTAGGGCGGGGCCTGCCAGAGAGCCAGGGGCTGTGTGAATGAGGGCAAGGCACTGCGATGCTTTGAACCCCACCCGGAGACCATCAGTGACACCTGTGGGTCGGGCTCTCTGAAGTGGGGGAGCGATGAGGGAAGGACTGGGGGGAGGGCCGACCTGGGTCAGCTTCAGTTTGTTCTCCCAGGAGTTGATGCGCTGCTCAAAGGGCTTCTTGTAGGGTGAAAATGACATATTCTGGGTCATGACGATGTGGTCGTCCAGCAGCTGTGAGGCCTCGTCCGGGCTCTTCAGGATGTAGGTGTCTGTCGCCTTGTAGGGCAGTACATTGAACAGGATGGTCGACCACTCCTTCTCCATCTTGTCCAGTGCCTGGGGTCGGGGACAAGCCAGGCTGAGTCCTGGGAGGGGCTGGTCCTGATGCTGTCTGACCAGCCCTGCCCAGGGAAGCAGCAGACAGTACCTGGCCATGACCTCCACATGGCCGCTCTGGCAAATACTCTCGGCTTGTCTGGCAACAAGTCCCGTGTGAGCCCCTCATCTGAATTCAGGGCCAATTCACTCTTTTTTTTTTTTTTTTCTGAGGTGGAGTCTCGCTCTGTAGCCCAGGCTGGAGTGCAGTGGCACAATCTTGGTTCACTGCAATCTCTGCCTCCCAGATTCAAGCAATTCTCCTGCCTCAGCCTCCCGAGTAGCTGGGATTACAGGCATGTGCCACCACACCCCACTATTTTTTGTATTTTTAGTAGAGATGGGGTTTCACCATGTTGGCCAGGCTGGTCTCGAACTCCTGACCTCAGGTGATCCACCCGCCTCGGCCTCCCAAGTGCTGGGATTACAGGCGTGAGCCACTGTGTTCAGCCCAGTTCACTGTTACACATGTGCTGCATGTGGTTGTACGCACATGTTGGGAGGCAGCTAAGGTTAGGAGGAGTGTGGGCGCTGGTCTCACCTCTGGCATTTACTGTGTCATCCTGGCCAGTTGCTGAACCCTTCTGAGCCTTAATTGATTTATCTGTTTTTTTGTTTGTTTGTTTTCTTTTGTTTTGTTTTGAGACAGGGTCTCAGTCTGTCTCCCTGGCTGGAGTGCAGTGGCATAATCACCGCTCACTGCAGCCTCAGCCTCCCAAGAAGCTGGGACCACAAGCATGTGCCACCATGCCTGGCTAATATCTTAATTTTTTGTAGAGATGGGGGTCTCCCTATGTTGCCCAGACTGGTCTCAAACTCCTGGGCTCAAGCGATCCTTCCTCCTCATCCTCCCAAAGTGCTGGGATTTACAGGCATGTGTCACTGCACCCGGCCTGACACATCTGTTAAATTGAGGCTAATGCTATTAGCTCCTTCCTGGGGCTCTTGAGAGGAGTAACTGAAAAATAATAGCAATGGTGGACACTGTCAAGAATTTTATGTGCATTATTAACTCACTTAATAGAATGCATCTCAACCCCTGGGCCTCATGACCCCAGGGATGGGGCTTATTACTGTCATCCTCCCAAGTGGCTGTGGTTGCCAGAGCAGGAGGTCAGGCTGTCCGGCAGGGCCTGGCTGGAGTGGCTGGGCCC
Source organism: Homo sapiens (assembly GCF_000001405.40). Classification (NCBI taxonomy): domain Eukaryota; kingdom Metazoa; phylum Chordata; class Mammalia; order Primates; family Hominidae; genus Homo; species Homo sapiens. Next base: position 52,353,649 of record NC_000003.12, on the reverse strand, counting down.
GCTGGTGGCTACCCACCTGCTCGATGGCGTACTCCTTGCCAGCCACCTCAGCCACCTTGCTGATGCTCTCGATATGGTCCTGCAGGTTCATCTCCAGGCAGCGAGCAAAGGTCAGGTTGGCCTTGGGCCTGACATTGATGTTGATCTGGTTGGACAGTGTCTCCCAGTGCCGGATCCGCATGCCAGGGTTGCGCAGCCCCTGGATCAGTGGGATGTATGGTTTGAACTCCTCGATGCGGGCCCGGATGTCCAAGGCCACTTCCTGGCAGGCTGCCGGGTAAGACAGAAACGCATGAGAGGCAGGCGGCAGAGGCAGGGAGGAGGGGATTGGCCGGCTTGGCTCCCTACCTGGCATGTCCTTAAACTGCTTCACGCACTTGTGCATGGTCTTGAAGGCTTCAACCACGTTCTTCTCCAGCTGCTCAGCATCGATGGCAGAGAGGGGGTCATTCATCCAGCTCTCCGACCAGCGCAGCCAGTCAGACGCTGTGGTCCAAAGGTCCAGGTAGGGTTGGAACTCCTTCACCATCCTGGAGAGCTTGTCATACTGCAGGGACAGGAGGGCAGGGCTGGGGCTGTCTTGGGACACTTCCCAGTCTCTCTCCATGTTGCCCCTTCTTGGGCCAGGTCCTCTCCCTCTCCCTTGCTCCTGGCTGATGTCCCTGACCGTGCCCCCAAACACCTGGGCCTGGCCTCCCTTCTTCTCTTCCCACCTGAGATCTGGGCTCTGAGCTGTTGCACCAGACCTGGGCTGACCCTCAGGCCACCTGCCTTGTACTAGGGGCCTCCTCAACCTGAGGGCCAGGGTTGGGCTATCTCCACTCTGCAGCCTGCTGGGTCCTGCCCCCAAATGCCAGAGCCCTGCCTCCTGGCAGCTGCATCTACATGAGCTGCTTCCTCAAGCCTGGGGGCATGGGGGCAGGGTGCCTGCAGGAGGCCTACATTGGTGATGGGCAAGCTGAAGATGCGCTCGCGGTTGTTGTAGAGCATGGCCAGCTGCTGGCAGTCCTTCAGCTGCTTCTTGACACGCCGCACCTCGTTGGCGATCTCGTGTGCACGTGAAATCTCCACATGGATGGAGAAGCCAGCTACTACCAGCTGCAGGCCAAGGAGCAATGGGTCAGATGCCCCTGCAGCCCCACTTGTGTCCAGGCCTTCCCATGCAAACCCAGGGAACCAGAGGTCCCAGGACGTCCACTCCTCCGAGTTCTAAGGAGGTTGTTCTCCTGGAGTGAGCAGGTTCCTCACAGCAAAGCCAGGGGAGACCCAATGCACTGACACTGTGCCCACTGCCCAGTAGGCCGCCAAGGACACAACAGAAGAGCTGGGGACTTTACTACTCCGAATCTTTCTGGAGCTTGCTGCCCAGGCATCTCTTTGGCCTTTGCGTTCATTCTTTCAGCCATTTATTCATTCATCCATCTGCCCGCCCATCACATGTTGACTCAGCACCTCCTGAATGCAAGAAGTGAGGCCAGGCCCTGGAGAACTGTGCGTGCGTGTGGTGGGGGCTGTGTCCAGCACCAAGCCTGCAGCTGTGCCCCACCTGCAGCCCTTCCAGCTTCTCTTGGAAGTTGTTCTGATCCATGATCTGGATTTTGCGGAACTTCTCCTCATCCTCCACATGCTGCTGCTGCACCAGCTCTATCTGCCCAAGGATCTTAGAAGGCCAGTTGCTGGCAATCCATCTGGCCGGGATGGGGGTGGGGATTGGGAGAAATATCGCGGCTGAAGTGGTGGAGTGGCAAGACCAGGCAGGGGCATCCCACCAGGCACCCAGGCAGCCAGTGAGAAGGGGTTCAGGGGAAATCCAGGCAGCTGTGGAGGCTACCTGGGGCCAGACAGCTGCGAAGTACAGGTGAGCTGGGAGGCGCGACTGCCACCATCAGGGAGGCTGCCCTGCCCCCTGGGAGCTGCAGTCTGCATCCAGTGAGATGCAGACCCAAGGTGCCCAGTGTAGTGATGGGGACCAAGGGGAAGTGAGAAGAGTGAGGCCAAGTTCCCCTCTTAAGCCTCAGGGGCCAGAGGGGCCTTTCCTCAGAGGAGGCAAAGCCACAGTCTCTAGCCAGGGCCCTCAGGCCAGCTGCCTTCAGGTCAGACCAACTCCCTTTGCCCAGCTGACATAGGGGGTCTGTGGGATGTGGGGCTTCCACCTGCAGCTGGCCTAGGGATGCTGGTCGTGGGGGAGTTCCCCCTGAGCACCCAGATGCCCTGTCTGCCAGTGTCTCCCTCTCCTGGGCAGGGCCCTGATGGTCCTGACTCCCCCAACATCTGTGAGGCAGCACTGGGTGTGGGGTCTCTGGCGGCCTCAGTAAGGCTTGGCAGGAAAAGGGCACCTAAGGCTGTTTCCCACAAGGCTTTTGACTTGGGTGGGGACAAATGCCCCTCTCCAGGGACTGCCCACCAGGCTGAGCTTTGCCTCTCTCAGTGCTCCCAAGAACCCCAAAGGGCACCAGCCACAAACAGGAAACCCTAGGTCCACAGTAAAATACGTGTGTCAGGCTGGGCGCGGTGGCTCACGCCTATAATCCTAGCAGTTTGGGAGGGCGCGGCGGGTGGATCACCTGAGGTCAGGAGTTCGAGACCAGCCTAGCCAACATGGTGAAACCCCATCTCTACTGAAAATATAAAAATTAGCCGGGCATGGTGGTGGGCACCTGTAATCCCAGCTACTCAGGAGGCTGAGGCAGGGAGAATCACTTGAACCCTGGAGGCGGAGGTTGCAGTAAGCTGAGATCGTGCCACTGCACTCCAGCCTGGGTGACAAAGCAAAACTCTGTTTCAAAAAACAACAAGCAAAACATGTGCCAGGCCATTGACAGGACAGAGACAGGGTTGGGGAGCAGCTGAGGCCAAGAGGCCCAAATGAATTCCTTCGGCCACCTGGCCCTGGCTGGTCCCGGCCCATGTGTGGAGCCCTGGCCTCTGAAATCTCAGTGGGGTGTTTCTGGGGAGATTGCACAGACTGTGGCAGCTGGGGCATTTGGGAGCCTCTGCAGCTCAGCAGCTCCCCTCATGCTCCACCCCGCACCTGGCATGGGGGCCAAGCTCCCACTCACTTGTCATTGAAGTCATCTGAGCTGAGGTTGTAGAGGAATTCATCCATGACCTGGTAGTCATCCATGACCTTCACAATCCGCTCCTGCACAGACAGGTGGTAATGAGAACTTCACGTGTGCCAGGGAGGTGGTGGGTAATCGGAACCTGGCTCCCCAGAGACGGGTACTAGAGAGGGGCTGCTCTCTTTCAGAATGGGGAGGTCTGGGCCAGGGGAGGAGGCCCAGGGTGCAAGGGCAGCATCAGGCTCAGGGCTCCTAGAGCCATGGCTGCCACACCTCCAGCTTCCAGCTCCCCCCTACCCCCAGACAGCAGAGCTCTGAAGCCCCGGCTCACAACCCCCTAAACCCCATCTGTCCTCTGTCCAACTACCTTACCCTCAGCCTCCTGAGTCCGACCTCCCAGCCCCTGCCTGCCCCAGCCCTCGGACTCTTAACACCAGCCCTGTGCCTCCCTGGCCCCAGTGCCCGTGTGCCTGCCTCACCTCCAGGCCCACCAGCCTCTCCGGGATGCCCTTCATCCACTCTCGCAGCTCAGCCAGCTCCTCAATGCTGTTGGGCTTCTCATAGATCTTGCGGCTGATGCTGCGGAACTCCTCGCAGATCTGGCAGTGGGAGGAGGCGCTGGGGAGGGCAGCATGCTGCTCCCTTGCCTTCCCTCACCTGCTCTTCCTCCTTGGTCTCCAGCATCTCCCGACAGGTAACTGTCCCCTCCACCACAACATCCTGCGGCGCTTTCCAAGAGGGGTGCTCCTGGTGGGCTCCCTGGGTTGCTGAGGACTGTCAGTGGGGCAAGGGTATGACCCGGCACACCTCACCCTTCCAGCCTCCTCCAGCCCTACCAACACACGCAGGGCTTCTGAGGCCTGCACTCGAATCCCCTAGCTCCATGAAACAAGTCCGTCAAGGGTGTCCTTCGTGAGGCTTTCCAGGCCTCTAAGAGTCTAGGGAAGGAGGTGGAAACCCCCGTTTCCTGGGACCTCCCATACAGGACAGCTCTCTGCAGACAGGCAGGGATGGGGCAGGGTGATTTCCAGCTCCTTCCCTTGGCCTGGGCATCCACAGACACCCCAGACCCTGCTTGGGGACATCTTGCCATGTATGTGAGGGTCCGTGTGTGCTGCTGTGGTGTGTGCTGCTGTGGTCACTGAGGCGGGGCAGGTGGGCACTTACGCTATCCACCTCCTTATGCAGGTTCTTGGCAAGGATGTCCAGCACGGAAGTGGCCAGGGCCTTGCGTTTCTTGGACAGGCTCTGCTTGACATTGTCGGTGTTGATGTAGAAAGGCCCAATGATGATGCTGCTGGGCAGCGAGCTGTCCAGGATCTCCTTCTCCCGCAGGTGGGTGAGCACTACCTCCCGCACCTCCTGGGCCAACAGGCCCTGCGTCTGGTAGGTTCTGAGGACAGCAAGCACACGGGAGGGGGCAGAGGATGGTGAGCAGGGTGGGCAGGGGATACACATGCACAAACACACAGACACCCTCCGACGTGCATGGGCACACGTACGCACTTGAGAAAGGAGGCAATGTCATTGTTGTTCAGCTCCAGGTACTTTCGGTACTCCTTGGCGTAGGCCTGCAGTGGGATCATGGCCTTGGACACGGCACTGGCAATGGTGGCCCGTAGCTCTTCCACCAGTGGCTCATGAAGGCCCACGGACTCCAGCAGGGGGTCACCGCTGATGAAGATGTCCTCCATCACCAGCTGCAGAGGGAAGGCATGTGGCAGGGCAGACCTGGATGAGCCAGGGGGTGAATGAGCAGAGGGGAGATGGGGAGTCCTCCCGAGGAGCAGGGCAAGCAGGGGCAGGATGTGGCCTGAAGCCTAGAGGGTGGCAGGGTGACCAAATACAAAAGGAGGGATGCAGCGGGAGAAGGGGGTTTGCTGTGCTGTCTCTTTACAAGGCCAGACGCCCCTGTGAGGCCCACCAAGGGGCAGCATCTTCCTCTGCCTGGGCATGACTCTGCCTGGGCCTGACTCAGCCCAGGACCAAGAAAAGGTGCAGAAAAGACAGCTGGGTCATGAAGGCTCTAACTGACCAGCAAAGGCGACAAGAAGGGCTAGGGCTACAGAGGCTCTTGGGTCTGGAAGTGGGCTGTGTGCAGCTGGGTGTGTGTGCAGTGGCAGTGACTGGTGGGGACGTTGGACAGAGGGTCTGTATGTGGAAGCCGGCCTGTGTCCACCTCTGGAGATGAAGAGAGAGGCCAAGAGCTGGGTGGGATCAAGAGCGTGGGGTCTACATCAGATCTGGCTGTGGCAGCAGAGGACCAGCAAGCCCAGGGTTCAGATCGCAGTTCCAACACTTAGCAGCTATGCAATCTTAGGCTAACTATTACACTTCTCCAAGCCTCACCTACAAAATCTGACATTAGCAGCTACACAATCTTAGGCTATTACACTTCTCCAAGCCCCACCTACAGAATGCGAGTGTTAATAGGTCACAGTGCAGCTTGTGATGAGGATTAAATGGGATATTTGAGATTTACAGGGCTGAGCATGCTGCCTGCCCGACAGGAGGCCTGTGATACAGTTGAACTGTGGCAGCACCCTGAGCTCAGGGAGCCATCAGCAGCCAGGGCAGCAGGTGCCTGGGGCCTGCTCAGGCTGCAGCACGTACCTTCTCCAGCTGGGGCACGGCATGGGTGGCCAGGATGCCCTTGTCGAAGAGGTTCAGCAGAGATGCCTCAAACTGCTCCAGTGGGGTGCTATAGTGCACCCCAGAGCTGTCCAGCACCAGGTCCATGATGAACAGGGGATTCTTCCGGGGCCTGCAGGCAATGGCGAGCTGACTGTGGGCAGAGGCCTAGGAGGCCTGTGTGCAGGAGCAGCCCTCTGCCCTTCCTGCCAGCGCTATGACTCTTGAGCCTCTCCATGCACAATACTTGCCTTCTCCTTCGTCCCACACACCTCCAAGTTACCAGAGAGGAAGACCCAGGCCAACCAAACAGGTTCCTCTGCTCCTCAGGTGACCTGAGGTCCATGAGCACCACACGAGAGGGAGGCCCCCCACCCCTGTGCTGAGGTTGCCAGGGCCTAGGCATTGTAGCCCCCACTCTCTCCCCGGGAGCCCATCTTCCTTGGCTTCCCATCTTCGCTACACAGCAAGAACCAAGCCTGGATCCCAGCTGGAACCCTCTGATGGCTTCTGACTGTACTTAGAATAAATCCAGCCCCCAGCTGAGACCTCAGGAGGCCCCAAGAGATCTGGCCTGGTCCCTGCAAGCTCTCCCACTCCATCCTGAGCAGCCCTCCCTCCCCTCCCTGACTCCAGCCACACTGGCCAGCCTTTCCTTCCTCAACTGCGCCAGGCCTATCCTCCCCTCGGTGCCTCTGCCCATGCTGATCTCTCCGCCTGTACCTGCCTCCACCTCACATCGCCTCATAACTTGTTTCTTCTTACATCTCAGGTCTTGGCACAGATGCCACCTCCTCCCTGACCCACCCCCAGTGTCTATCATGGCCCCTGCCAAAACCGGCAATGACTGTGTGTATGTATTTATCTGCTTGCTGCCTGTCTTTCCCATGAGACCAGGGACTGGGCCTCTCTTGTTCCCCTAGAACCATGCCTGGTTCATGGCAAGTGTTCAAAGAATATTTCTCCACTGAGTAACTCAATGATTGAGTGAATGAAGGTCACCAGAAGCAATGCAAGCCAGGGCTGGCAGGACATTGCCCAGCAGCCTGCAGGGAGCTCGGCTCTCCTTACTGCCTGGGACCTGGCATGGATGGGCACCCTGGCCCTGGTCCCTGACCCTGCTCCATCCCCAGCAGGTGACACATCACCTGGTGTCAACAGGTGCCTCCGCCCCGCCGGGCCCCACCTGTAGGGGCTGTTAATTAAGTCGTCACCCCAGACCATGTCATCGGTGCAGTTGAGCACGCTGCAACAGGTGTCGCTGATGAACTGTGAGAAGCTGGCAAGTGAGTCCTGCACCAGGAAGCGCAGTGTGTCCTGCAGCATGTACTTCACCAGCTCCATCAGCTTGCGCAGCTTGGACATGAGGTACACCTCCCAGTTGGTCTCGTAGAGGTTGTACCAGCCCTTGCTCATGTCGCGCAGGCTGCTGCGCATGGCCACCTTTAGCGAGCTGATCCAGCTGTCCTTGAGGAACATCTGCACCTAGAGTGGCCACAGGCATCATCATATGGCCACCCTGGGGACCCACGACCTATAGCTGCACTCAGGGACTCTATGCACCAGGGTGCTTGGGGCGGCTCAGGGCTCATCTGACTGTGGAGGGATGTCCCCTACCCCAACTTACTGCCAAGCCCTGCCAACCAACAGCCTCATGTGACCCTGGGGGCCCAGAGCTGCTGGGCAGGGAAGGAGGGAAGAAAGGAGGGAGGGAGGACAGGACAGCAGAAGCAGGACTTTCCCTCCAGCCGTGAGCGAGAGACAGAGACCCAGAGATTGAGATGAGAGAAGCAGAGAGACAGAGAACAAGACAAAAATGGGCTGAGAGGGAAAGATAGAGAATAAGGTGGAGAGACAGACAGAGACAGAGTTGAGTGCAGAGGGGGTGCACCCCCACCTCCCTCATACCCCAATCCACAGGTCAACATGGGGGTGCCTGAGGTTCCTGCTCCCCCTTCTAAGACAAGGGATCTGCTTCAGAGGCAACCAGAGTTGGGATGGAAAGGGATTGGAAAGAGAGCCTGCCCTGGTTTTCCCTTTCTCTCCAAGATGAGTCATTACCCTTGGTCCCCACCCCAGCCTCCAATAAGGTCTAGGAAGAGGCTGAGGCCAGGTTTTGAGAAAAGCAGGGGCTCACAGCCTCACCATGTGGCCCACTGACCCTGGCCTTCCGCTGCAGCCCCGACCTGTGCCTGCCAGTTCCAAGGGTCTGCCCTGCGTTTGCCCCCTGTGCCCTTGATGCCCACAAACCTGGGAGAAGGTCTGTGACTGGATCTGCTCAAATTCCTCCAGGTGGCTGTACTTGGAGAGGCTCGAGTGGAACAGGGACATGGCGGTCACCTTGTTGCACTCGGCCCTCACCTTGCTGAGGGCCGTGATGACCTCTGGCCGTGTGAGCAGGGACACGAAAGTGAAGTCCTCCTTCTGCTCCCAGAAGTGGTACTTGGGGACACTCACCAGCCCTGCAGGGATAGGGGCCAAGGGCCAGTATCAGACCCTGCCTGGCCAAACCAGGGGACAGGACAGATCCACAGGGTGCTTGAAGGAGGGCCATGACTCCTGCCTTCTCCCTGAAGAGTGACTGGCGTTCCCAGAGCCCCGCCTTTCCATAGTTTGCCGGAGTGGCACTGAAGCTCTTCAGTGAGGTGCCTACTCTGAGATGGGTAAAGGAATTCCTTCCAGGACCCCCTAGTCACAGGCTCCTCTGAGAAGTAGATGAGAACCAAGAACCCTCTCCTCATCCACTCCTGCCCGTGCTGCACACAAGCTTAAGGTCTGTCCACAGCCTGCCCTGGGGCACCAAGGAAGGAAAGGGTAGGTACCAGAACCTCTTGGAATGCCCACTGTCCACACCCCAGCCTGCATCCGGAGTACATGACATGCAGGAAGCTGAGTCTAGGAAGGCTGGCAGGTGAGCTGAAAGCAAGGAGGGTTCTTGGGCCCCGGGGTCCTGCTCTGAGACTCGGTCTCCTCTCTTGCTACTGGAGGAAGAAGGACTATCCTCTAGGTCTGATCAGCAGAGCCCCTTCCACCTACTGCTGAAGCATTGTTTCCTAGTACACATTCACCTTGCAACTTCTGTGCTATTCTCACTAATAAGTTCAAAAAGAGCCTTCTTCCCTTCCCCTGGTCCAGAGCCCTCCAGGCAGCAGGGAGAAGTGGGACAAGTGCTGGAGACAGGGGAGGTGCAGGGAGTGTTGGGCTGATGACGCCCACAATGGCAGGGCAGACAATCCTGGAGGGGAAGGTGGGAGGGGGCTCTGGCCAGGTGGATGGCCATGGAGCCCATCTTGGTCCAGTGACCCTCACCTCGCTCAGGCACCTGCTCCTCCTCCTTCTTGGGGAGGGTGACGTAGGAGAAGGTCTCGGGCTTGGAAGAGACAACGTGGTCAAAGTTGATCTTGTTCATGCTGCGCTCATAGTCCAGGCTCACTTCTCTGGCAAGACTGCTGAGGTGCTCTAGAACCCTGCCCATAGAGATGGGAGATGGGGGAATCAGGGGCTCCACACCCTGTGAACCCCAGCCGGGGCCCAAGCTCTGCTCTGGCATGGACCTGGGGACACGCATTTAGGGCTTCCCTTCTGGATTCATGGGCACACCCCCACCCGGCCCTGAGCCACTAACCTCCAAGTGCACCTCCTCTGCTTCTTTCCCCCTTGTCCCCATTTTCTGTCCCCCATTTTCTGCCCCTTGTCCCCATTTTCTGTTGCCAGTCTCTGGGAGCCAAGGCAGGCCCCAGAGCAGTGGGACGGGGTGCAGGAAGTCCTGGGCCTGGAAGCCTCAGAGAGCTGCCACTCACAGCCTGCACCTCCCCTGCAGCACCCCCGCCTGCTGCCCCATGGTGCAGTGGAAGATGCCTGCCACTGAGCTCCTTTGCTTTCACTGGGCAATCATGGCAGCGCCTGGAAGGTGCTGAGAACTCAGGATGTGCCCATGACTGGGCCTGAGGGTGGGTGACCCCTGCACTTCACTTTGAAACTGGGCTCCGAGATCGGAAATCAGCAGACCTGGGGTGAGCGTGCACACCATCTCCCCCGTCCTCACATAGGCAGACCCCTTGGAGGCCATTTCACTCACTCACTCACTCGCTCACTCACTCCTCAGCACACGTTGCCTATGCCGCTGTGTTCCGGCACCTGGCTTGCTCAGGCCTCATCTGAGCCAGCTGGCATCTCTGTCCTTTGCGGACAGGCCTTTCTGTTCCTTGAGTTGGTCTCTGCCATCGATCTCTCCCTCCCTCCCACCTCTGCCACATCTGAATAGTCCCTTTAGCCCTGGTAATGGCACCACAAGGGAATCTCAGTTTCCTGCAGCCCACACTTGCACCAGAGCTGCGGGATGTTGGAGAACTTCGTAGGCAGGGGACTGGTCTCACCTTCAACACACCCTCAACCTGGCCTAGAAATCTACTCACTCCCTCGGAACCTGGAAAAGACTCTCTCTCACCTTCTCTGCCAACTCACAGACACACCCTCCCTCACTGGGTGAAGTCCCTCGAATTTCATCCGGAACTCAGAAGCCATTGGACAGAAATGACCCCATCTTCACACCCCGGAATCTCCCTGCCTTCTGCCAGGGTAGAAGGCATGCCCTGCTCTCAGGAAAAGCCCAGCAAGCTCAGCCACCTCAGTCTCTTTGCCTTCCCTCCCACGCCCTCCCAGGGGTCCCCACACACTCTGGTATGTCCCACATTAGAAGCCGCCCCTTGACTTCCTTCCCTCCTTTGACTTTATCTCTTTGTGTTTCTTTATGAAAAACTGGTGTGCTCACTTCTTCCCATCCTCATCTCTTCCCTCGCTACCCCTGAGGCCACTCCAGGCTCTGCCTCATCTCACTGGACTCTCAGAGACTTGGCACAGTGGCTCCCTCCTATTCTGCTGCACCGCTGTCCTCACGGAGCTTCTGGGACACCCTTCCCCTGGATCTTCCTCACCTCCCTGACTTCTAAACGTTGGCCTGTGCCAGGGGTCCTGAGACCCCTCGTCTTCCCCAGCTATACCTCCCACCAGGTGAGCTCCTCCAGCCTCGGACTCTGAACACCACCTGTTCTATTCAGCCAGAACCCTCACACCTATCTGCAGTTCTCTCCCTTCATTTATCCACCAGCCCACTCAACACTGACACTGGATGCCTTACAACGTGTCAGAACCAGCATGTCAGAAGGCAAGCTCTTCATTTCTCTCCATCCCCTGTTCCTCGCTTGCCCCCTATCCCCACTAGCCTCCTTGTCTCTGAACAGCATTGCACACACCCTACTGACCAAAGCCCTACGGAGGGGTCCCTGGTCTCTTCCTGCTACTGGATGTGCAACACCATGACTGGGCCTGAGGGTGGGTGACCCCTGCACCTGATCCTGAAACTGGGCTTTGAGATTGGAAATCCCCAGACCTGGGGTGAGCTTGCATTTAGTCCATTAGCAGCTCTCATTGGCTCCACCGCTGAGGAAACCTCAAATATATCTCTTTCTCCCGTGCTGCTCAGCTACTATTCTGGTTCAAGCCACCATCATGATCTCTGGCCCTGATTATGGCATTAGTCTCCTCATTGATCTCCCTGCTTCCACTCTTGCCCCCTTACAACTCATTCTCTACTTGAGTTGGAAAAAATATATTTTAAACATGTAAACGATCAAGCCACTCCTCTGCTCACCACCACCCATGGCCTGCACAGACTGTCGGCCTGTGGCCGCGTCTCTGCCCCTGCATGTGGTCCAGCCTCCCAGACCAACATCTCTCTCTGCATCCCAACCACAGTAACCCTGCCCTGCTCCTCAAGTACCACAAACTTGTCCCTACCTCAGCCTCTGCACTGCTGCTCCTTCTGCCAGAATCCTCTTCTTCCCTTACTTTAGACCTCAACTCAAATGTTATCACCACTGTGAGAAAGGCTTTCCCTGACCGCCTAATATAAAGAAGCCCTTCTGAGACATCTCTATTCCCTTCTCTCGCTTGGTCTTCACAGCACTTATCAGAACCCTAAAAACCCAGATTTTTCATTGTCTGTCTTTCTGGCCAGGCTGAGAGTCCCCAGGGTGCAGGCTCTTTGTTGGAAATGTTCACTCCTCTGTACCCAGTGTCTGGCACAAGATGGGTACTTCCACACATGGCTGCTTGCTGGCCTGACATCCACTCCCTCCCTTCTTCCTCAGTTTTGTTCCAGAATTCCATCCTTCCTCACTTGACTCAGGGGAAGATGACTACAGCCCCAGCTACAGGGGTACATCTCAGCTAGTCCAAGCCAGTCGTGGTGGAGCTTGCCCCAACTGCAGTTGGTTTAGGTGTGGGAACACGTCCCAGTTATGATCAACCACTGATGCAGATATATAAAAGTCAAGCCCTTTGCAGTGAGCTAAGATTGCTCCACTGCACTCTAGCCTGGGGGACAGAGCAAGACCCTGTCTCAAAAAAAAAAAAAAAAAAAAAAAAGTCAAAGTCAAGCCCTCTTGTTCTGGCTCCCTCCAGGACAAATACGGTGGTGCCATGCTTGCTCTAGAGTTTCCCACAGGATCAGGCTGAGACTAGACTTCTAAAACCATATTTTACCAGCTGCTTCTTCTATTATACCCTGCTTCCTTCACTTCCTTATAGATTTCTCCTGAGAGGATTTCATAAATCGCTTGCACAAGAGTCCCCACATCAGGGTCTGCTTCTACGGAACCCAATCTAAGACAACCTTTGTTGTGGTCATGAAACTGCTGCTGCCATCTCGCCTGAAGATGAAGCCAGCATACACTGCAGACAGGGCCCTGATGCACCAACCCTGGGGCGTCCTGCATTGGTTTTCCTGCTACAGGTACAGGAATGCACTTCCCTGCTGTCTAAGACAATCTGAGACCAGCATCTTTGATACTTAAAGCCAAAAACATTATAAATTGAATAAAATTCAAGAAACAGACTTCTGGACAGCCAAGGTAAGGTGGCTATATCGATTCAAATTTCCCAACACATCCTAGGAAGGAAGGAAGGAAGGAAGGAAGGGAGGGAGGAAGGAAGGAAGGAAGAAAAAACTAACACTACCAAAACCCACACCTTTAGCACAACTAGAATCAGCAGAATGCCTAGACTTCAAATTATCTGTAAATTAAAAAAAAAAAATCTATCTCCAGTGAGCTGTCTCTCACACTCTTGCTGCAAGTTTTCACAGAGAACAAGGGCAGTCTAAGAAAAACTGCAGAAAAGGGAAATAGTGGTAACCCTAAGATAGATCTAAAATCCTACCAGAGGCCGGGCACAGTGGCTCATGCCTGTAATCCCAGCACTTTGGGAGGCCGAGGTGGGTGGATCACCTGAGGTCAGGAGTTCAAGACCAGCCTGGCCAACATGGTGAAGCCCCGTCTCTACTAAAAATACAAAAATTAGCTAGGCGTGGTGGTAACCACCTGTAGTCCCAGCTACTCGGGAGGCTGAGGCAGGAGAATCATTTCAACACAGAGGGCAGAGGTTGCAGTAAGCTGAGATCACACCACTGCTCTCCAGACTGAGTGACAGAGCAAGACTTCATCTCAAAAAATAAATATAAATAAATAAATAAATAAATAAATAAATAAAATCCTACCAGAAAGAGAAAGTAACCCAGGCTGGGCGCAGTGGCTAATGCCTATAATCCCAGAACTTTGGGAGGCCAATGTGGGTGGATGAATTGAGCCCAGGAATTCGAGACCAGCCTGGGCAACAAAGTGAGACCCCCATCTCTACAAAAAATAAAAAAATAGCGGGTGTGGTGGCACATGCCTGTAGTCCCAGCTACCAGGGAGGCTGAGGCAGGAGGATTACTTGAGCCCAAGAGTTTGAGGCTGCAGTTAGCTGTGATTATGCCACGGCACTCCAGCCTGGGTGAAAGTGAGACCGTATCTCAAAAAAAGAGAAAGTAACCCTAACTGTAAAAATACTGAAAAAAAGCCCTGGTAAATCAGAGCACTTACTACAAGGAAGGGACTTAAGGGCATGCAATTCAAAGGCAGTGTTCTTTGAAAGGCATATGACTTATGGGACAGGAGGCAGAAGGAAAGGGGTCATTTGTAGACTGGAGGATAAGGGAAAAGAAGCAAAAGTGAAATGTTGAGTTCTGCAAGATAAGAGGACAAAAACCTTGGAGGACCCACATCCCTCTCCCCAGCACGTGTGTACACACACACACACACACACACACACAGACACACACACAGAGCACATTCTAAAAACAAACAAACAAAAAAAACTAATGTGCAATACTGACAGAAGAGGGCGCCCTTGAACTAGAAAGCTTGCAAATCACTCCAAATCCTGAAATGAATAGGTGAACACCGTCTACATTTGCTTCTATAAGAAAAAGAGAGCATCTTTTAGCTTTGTTTGCACATTTGAGAAGACAAGAGCATCTTAACTGATAAAATTCCCATCACCCCTAAAAAAATAAACAAGTACCAAGCAGAAGAAAACTGTAACACAATACTTCAGCTAAATAGCCTTAAACGAGTGTTTGGGCATCTGAAAAACCACCTTGAATCAGAAATTCAAAAATAAAACATATAAATGGACAAATGTCGGTAAGAAAAGAGACTTAATTAAGCTCAAGGAAAAAATGGAAAATAAAAGTATCACGGGGAGGAAGCTGAAATTACAAGGTGACCGAGAGAAAACAGAGTCAAATCAAAGCATAATGAAGTAAATTGAAGAAAGGCAGGATATAACCAAGAGAATAAAAATGAGAGAAAATAAAGGAAGTAAAAGAAAGAAAATAAAATTTTAAAAAATAAAATTAGAAAAAACTAAAAAGGGTCGGAAACTGGTTGAATTAAAAGATACGCAAAGCAGCAGCAATATATAAAAAGATACATAGATACATAGAGATATAGATACATAATGGAATCCTTGATGAAGAAAAACAAAAGAATGGAACAGAACCAAGATTTAAAACTATAATTCAAGGGAATTTTTTTTTTTTTAGACGGAGTCTGGCTCTGTCACCCAGGCTGGAGTGCAGTGGCACAAACTCAGCTAACTGCAAGCTCTGCCTCCTAGGTTCAAGCAATTCTCCTGCCTCAGCCTCCCAAGTAGCTGGGATTACAGGCACCTGCCACCACATCTGGCTTTTTTTTTTTTTTTTGTATTTTTAGTAGAGATGGGGTTTCACCATGTTGACCAGGCTGGTCTCAAACTCCTGACCTCAGGCGATCCACCCACCTCAGCCTCCCAAAGTGCTGGGATTACAGGCGTGAACCACCATGCCCGGCCAACCTCAGACTTCTTAAAAGCATCACACAGGCAAGGCAACCAAAGTGGAGAATTTTTAAAAAACTCATAGAATAAAAGTTGTGAACTAAGAATTTTATATCTGGTCAAGCTGTCCTTCACGTTTTAAACGTGTGAGAACTCAAGGAACTCTATACCCTTGAGCTCTTCATGAGGAATCTACTAGAAAAGGAACTTTATACAACCAAGAGATGACGGGAGACTTCAGAAAAAATATTGATACGTTTAATAGAGTTTATTGTAAGTTGAAGACTAAAAGGTGGAGATGAGTGTGGAGGAATAGTAATAATATTTTAACAGTTAAAATATTAAGTAGAGGCTGGGCACAGTGGCTCATGCCTGTAATCCCAGCACTTCGGGTGGCCGAGGTGGGTGAATCATTTGAGGTCAGGAGTTCGAAAACAGCCTGGCCAACATGATGAAATCCCTTCTTTACTAAAAATACAAAAAATAGCCAGGCATGGTGGTAGGCGCCTGTAATCCCAGCTACTCAGGAGGCTGAGGCAGGAGAATAGCTTGAGCCCGGGAGGCAGAGGTTGCAGTGAGCAGAGATCGCACCATTGCACTCCAGCCTGGGTGACAAAACAAGACTCCATCTCGAAAATAAATAAATAAATTAATTAATTAAGTAGAGCTGAGCATGGTGACTCACTCCTATAATGCCAGCACTTTGGGAGGCTGAGGTGAGCAGATTGCTTGAGCCCAAATGTTTGAGACCAGGCTGGGCAACATAGGGACACCCTGTCTCTAAAAAAATACAAAAATTAACCAAGCGTGGTAGCTCACACCTGTGGTCCCAGCTACTCAGGAGGCTGAAGTATGAGGATAGCTTGAGCCCAGAAGGTCAAGGCTGAAGTGAGCTATGATTGTTGTGCTACTGCACTGTGGCGTGGGTGACAGAGCAAGACCCTGTCTCAAAACAAAACAAAACAAACAACAACAATGAAACAGGACAGATACTAAAGGGTTAAGTAGGAAAGCAGGGGATAATGGAGACTATAAAAGAAACCACTAAAATAACGGTACAGACCTTCCTAAATGCCAAAAGGAATTTTTAAAATAGAAGAACTAAGAAAACATATAATGTAGAGAAAGAAACATAGCATTATATTACAATACACATAATGATTATAATATGAAGCAATATGACTGAGTTGAGGTCAAACCTATTAGCCATACCAATAAATGTGAATGGGCTTATTACAAGAAAAAGGTTTTAAATTTGGCTCACAAATAAAACCCAAACTATATGCTGAAAGTAAGAAACTGATCTAAAATGAATTAGTTTAGAAAGGCTCAAAATAGAGGGATTTCTCAGGCAAACGGAAATAATAAAATGTCAGGTTGCTACGCTGATATCAAACAAAGTAAAATGCAGATCGAAAAGCATTAGAACTCCATCAAAAGGCCTGGAACTGATAAACAACTTCAGTGAAGTTTCGGGAAACAAAATCAATGTACAAAAATCAGGAGCATTTCCATACACCAATAATGTTCAAGCTAAGAGCCAAATCAAGAACACAATCCCATTTACAATTGCCACACACACACACAAAATACCTAGGAATACATTTAACCAAGGAGGTAAATGATCTCTAGAAGAACTACAAAACACTGCTAAAAGAAATCAGAGATGACACAAACAAATGGAAAAACACTCCATGCTGATGGACTGGAAGAATCAATACTGTTAATATGGCCACACTGTCTAAAGCAATCTACAGATTCAACACAATTCCCATCAAACTACCAAGTCATTTTTCACAGAACTAGGAAAAAATTAGCCTAAAATTCATATGAAACCTAAAAAGAGCCCGCATAGCCAAAGCAAACCTAAGCAAAAAGAACAAAGCTGGAGGCATCACCTTATCTTCAAACTGTACTACAAGGCTACAGTAACCAAAACACCATAGTACTGTTACAAAAACAGACACATAGTCCAATGTAACAAAATAGAGAGCCCAGAAATAAAGCCACACACCTACAGCCATCTGATCTTCAACAAAATTGACAAAAATATGCAGTGGGGAAAGGACTCCCTATTCAATAAATGGTGCTGGGATAGCTGGCTAGCCATATGCAGAAGATTGAAACCGGACCCTTACCTTTCACCAGAAACAAAAATTAACTCAGGATGGATTACATATTTAAATTGTTCTTTTTTTTCTTCCTGAGAAAGGGTCTGACTCTGTCACCCAGGTTGGAGTGCAGTGGTACCAGTGCGGCTCACTGCAACCTCCACCTCCTAGGTTCAAGTGATCCTCCTACCTCAGCTTCCCAAGGAGCTGGGACAATAGGCGCGCCCCACCATGCCTGGCTAATTTTTTTATGTTCTTTGGTAGAGATGGGGTTTCACCATGTTGTCCAGGCTGATCTTGAACTCCTGAGCTCAAACCATCCACCTTGCTCGGCCTCCCAAAGTGCTGAGATTACAGGTGTCAGCCATCTTGTCCAGCCAGGATTAAAGATTTAAATGTCAGACCTCAAACCATAAGAATCCTAGAAGAAAACCTAGGAATCACCATTCTGGATGTTGGCCTTGGGAAAGAATTTATGACTAAGTCCTCAAAAGCAATTGCAACAAAAACAAAAATTGAAGAGTGGGACCTAATTCAAGAGCTTTTGCACAGCAAAAGAAAGTATCAACAGAGTAAACAGACAACCTGCAGAACTGGAGAAAATATTCACAAACTATGCATCTGACAAAGGTCTAATATCCAGAATCTATAAGAAACTTAAACAACTGTACAAGGAAAAAAATGAATAATTCTATTTAAAAAATGGGAAAAAGGGGCCGGGTGCGGTGGCTCAGGCCTGTAATCCCAGCACTTTCAGAGGCCGAGGTGGGCAGATTACTTGAGGTCAGGAATTTGAGACCCGCCTGACCAACATGGAGAAACCCCGTCTCTACTAAAAATACAAAATTATCTGGGCGTGGTGGCACATGCCTGTAATCCCAGCTACTCAGGAGGCTGAGGCAGGAGAATCACTTGAACCCAGGAGACAGAGGTTGCAGTGAGCTGAGATTGCGCCATTGCACTCCAGCATGGGTAACAAGAACAAAACTCCATCTCAAAACAACAAAAAACAAAAAACAAAAGGGAAAAAGAGCAAAAGGGCCGGGTGCGGTGGCTCACACCTATAATCCCAGCACTTTGGGAGGCCGAGGCAGGTGGATCACCTGAGGTCAGGAGTTCAAAACCAACCTGGCCAACATGGTGAAACCCCGTCTCTACTAAGAAATACAAAAATTAGCTGGGTGTGGTGGCAGGCACCTGTAATTCCAGCTACTCGGGAGAGAAGCAAAAAAAAAAAAAAAAATCACACATTGCTTTTTTTGTTTAAAAAGCAAAAAAAAATCACACATTTTTTTAAAAAGCTTATAGATCATGCCTGTAATCCCAGCACTTTGGGAGGCTGAGGCAGGTGGATCACGAGGTCAGGAGATCGAGACCATCCTGGCGAACATGGTGAAACCCCGTCTCTACTAAAAAATACAAAAATTAGCTGGGTGTGGTGGCAGGCACCTGTAATTCCAGCTACTCGGGAGAGAAGCAAAAAAAAAAAAAAAAAATCACACATTGCTTTTTTTGTTTAAAAAGCAAAAAAAAAAATCACACATTTTTTTAAAAAGCTTATAGATCATGCCTGTAATCCCAGCACTTTGGGAGGCTGAGGCAGGTGGATCACGAGGTCAGGAGATCGAGACCATCCTGGCGAACATGGTGAAACCCTGTCTCTACTAAAAATACAAAAAAATTAGCCGGGCATGGTGGCGGGCGCCGGGGGGCGGATCTTGCAGTGAGCAGAGATCACGCCACTGCACTCCAGCGTGGGCGACAGAGCGAGACTCTGTCTCAAAAAAAAAAAACAGAAAGAAAGAAAAGTTAAAGTAAGCTAAAGTTAGTTAATTAATTAATTACATACATTTTTCTGAGACAGTCTCACTCTGTCACCCATGCTGGAGTGCAGTGACGCAATCTCAGCTCACTGCAACCTCTGCCTCCCAGGTTCAGGCGATTCTAGGGCCTCAGCCTCCCAAGTAACTGGTATTATAGTCGTGTGCCACCACGCTCAGCTAATTTTTGTATTTTTTTTTAGTAGAGATGGGGTTTTGCCATGTTGGCCAGGCTAGTCTTCTACTCCTGGCCTCAATCAATCCACCCACCTTGGCCCCCCAAAGTGCTGGGATTATAGATGTAAGCCATCATGCCTGGCCCTAAGGTGTGTTGGGTTAATTTATTATTGAAGAAAGAAAAATTTAAAATAAATTTAGTGTAGCCTAAGTGTATACAGTATTTATCAAGTCCGCAGTAGTGTATAGTAATATCCTAGGTCTTCACGTTCAGTCACCACTCACTCACTGACTCAACCACCGCAACTTCCAGCCCTGCAGGCTCCATTCATGGTAAGTGCCTTACATAGATGTACCATGTTTTATCTTGTATACTGTATTTTTACTGTACCTTTTCTATGTTTAGATACATGAATACTTGCCGTTGTGTTACAGTTGCCTGCAGTATTCAGTAATCACAGCCTGTATAGGTTTGTGGCCTAGGAGCACTAGGCTGTACCATATATCCTGGGTGTGCAGCCAGCTATATCATCAAGGTCTGTGTCAGTACACACTATGATGTTTGCACAATGATGAAATCACCTAATGACACATTTCTCAGAACATGTCCCTATCATTAAGTGATGCATGACTATAAAACTACAGATGCTCCTCTACTTACAGTGGGGCTACATTCCAACTAAACTTATCATAAGTTTAAAATGCACTTGATACACCTAAGCTACTGAACACCATAGTTTAGCCTAATCTACCTTAAATATGCTCAGAACACTCACATTAGCCTACAATTGGGCAAAATTATGTAACACAAAGCCTATTTTATAATAAAGTGTTTAAAATCTCTTGAAATGTATTGAATACTGTACTGAAAATGAAAAAAAAACATTGGTTGTGTGCATGCTTGAAGTACAGTTTCTACTGAATGCATATCACTTTCACACCATCATAAAGTTGAAAAATGGTAAGTTGGCTGGGCATGGTGGCTCACACCTGTAATCCCTTTGGGAGGCCAAGGCGAGTGGATTACCTGAGGTCGGGAGCTCGAGACCAGCTTGGCCAAAATGGTGAAATCTCATCTCTACTAAAACTACAAAAATTAGCCAGGCATAGTGGCGGGTGCCTTTAATCCCAGCTACCCAGGAGGCTGAGGCAGGAGAATCTCTTGAACCTGGGAGGCGGAGGTTGCAGTGAGCCAAGATCAAGCCACTGTACTCCAGCCTGGGTGACAAGAGTCAAACTCCATCTCAAAAAAAAAAAAAGAAAGAAAGAAAGAAAAGAAAAGGAAAAGAAAAGAAAAAGAAAAATGGTAAGTCAAACTATCATAAATTGGGGACCATCTGTATATATATTTCCCAGATCTGTCTGCTGTGGGAGTCTCAAAGCAATGATATCCCAGTAGCAATGAGCACATCTAATGCCCAGATCTTGGCTTCTAAATATAATTCCTCAACTAAAAGGAACTTCCAGCCGGGCATGATGGCTCATGCCTATAATCCCAGCACTTTGGGAAGCCAAGGTGGGAGATTTACTTGAGCCTAGGCATTCAAGGCCAGCCTGGGCAACATAGGGAGATCTGTCTCTACAAAAAATAACAAAATTAGCCAGATGTTGTGGTACATGCCTAAGTCCCAGCTACTCAGGAGGCTGAGGTGGGAGGCTTGCTTGAGCCCAGGAAACTGAGGCTACAGTGAGCCAAGATGGCCCCACTGCACTCCAGGCACTCCAGCCTGGGTGACAGAGTAAGAACCTGTCTCAAAAAATAAACTAAAATAATAAATAAAAAGAGCTTCCTTGGAGAAACAGCTGGTTTCAGGACTGGACCTGGGAAAGTACACAATGAGCCTGGAAATTCTTGCTGTGCCAGAAAGTAAAGTTATCTTAGGGGCATCTTGCTAATAAATCATCATCTAAGGGTTTTGAAGAATGATGGAAACATGGTAAGGCGACACAGGAATTAGCTTGAAAAGTCTCCCGCTGGCCAAATCTAGGACAATTTGAGCATCAAAATTTTTAAAAAGTAGTCAATTGTAACCCTTTGAATAAAATAAGGATCCAGGAGTCCATATGGATAATGAGGGATCTGGAGATGAACAAAAAATTGTTTGAGGCCCCAACAAGTCCAGAGGGCAATAGCCAGGACAGTCTCAAACAGATGAGCCCTGAGGGAGCTCCACCCTGGAGTAGCACCAACTTCCTATGGGAAGGTTCCCTGAAGAAGGTGATGCCCAGAATAGGGAAGGCCGAGCGGGGACTCACGAGGGGCCTTTGCGCATCCGAGGCGTGCTCAGGGCCCACTGCTTGATCTTGCTCAGGCTCTGTTCACTGATGACATGCTGGCCGTCAGAGGGCATGCAGTCCACATACAAGTTGTAGAGCAGCAGTGCTTCCGTGTTCTTGCGCAGGGCGTTGGCCTGGACCACACGTTGTGCGAACATGCAAGGGTCCTCAGCGCAGAAGAGAAGCTGGATCCGTGGCACCCAGTACTGACAGACCTGAAGGGGTGGCCTTCCTGGGGGCCGGGTGAGAGGGAGAAGGGGACACACAATCAGGCTTTCTGGGCTGAAACACTAGGTTCCGGCCGGCTGTGCCGTGGATGCCCAGTGGCCCTGAACAAATTGTTTCCCTCTTCTGACCCCCTGTTGCATCTGTGAAATGGGCATGACGACACTTCCTGCCCGGCCCATCTCACAAGGTGTCATGGACGGATGTGAAAGCACTTAGACAAGGCTGGGGCGTGGTGGCTGACACCTGTAATCCCAGCACTTTGGGAGGCCAAGGAGGGAGGATGCTTGAGGCCAGGAGTTCGAGACCAACCTGGCCACCGTGGTAAAACCCTGTCTCTACTAAAATTACAAAAAAGTAGCTGGGTGTGGTCGTGGGCACCTGTAATCCCAGTTACTTGGGAGACTGAGGCACGAGAATCACTTGAACCCAGGAGGAAGAGGTTACAATGAGCCAAGATTGCACCACTGCACTCCAGCCTGGGTGACAGAGCCAGACTCCATCTCAAAAAAAAAAAAAAAAAAAAAAAGAAAAGTATTTAGACAAGGAGTTATACAGGCATGGCTGTTCAAGTGCCCATCCCTTGATCCCACACCCAGGGCAGGCATCGCTTATTGATGGGACTTGGGCTCAGAGCTGACATGCCAAATAATGGCCACTTGCCCTTTCTGGGGTCTCTGAGTGATGAGTCCTCTGGTCCTCACCGGTCAGGGCATTGGGCAAACAGAAAAGTAGAATTCAGACCTGATCTGGCAGTGCCCTGGGCGGAGTTGGCCTCAGTCACAGGCCGGCCAGGCCCAAGCTGGGGTTCTGCCTGGGGCAGCGGCAGGACCTCATACCTTCAGTGGTGACCCCTGCATTCAGGATGGGCCTCCCCATCTCATCTCGCACCAGGCCTTTCTCGTCTGTCTTGTGTACCAGGTATAGCTTCTTCTCCTCGTCGTAGTCCAGGACGCCGACCTCGCACCATTTGTACTTCAGCTTCTGACTCTTGGGGTCCTCTGAAACAGGAGGAGAAACTCCACCAGTGCCCCCCGCCATGGGGGCAGGAAGGGGCCTCTGAGTGCTGGCAGCATCGCTGGGAATGGGTCTCAGAGATCACCAGTCTGGCGTCTCTCCCGCTGGGATGCCCCCCTCTGCTCCAGCAGAGCCAGGGCCCTGCTTCCTCCCAGCCGAGCTCGCCTCTGAGGAACCCCGTGCTGCAGAAGGAGCCAGAAAGACCAGGCTTCTCTGCCCTGGTGCTCAGCACAACCTCCACCAGGGCAGAGAGACACACAGGCCAATGGGAGGCTGGGACAGGTGGCACGAAAGCCCCAAGTTAAAGGAGACCTGCTGAGAACCCAGTTGTAAAGGTCAGGAATGAGTTGGACCCCCTTCAAGGTGACCATGGCCAGGGTGAAGCCCTCCCCACAGGCTGCCCCTGGCTGCTCAGTCCCTGGGCCCCTCATCTGAGAACAGGGCACGGCAGGGCAGGGCAGGGCAGGAGCCGCTCTTTGGTCAGGATTGGCCTCCCACTGGTTTCCTGGGCTGAAAGCCTGTGCCCACTTCTCTAGCTTACCTCCCACCGCTGCCCCTCACTCATTTCTCTCTAGCCACACTGGATGTCTGGCTATTCCTGTGAGTTTCGACCTTGTTCCCACGGCAGAGCCTCTGCACTGCCTGTGCCCTCGGCTTGGAACACTCTCCACTCAGGTCGCCTCATTGCTGGTTGTTCCCTTCTCCAAGGAGAAGCCTCTGTGCCTAAAATAGCACCCCTGTCCCAGGCACTCTCTGACTTGTTACCCCATTCTGTTCCTCACAGTGCCGAAAGTCACACTACTTATGCATCAGCTCCTGGTTCACAGCTGACCTGCTCACACTAGTGTCAACTCACTAAGGGCAGGAGCGACTTTGTCCCATCTCAGTCACAGCTGTGTCCCTGGGCCTGGAATGGAAACTAGTACCTTGCAGGTGTTCGATAAACTTTTGCAGAAGGAAGATGCACACATATGGTGCCCAGCAGAGCAGCCGCAATACATAGTGGCTTAAAAACAAACTGAGGCCAGGCGCGGTGGCTCATGCCTATAATCCCAGCACTCTGGGAGGCAGAGGTGGGCGGATTGCCTGAGCTCAGGAGTTCGAGACCACCTTGGGCAACATGGTAAAATCCCGTCTCTACAAAAATACAAAAAAATTAGCTGGGAGTAATGATGTGTGCCTGAAGTCCCAGCTACTTGGGAGGCTGAGGCACAAAAATTATTTAAACCTGGGAGGTGGAGGTTTCAGTGAGCCGAGATAAAAACTGTTTATTTTTGTTTTGTTTGTTTCTGTTTTTTTTTTTTTTCCAGATGGAGTCTCACTCTGTTGCCCAGGCTGGAGTGCAATGGCGCGAGCTCCACTCACTCCAACCTCCGCTTTCCAGGTTCAAGCAATTCTCCTGCCTCAGCCTCCCGAGTAGCTGGGATTACAGGTGCACACCATCATGCCCAGCTAATTTTTGTATTTTTAGTAAAGACGGGGTTTCATCTGTTGTTCAGGCTGGTCTTGAACTCCTGACCTCATGATCCGCCTGCCTTGGCTTCTTAAAGTATTGGGATTACAGGCATGAGCCACCACGCCTGGCCCCCTGGTTTTTTTTGTTTTGTTTGAGTTCTACAGACTAGGTTGAGGAAGGAAGGGCTGGAATTCTCAGGAAATGCTCCCCACCTGTTGACACCAGCTAGCTGAGTAAAGGATGGTAAACAAGGTCTATAGCTCACCTATTTTGCTTCTCTGTTTTGCTTTTCCCTTCCCTTCCTAGTAGGTTGCCTTTCTGAAAATACTGGCCTTGTCTCGGCTCAACTCAGATGAAAAGATGTCACTGGAAGCTCCCAGCAGAAAACAAGAGGTCCCCAGCAGAGCCTCTCCCTGCTCACCCCTCCTCCCACCTGGGCCACCACCCCAGACCAGGGCCATGTGAAGGGGTGTAAGCAGAGCACCTCGATGGAGGCTGCTACTTGGTGCATTTAAGGCTAATGCAGCCCCAAACCTTCTGGTTTTATCACCAGGAATTGGCGATCTGGGAACAATTGAGTTAAATTATTTTTGTAATTAAGTCCAAAGTAAAGGTAACATTCTGGGCTTCTTGTCTAGTTCAGAGAAATTGATTCTAGCATTAAGATGTTTTTAAAATGAAACATAAATTTACAGCCTGCTCAATGGACTCACTGGGCAGGCTTAAAACCAGTCATGGCTATCACAACCCTGCTTCCCACCTGGAGCTGGCCTACTGGGCCCACTCCCAACTCACAGCATCTTGTCCACCCACCAGGTGGGGAGCAGAGCAGCCTTCAGCCCTGCACAGGGGAACAGCCACCTCCAACTTCCCAAATGATGGCCCACACCTTCCTAGGATGTTGCATCGACACCCAGCCGTGCAGGCCGAGATGTCAGCTGCGGATGCCCACCTGGCACTGCTTTCCACAGCAGGAAATGGGAGAGCCTCCACAGCCGCTGGGGCAGGCCTGAGGCCAAAGGAGCAGCCAAGGGCACTCCCTGGGCAGATTATTGACAAGGCCAAGACAAGGCAAACCTGTGTGGCATCAAGTGGGCATGGTGAGGTGTGACAGTGGTTGTGGATGGGTGACAATAGGAGA
Organism: Homo sapiens; assembly: GCF_000001405.40. Lineage (NCBI taxonomy): Eukaryota > Metazoa > Chordata > Mammalia > Primates > Hominidae > Homo > Homo sapiens. Next base: position 52,328,534 of record NC_000003.12, on the reverse strand, counting down.
GTGTGTTTCTGTGTGGTGAAAATGTGTACACAAGAGAGGTTGTTGGGGGTGTGTATGACAGTGAATGTGCTTGTCAATGTGTGTGATGATGGGGATTTGTGTTTGTGAGCAAGTGTGTGATGGTGTGTGTTGTGCACACAAAAGTGAAAGCTGAGAGGCCATGGTTAGAGCTGCAACAATGGGGCTTCTGGGTGGAGGGATGGAGAGTGGAATTGTGCCCCTCGTGCATGTTTCAATATTCCCAATGAGCATGTACATATTTTACTACCAATAAATCAAAGATTTTTCAAAACACTAGACACCATCCAGCTGTCCCTTTTCCAGCTCTCCCAACGATGTTTTCCCTGGTCCCTGCATTCCTGCCTCTGTGAGGCCAGCTTCTAGGCCTGTCTACCAGCTGAGAGGTCTTGAAAGACCCCTCGCCTCCGGTGGCTGCCAGGTCCCAGGGGAGCCCAGGAGTCTGTGACAGGGCTGCTACTGGAATGAGATAGTGTCCCCACTCCAGAGTGGCCTTGCTCACCATGCCCCAGGAAGTCATCAGTGGGCAAGAGGGCTTTTCCCGGGACAGGTTTCCTGTCCAGAGACCCTGGCTCCAAGCCCATGTTGATCCACTCTCTGGGAGTCCGGCAGTCAAAGTCCTCATTGTCAAATACCTGGAAGAAAGCAGGCCAACATTGGGAAGAAGCAGCTCCTCTAGTGGGGCCCAGGTGGGACTGGGTGTGCCAAAGGATGGGGTGCCTAAGTAATACCCTCCCCAGGTGAGAGAGCTGCAAGGTGGCACTGGGGGCTGACCCTCTCCACTGGGGGCTGACCCTCTCCACTGCTAGGACTGGGGGTTGAGCCTCTCCACTGCTGCTCCCAGGGGTACACAGCATCTGGTTGGGTGAAACCCTGGATCCCCATCCAGCCAAGCCACCTGAGGCTCAGGCAGAGGGGTGTCCAGGGACCCAGAGCAGGTGGTGGGTTCTTTCTCCCACTGCCCAGGGCCACCTAGCTCAGGACCAAGGGAAGAGGTGGCCCTTGGGTTTTCCTGGGGACCCTACTCCAACTTGGAACTGGTGAGATTCGGGGCTGTCAGGAGGTAGCCCTTAGCTAGACTCAGCTTTACCTCCTTACAGGGACCACCAGGCGAGAGACACTCAGGGCCGCAGAGAGGAGAGGAGGGGAGGTGGGTGAAAGCCAGAGCCAGGCCATGCTCCCTCTTTCTCCTCCCTGGATTCGTTTCCTGATTTATACCCCACGGGGGTGGCACTGATTCCCTCTTCCATCCCTGCTCTTCCCATTTCAGTGAGCCCAGAAGCAGCTGCCTACCCTGAGGCGGGCACTGGTCAGGGAGGATACTCCACAGTCCAGCTGGGCCGCATCTAGGTTGCCCATGGGTGGCACGGAGGCCGAGGCCAGGCATACAGGCTGCCCAGGGAAGAAGCAAAGACTCAGCATTCTAGGGGGGCTGGGGGCCCCACCTGCCCCATCTAGGATGCTCAAAGTACCTGGGATGGGTTCCTATTGTTGACCTGCCCTGTTTGACAAGAGTGTGCTGGTGACTGGTGGGGGAATCCCCTTTCAGATCTGACTCCTGAGCGTCCACTGGGGTCCTGCACTTCTGCCCCTGTCTCTCAACCATCTGTGGAAGCCCGGCTCACCTTCAGTGGGAGGTAGATGGGGAAGATTGGGTCATGGCCCTGTTCGATGGTTTGGGGGTGCTGGTGGTCCAGGTGCCTGGGCATGAGCTTGTTGGAGTCGATGCCCTGGCTGAACAGCAACTGCTCAATGTCCAGGCTCAGGTACTGCTGTTTCCTCCTGGTCAAGGGCAGGGAGGGGACCTCAGGATGGCTTGGCTCGTGTGAGGTGGCTCCATGGGTGTCCACAAGGGCCTACGGGGTTGTGGGGACAGGGGTGTGGCCGAGAGACCCCTCTGGAGCCCTCCACCCCTCTGAGACTCATCAGGAAGTGGTGTGGTGGCTGGGGCTGGTGTCCTGGGCTCCAACTGCCCTTCTGTCCCGCCCCGCAGTCCCATTCATTGACCTCAATGCCACCTTCCCCAACTCCATAACGTAAATTGTTCCTATTAAGACACCAAAGGGCTAGAAGATTCGATCTAAACACTTGTGCACAGGCTCTGCCATGAGGATTATCACCTGGTGATCTGCAGTTCCTCATCCCCTGAGGCGGGTGGATGCCACCTCCCCGACAGTCTCCCCACAGCCCACCCAGCCGTACCTCTCGATCTCAATCTTGCGAGGATGCTGGCCTGGCAGCACCTGGAAAGGCACCTGCATCTTGGGCTCGTAGGCCTGCAGTGGGAAGTCAGTCTGGGCGAGCAGCCGGGTGGTGGACCCGATGCACTGCTGCTCCATGCGCTCCTGGAAGTCTTCAGGAACCTCAAAGCTTCCGACTGCAGGTAGAAGCAGGGGCAGGGGCTTCAGGGCTCAGGCCAGCACCCAAAAACCAGCCTCCACCCCATAAAATAAATTACCAACCAGGTAGTATGCTTTGGAGTGTGGGAAGCTCAAAGCTTGCCTGTGGCTGGGCAGTGGCTGGGAGAACACAGGCATGGCACCAGGTGTCCTGGGGCTATGAGCCTGGAGGGATGGTGGCTTCCAGAAGGTCTGTCCTAGCCCTGCTCTCCCTGTCCAGAGCCAGCATGCTTGACCACTCCTTTCCACACCACCCAGCACCAGGGGCCATTGCTCAAGCCAGGTGTTGAGTTCAACAAGGGAGAGTGTTACCACTGGATAGGAAGATGAAATGGGATGGTCTCCTCCCACCCCTACTGCAGAGGCCCCCTCAGCATATTGGAGTCTGATATTCATTCCCTGAGGCCATTGCCAGCTTGAGGCATCCTGGATACTGTGGGTGGCTCCACTACTCCAGCCCTGCAGGACCCTCAAGTCAAAAAATGACTGCCGCTACTTAGATGAGCAGGGTATACAGAGGCTTCCATTCCATACCTGGGGGAAGGGGAGTTGGTGGGGAGAGACCCATTGATAGGGTGACCATCCATCTCAGTTTGCCTGTGACACCAGATAATCAATGGAGAAGAAAGTCCCAGGCAAAGTGAGACCACAGAGGTGGGGAGAGGGGTGTGGGCATTTGCTTTAGGAGGGGATGGCCACATTTCCCAGGGCCTGGGTGGGCTCTGGGCAGCCTCCTGATGGTCCCCTCTATTTTCCAGTTGGAAGAAGGGTCCAGAGTCCCAGGGGCCCTGGTGACCCCTTCCTTGGGCCTTACTGCCTCCCTGGGACCAAGAGGTGGTCATGCTGCAGGAGGGCCCACCTTGGGAGTGGCATCTGGGGTCCCACAGAGGCCACCAGAGGTGGTGCCTGGGCAGTGTCCAAGGCTCAGCGGAGCCTCCACCATTAGCTGGAGTCTGCTCTCACCAGGCTGCTGAGTAGTCAAGGGACCTCCCTCTTTGCATCAAAAATGCCCAGATCTCAGGGCTGCCAAGAAGGCTGTTTTCAGAGCCCTAATCACCAGCTCTTGAGGCTGCGTGACACCACTCCACCCCCAGGACCCACTCAGTGGCCAAGAAGGAGCCAGGGCGAAGAGACCCATGCCTGGCCTCCAGACCCTGCTGCGTCCGCGGGCCGGGGCAGGCTACCCCAGCCCTCGGGCAGCAGAGTGAATGTCCACTACTGGTTGCTGAGAGCCCTGATTGACACTACCCTGTGCCGCTGGGGGCTGCTTTTTCTCATGTGGGTAGAGCTGCCATCTGCCAATCACCCCCAGCCCACCCTGCCATGTGTGGCAGGAGCACCATTCCCAATACCCCCAGTGCTGAGATCTGCGGTTAGTAACCATTTTCTGGGTCACAGATACTTGTGAGACTGTTGGAAACAATAGGCCAGACCCTCAGATAAGTGCGCAAATGTACATGCTCGTGATGTTTTCTAAGGCCTGTGGGCTCCAAGAGGACTGGTGTGGACAGCGGCAGGAAGGAGCCAGGTCTTTCCTGGGGGTGGGGAGGAGGGGCGGACAGGGGCAGCCACAGGGCATCTGGGCCTGATCCAAGGGGACGTCCTGTCTGCCAGGGGAGAGGCACAAACCCTGGCCAGGTGGGAGGCCACCTGCGCAGTTCCTCACCACCACTCAGAGCTTCTCCTGGAGCCCCTGTTCTCCCCTCTGCCACTGGGGAAGGCCCCACACCCTGCAGGCCTGTCCCAGTCCTCGCCACCCTAGCTGTGCTCTGAGACTCTCCATGAGCCTGAGAGGAGAGTCCCCCTTTCCTCCTTCAGCAGGGATCTCCCAGGCATCTATCTGAGCCAGGTCCTGTTCTAGGTGCTGGGTCTCCAGCAGGAAGCAACTCAGACAGTCCTGGCCTCTTCAGGGCCCACATTCCACAGGAGGCAGAAAATACACCCATATGCCCTTCTGACCTCAGCCAGGGAAAGAAAGCTGTGGCTCTGACCCCTGGCAGCCCAGCCCAGCCCAGCATCAAGGTCATGGCTCCACTAAGAGTAATGACTCGGTAGCTGTGGCTGACTGAGCACTCACCATGAGTGGGTAATTGTGAAGCACCCTGTTTCTTATTATCCCCGCTCCACAGTTAAGGAAGCTGGGGCCCACAGCCAAGAAAAGGCTGTCTCCCTGAGGCCAAAAGCCTGCTTTGAAATACCTACCGGGACCCACTCACACAGCCCTCCTGAGCACTGACCTCTTGGGGTGAACTTGTCAAGGTCAGCCTGCCGCAGGAGGTTCTGGCTCATTCGGGGGCCACGACATACCTCCTGAAACCAAACCATGGAGCCCTGAGTATGTGTCAACCTCCCAGGGACAGGCAGGACCCGGGAGGGACCCCGAGCCCAGGCGCCTCCCTTGAGACCCACCAGGGAGCACTCCAGGAGCACAGGAGTGGGCAGAACCAGTGAGTATGCACAATTCCCCGTTCAAAGGCCACAGTGGGCAACAAGCTGTGGCTACCCAGGACTTCCTGGCCCCACCCCATTCTGGTCCAGCCCAGCTCCCCTCCTTGATCTGAGAACACTCCACAGTGCATCCCGGGGCTGAGCCATGAAGCAGGTACTGCAAGGCCAGCAGGTATCTCTGTACATACCTCCTCTCCCAAGGGCCACTGGCACTGCAGGTTTAATGCATATCAGGTGGTCCTCACCCTGTCTTTCTTGGCCCCTCCCTGGCCTAAAGCCTAAGGCTGCCTGGGACCTACAGGACTCTGAATTCTCTCCTCGTCATTCCCCCCTCTCTTTTCCCTGCCCCCAGCCTCCTCCCTCGATCTCTCCCCTCGCATTCTAGCCTTCTTCTTCACACAGCCGTGCCCTCTCTCAGGGACCCCAGGTCTTTGTACCTGTTGTCTCCCCCTGCCTGGAACATGCTCCCAGGCCCCACTCTTACATCCTGTCTCTTAGATCTCAGCAGTACATCACCTCATCTGTGGAACCTTCCCAACCAGAGCCAGGGGAAGGGGTCTTCCCTACCAAAGCCACTGCCCCACAACAATGACAATAGGGACGTGGGCGTCTCATCCCTGCTGCATCTCCAGGGCTCCATCCAGGGCCTGGCACACAGCAGGAGCTCAGTAATGAGTTGTCGAATGAATGGACAGATGCATGGGTGGTGAGAAAAATGGATGGAAGGATGGATGAGGGGATAATAGGGGGTAGATGGATAGAAAGACAGATGGATAGATCGATAGACAGCTAAATGAACAGATGGACTGACTGATGGGGAGAAGGATGAAAGGATGGGTGAACGGAGCCCAGAGGAAGGGTTGAGGCTTGGTAGGGGATGGCTGCCATACTCACCCCAAGTTGATCTAAGGTTCCAGGGCTGAGGATGTCGGAGTAGAACCCACGCTGCTTCATCAGCGGGTACTTCTTATCAGTGCCTGTCAGGGGTGACTTCCGTGGCTGCCCCAAGTCTGAGAGTGTGGGTGGGGCCGGGGGCAGGGGTAAATGTGGGAGCTTGGGGTCAAGGGCTGGAGGATTTCCCAACCCATAGTCTGATCCTGGAAGAATCTTCCCCGGGTTATACTCTAGGCCCCTGTGGGTCCCCACTTGGACTGCAGGAGCACTGCTGCACTCTGGGCCCTGAGGGGTCCTTCCCAGGCTATAGCCTTTACTGTTAGGCTGCTCCATGCTGCTTCTCAGGGAGATGCCCCAGCCGAAGCTCCTAGGAGAAGAACCCAGCGTCAGTCAGCCCTTGCCAGCCTCTGTCTTAGCCCCGAGACACATGGATGCCTAGATTGCCTGCCTGCCACAAGCCCCAGCCCATGACCCATGGGTAACAGAAGAGCAAGAAGGAGGGAGTGGTCTCCTCCTAATCTGGACAGGCATACAGTACCCCGAGTCCCACCAGGAGATGGGGTGGGGCCTGCCCTGGACACTGCATGTGAGAAATGAGCCCACCCAGAGTTAAGGGCTGAGTGAGGGGAAACACTGCAGATGCCCCCAACCCATGCATGCGACTGCACTTGTCCACCCCTCTCCCCCATTTTATAGAGCAAGGCCTGACTTCTCAGTAGCAGGAGATGGGGAGGGAGGCCCAGAGCTTGCTCACCCAATAAATTTCCCTAAAATGACTTTCAGCCAGTAGCAGCCCTGGCACCCCCAGCCCATCCCTGCTAGACTTCCCTACCTTTTCCCAGTGTGGTGCATGAGCCTCCCTAGCACCTGTGAGCGCTGGACCATGCCCTGCCTCCCCTGTGTTTGCCCACTCGACCTCCCCCCATACCCTGGAGCCAGAGGACTAAATGGTCTCCCCAGCAGGACCCCAATCCTGACCCTCCATTGGCCCACAGATCCCTCTACCAGCAACAAAATAGCATTCACCCACCCTGGCTCTCAGAGTCAGATCAGCTCAGGAAACGTATACCCTCCCGTCTTATGCAAAGGGAGCAGCAGATGCCGCCAGGGTGCATGCACATCCACCACCTGGAGGACAAGGGTTTATAGAGTTTTTATTGTGGGAGGAGCAAGCCCTTGCAAAGCCACTGTTGCTTTTGGCTACCTCAAAATTCATCACCACGGAGAATCCTTGGGCAGGAGAACATGACAAGAAATTGGACAAGGGTATGGTGAAGAAGAGGTTTGTACATAATGCTAGTGCAAAAAATAAAAAGGGGGTCTACAATTACCTCAATAAAAATTGCAATTAGAAAAAAAGAGGCCGGGGCGGTGGCTCACTCCTATAATCCCAGCACTTTGGGAGGCCGAGGCGGGTGGATCACCTGAGGTCAGGAGTTTGAGACCAGCCTGACCAACACAGTGAAACCCCATTTCTACTAAAAATACAAAATTAGCCAGGTGTGGTGGCACATGCCTGTAATCCCAGCTACGTGGGAGGCTGAGGCAGGAGAATCACTTGAACCCGGGAGGCAGAGGTTACAGTGAACTCAGATCGCGCCATTGCACCCCAGCCTGGGTGACAAGAGCAAAACTCCATCTCAAAAAAAAAAAGAAAAAAGAAAAAAGAAAGAAATGGCCAGGCTTGGTGGCTCATGCCTGTAATCCCAGCACTTCGGGAGGCTGACGTGGGTGGATCACTTGAGATCAGGAGTTAGAGACCAGCCTGGTCAACATGGCAAAACCCCATCTCTACTAAAAATACAAAATTAGCTGGGTGTGGTGGTGCACACTTGTAATCCTAGCTACTCCGGAGGCTGAGGCAGGAGAATCGCTTGAACCCGGGAGACAGAGGTTGCAAGGAGCCAAGATCATGCCACTGCATTCCAGCCTAGGCGACAGAGCGAGATTCCGTCAAAAAAAAAAAAAAAAAAAAGGAAAGAAAGAAAGAAAAGGAAAGCATCTTAATGAAAGGAAATAGAGGCCTAGCCCAAGCAAGCCCCCCTTCCCTGGCCCCATCCCATTTTCCCATCCCTTCTGCACACTGAGACAAAGAGCCAAGAGCTTGAAGAACAGGGCACTCTTTTTGCTGGGTGTTTTGTGCTAGTGTAGGCCTCCTGATGGATCATGGCAGGGGGCCCTTGCCTGCACTGACTTGAGGAGTGGGGTGGGTGGCCAGGGCTGTCTAGAGCAAAACTACCCAGCAGTGCTGAAGCAGCATGCAGCAGCTGAGTCCATTTCTAAGAAGTGAGTGGTGAGTTGTCAGGGCGCCTGAGGGCCAAAGAAGGAAAGATGGGGCTCTGGCAGGAAGCCCCAGACATTCAGCCCAAAGGCCGACCTGCCTCCAGCCAGTCGGGCCTGCCCGGCCTCCCCTAGCGGGACTCTGCTCCCTGAATCCAGTCTCTGGTGGCCAGCTGCCTCCCAGGACAGGTGCTGAAGACAATGCCGAGTCTGGCCCACCTGTCTAACAGTCACCAACACTTCCCGAAGTACCCTAAAGAACAGAGGACGCCTTGGGGCTCAGCTTCATCATGCTGCAAACCCACAGATGACTGTTTCATCTTTGAACAAAATCACCCAACAGAGCAGGGCTTGGAGAGGCCAGGGTCCCAGCTCCACAGGAGAGCATTCCATTCCATGACTTCCTCAGCTCCCAGATGGGCCTGAACATGCTTACATGCTTGGTTTGCTTTACTGGTGCATTATAAGGAGTTATAAGGATCTTCGGAGATAACAGATGTGCAAATGTCCAGGAAACTGCAGGGTTGCTGGGGGCAAAAGGAATCCATAATGGGTGAACTTGCTGCCCCGGTAAACTGTTTCCCTCCATGCAAGCTGGCAGTGGGGGGGATGCACCGAGGTGTGTCCCAAAGAAGGTGTGAGAGTGAGCTGCAAACTCAGAACCTGTTTCCCCTCCATCCCTCAGCCCTTCACAATGGCTCCCTTCCAGCCCTGCCCCAACTCTGTGCACCTGTGCATTACCAGTATACTCAGGAGCTAGACAGACAGACAGAAAGAAAGACCCAGTCTGCCTCCTGCCGCGGCCTCATGGGTGACAGCAGTCTCTGCCTGGGAATGAGTGTGACTGGCAGGAGGGAGAAGAACATGGCTCCCAGCAAGGCTTCTGCCTCTGGTCATTCTGGGCAGTTCCCCCTGTATGTTGAAGGGAACTGGCCAGTGAGATGGCAGGGGTGGCCCTGGTGGGCACAGTGTTGGGAATGGTGAATGTTATTGGTGGCTTAGACTTATTTTATGCATCATCTCATTTAAACTTCTGAGGTGGGAACTGAGAGTATCCTCATTTCTCAGAGGCAGGAAAATGAAGCTCAGAGAAGTTAGGTGACCTGCCCAAGGTCACAGAGCCAGCAAGAGCCACAGTTGAAATTTGAACCCAAGTTCTTCTTTCTCCCCACTCAGATCACCTGGGAGCCCTATTGGCTTGAGCCAGAGGAAGCTTCTGGTTGGATTCACTGACACTCAACCCCACTTGACTCAACCAGTAGCCAAGCACTTGGCTGAAGAGACACAGATGAATAGGGGTATTCCAACCTCACAGCAGATACTACTATTATTGCCAATTTACAGCTGAGGAAACTAGGGCCCAGGAAAGTAAAGAAACTTGCAAAGATCACACAACCAAACACTTGGCAGAACCAGAATGGAAACTGAGGTCTTCACTTCTGGCTGACCCAAAGATCCATGTTCTAGCATCACAACAGTGGTTCTCCAACCGGGTGCTGAGATTCTGCAAAGTGGGTGCCTGTGGGGAGCCACATAAGCAGGAGGGCTTCTATGCCACTCACCCGATTCAACAAGGATCCTGCACCTTTATCCATTTCACACCCCGGGGTTCTGCATAAGCAGACAAATGGATCTGCGACTTTAAGGGATTTGGGAAGTATCTGCCCTTGGGGCGACCAGGCAAACAACACCATGAATGGTTATTGCTCCCCCAGGCTTGGGGTTCTCTCCACCGTTTTGAAGCATTCACCCGATGCAAACTGCCCTCCACAACTGTGTCTTTCCCCTCCAGTGTACCTCTCCCTGTATTACATGTGCACATCTGTTTTTCCTGTCAGCTGTGTAGGCATTTTCAAGTAACGCTGATCTCTGGAAACTTGGCACCTAGCACCTAGCATGAGGCTGGCATGGGCTTGGCACACAGCTGGTGCCTAGAAAGTACTTGCTGAATGATTGTGTGAACAAATGAACTAATGGATGGGCAAGGTGGAGAAAGGAATGAAGTTGACCTCTGTAACAACTCTGGTAGGGATCTGGAGAAGGATTGGGTAGCTGATGGGACTGCCACGTGCTCAGCATGGGGATGGGGCCCAAAAACTGGTCTGGCAAGTACAGGACTTCACTGCAAGGCTGTTTGAAGTGCACCTCCAGGCCGGGCGCAGTGGCTCACGCCTGTAATCCAAACACTTGGGCCCAGGCGGGCGGATCACCCGAGGTCAGGAGTTTAAGACCAGCTTGGTCAACAGGGTGAAACCCCGTCTCTACAAAAACACAAAAATTAGCCGGCATGATGGCGGGTGCGTATAATCCCAGCTATTCAGGAGGCTGAGGCTGGAGAATCGCTTGAACCCGGGAGGTGGAGGTTGCAGTGAGCCGAGATCGCGCCATTGCACTCCAGCCTGGGCGACAGAGCGAGACTCCGTCTCAAAAATAATAAAATAAAGTGCACCTCCCTTCTTTCCCCCTGGCCAAGGCTCAGCAACCAGACTCCTGGGAGACCCCATTCCCCACCCTCGTCCACTCGCCCTCCGCGCCTTTTCGAGGTCCCGCTGCCCGCGCTGGCCCCGCAACCCCTCCGCCTCACCGACGTACCGGTTCCACCGAGCAGTGCGGGGATGCATCAGCCCCGTCTCTAGGGAGGGACGCTAGGCCGTTGCTAAGGGGCGGGGCCATCCGGCACCGCAGGGCGGGAGCTTCCGTCCGCGAACCTCCCCAGCCTGAACCCTTACCTACCCACCAACTCCAGGTCTCGGTTACTTCCGCCCAGGACAGTGGGACTGGGATGTTCCAGCATATGCCCCGATCGGCAGGATTAGGGCCGACCAGGGAGCGTCACTCTTCTAGGCTCCATTACCCACCCATCTTCCCTCCTGTGCCCTTTTAGAGTAAGCAGCGAAACAGCTAAATGCAGCGTGAGAACTTTGATTAAATCCTGATTTAAATACATATACATATGTAAATAATTTGGGGAGGAATAATTGAAGAAATTTACGAACTGGAAGTTGGCATTTAAGCCACAGCTGCGGGACAGCTGGTCAGGGCACTGAGGAAAAGGTGGGTTCTGGTTCTCCTGGGGCTTGGCTCACAAAGCCACACCCACCCATTGCACGGTGACTCCACTCAGGCCGCCGCTTCCGCTGGGCAGCGGATGCGCCCGACACCCCTCGGCTCGGGCGCCCACCCTCTGATGCCCCTCATCTGCTCTCAGCACCTGGCATGGGTTCAGGTTTTGATCTTCCTGCCCTATTCTGAATATTGAATTATTGTTAATTTTCTTAGATGTGATAATGCTACTGTGGTTGTATCAGACTGTCCTTAGTTGACGTGGCCTGAAGTGTTTGAAGAAACACGTCAGAATGTCCGCTACAATTTCCTTTCAAATGGTTCAGCAAAAATTATACATATAGGTAAGCATAGCTAGATAAAAAGACAAAGAGGAGATAAAGCAAAAGTGCTGCAATATAACAATTAGGGAATCTGAAGGTCACAGATGTCCATGTACTAGTCTTCCAATTTTTTCTGTAAGGGAAAGAAGTGGTTTACAAACCAAAAGAACCAAAAGAAAAACATCACCCCATCTGTACCTGAGAACCCCTGCCCACAGCCTTCTCAAAACTGGCCCCATTTCACAGATGGGGAAACAGACTTGCTGAGACGGTTAGTACTAGGGGAGGTCATAGGCCCTGATGTTGAATTTTACTTGGCATTTTAGTCGTGCTGGCTTGGTGCCAGGCCTGTTGCTGGGCACTAAGTGTCTGGAACTGAACTGGACCCTATCCCCACCATAAAGTGTATTGAGTGGGAAAGATGGAGAGGCCAGGCCATGAGGAACCTAGAGGCAGGGTGTAATCTATGCCTGGAGACAGTGGTTCAGCCCTTGCACAGGCTTCTGCTTCCTCTGTCTAGAACCTGTCTCCATCCACTCCTGCATCTGGCGGACTCCTACTCACCCTTCAAGACCTGATGGTGGTGCAACCTTTCCTGAATCCAAACTGTGGTTTTATTTTTCTTGTTGGCATTCACACAGGTACTCAGTGATCACTGCAGAAGGAAGAAAGGACTGTGAGGGGAACTGGAGGCAAGGTGTCCACAGCTCTTAGAAGGGACAAGGACTCCATAGCCCTGTTTAGGGCAGTCTGGCTGCTCAATGGGTCTGCGTATAGGTTGGGTACCCCCCTTGGCCTGTAGAGAGGCACCTGCTTCCCTGCTTTTGCCTGGCACTTCCCACACTAGGTACAGCTGTCCAAAAAGCTGCAGCATCTATCCGGGTTGCCATGGCAACATCAGCCTATGGTGGGATGTCAGGGATGAGAGGGGCAGAATGCTAATCCTGGAAAGTTGCCAAGCAACACAGTGGGCTGGTGACATCACAGGGGCTGTGGCTGCTGGACAGATGGACAGGCCACAGCTGAAAGGGTCCACTCTCAGGAGGCCCAGCTCACAGAACCACTCACTGCTTACCATGTGATGGTCACTGCTGTTTCTCCCAACTGGAGAATGGACTTGAGGGGTGGGGGTCGGGGGTGCTGCTTTTACCAGCAGCCCTGCCAGCTCCACTTCGCCCCTCTTCAAGGGCGGGCTGTGGATATGACTGCCTCCCTCCTCCCTGGAAGGACACCGTGAGTCAGTCCCTGTTCTCCTGGGTCTCAGGGGCTACCCTCTAATGTGCTGTCTTCTCCCATGGCTGCGCAAGGGTTCAGGCTTTGGTCTTCCTGCCCTGTCCTGAAGGCCACCATACTTACCTTGCTCCCTGGGAAAGGAGCAGGGGGCTGAGCCATGACCCACTGGACTCCTGCCCCTCTTGTGATGGGAGGGCCATCTTTTGCCCTGAATAAGCTGGAAGAGAGGTCAGCCTTACCCTTGTTGAAATGGGAGGACTAGGTTTCTACAAGAGTTGGGGAGTCACTGCCCATCTCTTACTCAGATCCCCCTTGCTGAGGACTCTGGTGGCCTGGAAGCTGGGGGATTGGGGCAGATGGGCTGCTTAGGATGCCCTGGCCCAGGGCCATGCCTTTCCAGCATGGAGTCTGAGGTCATGGCAAGTCTGCACACCCCCTCCCCTGTGTCTCCTTGCTGGCTGAGATGGGAGCAATGCTTCACTGGCTGCAGAGATGAAAGCCCCTTGTGAATGGGCAGCAGAATGGGCCCTTCATGTGGCTGGCCAGCCAGAACGGAAGGTGACAGGCATCCAGACTGAGTGGCTGAGCTACCCGCTCCCCACCTGTCCCCAGCCTCCCTCTTGGGCCCCCAGGATCTTCCTCTGATTTTCTAGGCCTGGAGCTCTGAGCTATGCCACAAGAAAGTGAGTTGCAGGCATCGGGGGCGGGGGGTGTCAGAGAAGGGAATGGGTGAGGTCTACGATTCACTGCCTCCCCAGGCCTCCCCGACATAAGCCTCCCTGCCATTGCTCAGCTGCCCTCAGCAGTTCTGACCAGCATAATCATTTCTTTGATGAATAAAAATGGAGAAAATTTAATTCTCCTTTGATCCACATGATCACCTTGACAGACAAGACCTTGAAAGCCCAGAGCTCAAGCAAGGAGTAGAACAGAGTTTCTCCGGGGCTGGTGGACTGAAGACCACTGGCCCATGAACAGACAATCTTCATCCATCACAGCCCCCACCTAATCCCCTGCCCACCTTTACTCCTGTGCAGCCTCCCTGCCGGAGCCTCTTCCCTCTTTGTTTTTCTATGATCTTCCATGCCATCTTGGGCTACTTCTCAGGACACACTCCCTGAGTGCCTTGGCCAACAGAACACACACTCTCCTCAGGGCCCCAGAGGACCATGGTCAGTACCACTTGGTAGATGACTCACTCCCTACCATGTGATGGTCACTGCTGTTTCTCCCAACTGGAGGGTGGACTTGATGGATGGGGTCAGGGGGTGCTGGGGCAGAGGCACAGCTTTTCTCAGCAGCCCTGCCCATGCGTCAGTCCAGGAAAGACCCATAGAAATGACTGGAAGATAGAGCAACCCACATCGGGGCCATCACCTCAAAGATAGTGGCTGTTGACACCAGCCCAGTTGCACATGACCCCACATGATCCCACCCTCACCTCCTCTCCCCCAGCCTATTTTTCTCTGACCTCCATCTGAGGGTGCAGGATGCTGAGGCTCTGCGCTCCAGGAGCAGCGGCCCAAGGGGGGGATGCCTGTTGGTCCCCACCTTCCTGGGCCAAAGCGCCAGATGGCAGGCTCTGAGACAAAGACATCTTCCACAGGACATTTCCCAGGGGGGCTCCAGGAGCTGCACAGGAAACTGTTTATTATAATTAGGCTCTGAGCACCTCTGATTTTTCCTCAGTCCCAAGGAGTTTGGTGAGCGTCAGCTGGAGTAATATCTTGGCAGAGTGGGTGACTTCATCAACTTGGCCCTGTGACCCACCAAGTGCCCCCACTCCCACCTTCCAGGGAGCCTGGGTTTGCTGAGGCTTAGCTGAGCCCTCCCATCCACTCATCCCCCAAGGCTGGCCACTTTGGGGACCAGACTGCCAGCCTGACCTTTCATCCACCCCTAGAAAGGGCTCTGGACGGGGCAGGAGGCCTGGATTATTCTGATGACTCACCGGGCAAGTCCCTTCCTTTGTTAGGCCTCAGTTTTTCTTCTGCACAATGAGGAACAGAAACCTTACCCAGTGTCACGGTGGGGTCATCAGTACAGAGTGGTGTGAGGGACACCAAGACTTTTCCTGCCCCAAATACTTCCATTCCTGGCAAAAGCACTGCCCTTGCCAGACCTCCAGGAGCGAATGTGTAAAAAACTCCCAGCAGGTCAGTAAGGAAGGGTTTGTTCCAAAGAGATGGAATCCCTCACTCCCAAAGAGGTGGGGCAGCCCTCCTCCCCATCACCCCTTGCAAATGGCCTGCCTGCTTTGGCCTAGGGACATTCAAACAGCTAGGGTGGCAGTTAGAGCTGACAACTTCCTTGGCAATCTGCTCCCATACTCTGGGTCTGCAAACTGAGGTGGCAAGAAAGGAGGGGCCTCACCCAAAGTCATGGCAGAGTGGGACAGGAACCTGGGGCTGTCCTGCAGGATATAGGGAGCCACAAGGAAAAGACCATGAGACAAAGACCCATTGCCATGAGAATCCCACTTCCCTTTACAGGAGGAGGAGGGGCATCTACCTGGCCTCACACTCCTCTCACTCTTTGTCCCTCCTCCACTCCACCATCCTGAGGTGGGGCATCAGGGAGCTGGCAGGCAGGCCTACCTTTTGCGCCAGACACTGATAGTTGCTAGAGTCTCAGTTTCCCTGTTTATGGAAGAACTGGACTGTCCATCAACAGGGCCCCCAGCCATCCTCCAGCTGCCCCCTGTGGAGCACTCTCCTCCTGCAGAGTACCCACCCCACTGTCTTTCTCTTTCCCCAGTACTCCTGATAGGCCACTCAAGAGCCTGGCACTGGCGAGGCGTGGTGGCTCATGCCTGTAATCCCAGCACTTTGGGAGGCCGAGGTGGGCGGATCATTTGAGTTCGGGAGTTCAAGACCAGTGGGCAACATGGTGAAACCCTGTCTCTACTAAAAAATACAAAAATTAGGCTGGGCATGCTGGCTCACACTTGTAATCCCAGCACTTTGGGAGGCTGAGGCGGGCAGATCACGAGGTCAGGAGATCGAGACCATCCTGGCTAACACAGTAAAACCCCGTCTCTACTAAAAATACAAAAAATTAGCCAGGTGTGGTGGTGGGCGCCTGTAGTCCCAGCTACTCGGGAGGCTGAGGCAAGAGAATGGTGTGAACCTGGGAGGCGGAGCTTGCAGTGAGCCGAGATCGCACCACTGCACTCCAGCCTGGGCGACAGAACAAGATTCCGTCTCAAAAAACAAAACAAAACAAAACAAATACGAAAATTAGCCAGACGTGGTGGCACATCCCTGTAGTCCCAGCTACATGGGAGGCTGAGGCAGGAGAACTGCCTGAACCCAGGAGACAGAGGTTCCAGTGAGCCGAGATCGTGGCACTGTGCTCCAGCTTGGGTGACAGAGAGAGACTCCATCTCAAAAAAAAAAAAAAAAAGCGTGGCAATACTGGGTCTCCTGCCCACTTCCTCTGTATCCTTGGAGGCCTCTGGAAAATGTCATCTCCAAACCTAAGCAGTGACTCTGAAGTGTACAGTAAGGACTCAGGTCTCCATGTGGTCCAACAGATGCGGCCCTGAAAATATGACCCAAGATACCCCCGTCTGTTCTCTTCCCAACCTGGCCTCAGCCCTCCCTCCAAGCAGAGAGAAACTGGCCCTTGCAGACCCTGAAGGCAGGATTGGATGCTCCCAGTTTTCAGGTGAGCAGACTGAGGTCCTGGAGCAAAGCCTTGTTTTGCAGGCACACACACTGCTGGCCAGGCAGAGCTGGCTTGGCAGCTGGACCCTCGGTCCCTGCCCAGGGCCTTCCCTGCTATCCCTCCTGGTTCCCCAGCCCTCTTGGCTGGCTCTCAGAGAAGGCAGGTGGGCCTGAGGATGGGCAGGGCCTGCCCTGGGGAGGGAGCTTGGGCTGGGAAGCAGGTTGGGGGGGCGGTGGTCAGCAGGTGCAGGATAATGGGGCCACTGGGGGAGGCCCAGGGAGCAGGTGCTGCCCATGGAGGGGCTGAGGTTGCCATTGTATGCCCGGCTTTGGCGGGCCCAGAGCAGGAGGGGGGTCCCTGTGGGCCGTCAGGCTGCCCTGGCTCATGCTCACAGGTCTCGTCCTGATGCCTGGGCTCAGGCACATAGCCAGCCCCTCCCCTGGGTCCCAGCAACCCCACCAGGTTGCCATGACAACCAGCACTTTCATCCCTGTCCCTTTGTCTGGTCACGGTCCAGCTTTTGTGACCAGCCATAATTGCTGGGTGGAGGGAAGGGGGCCTTGCGTCAGGATACACGCAGCTGGGGTTGAGTTGTGAACTCAGGCAAAGGAGGGCTGGAGGGCAGGTTAAAGAAAACTGGAGATGCAAAAAGGCTGGGCTTTGCTGGCATTTCCCCCTGCAGTCTCCTCTCCTGGCTGCTGGCCACATGCTCAGAACTGAGTCTGCTGGCCCCAGAGTAAACTGTCTCATCTCTGGGCCTCATTTTCCCATCTGTGACTGCAACTGCAGATGACCCCTCTCCCCGGGTGCGCCATTGCCCTGGGAGGCAAAAAAGCATGAGCCAACCCAGAACTTAACTCCTTTGTGCAACTGAGGAAACTGAGGCATAGGGCAAAGCTAGGCCCCGGTCCCGGTCACACCCACAGTGAGCCAGTGGCAGAGCCAGACCTCCTGGAGGCGCAGGGCCTCAAGGTATTAGGCCTCCAAACCAAACAAACTGAGCCTCACAGTTGTTTCTCTCCTGGTGCCCCCATAGGGAGGAGCCTTGCCAGCAGGACTCAACAGGGGTGTGAGGGGGCCCACACCTCCGTCATCCTCCCTCAGGCCCCACCAGCTGTGTGCCTTTGGGAAAGTCCCTTAGGGCCAAGTCCCGGGTGTGAAAAACAAGGGGGTGTGTAGAAACAGTCAACCCTCCCTCAGTTGGGGTGAGAAGGAGGTAAGGCCTGCCCTGCACAACACCAGCTCATTGTCAATCCCACAAACACCACCCACCCTGTTCCCACCCATCGCCCCTGCCCACCCACATGACACGGCATTGCCTGAATGGCTGCCCTGCCCATGCTCTGGGCATTCCTTTGCCCCTGTTGTTGCCTTCCCCTGTGGTGCCCTCTGTCCTCCAACAGGAACCTGGTGGTCCCCGGTGACCAGGGCTCGGGGAGGATGGTCACCACTGTCCTTTAAATCTAAAGAATTCCTCCTTGACACAAGCGCTGGTTTTCAACAGAGAAACAGAAGAAGCAGAGAGCACTGCAGAAGCCAGTTTTGTTGCTGCAGACAGAGGCTCTGGGATGGGAACGCATGGGAAAAGGCAGTGGGATGGCTTTGTCCTTTCTTGGGTGGTTCTTCTGATCTTTGAGGGAAGCCAGGGGTTCCTGCAAGCCCCTCGCCCCAGCCTCAACACCCTGCAGCCTTGTGGGAAAAGTATGGGCACCCCAGACAATGATGCGTTTCTAAAGGGTCTGCTACCCTCCAAGGGATCTGGGGCTCAGCGGGGCCCTCAGGCTCAGGAGGGACTCCCACCACCAGGGCCATTTCACAGGCATGGCAGGTCCACTCGTACCCCTGAATGAGAGACTTGAGGAGCAGGGGGACCAGAGGGGAGGGGCTGGGGCTGAGCAGAGAACTGATTCAATAACCAGCCGGGCAGACCCTGCACGTCATTGTGGCTTTGCCATCCCAAGAAAATGTCACTTCTTCCCCATGGACATTCTTCTCTGCGATTAGCTCTCCATCTACACCGGATGTGAGTGGGGTGGTGGCAGGGTCAGCTACCTGGGGCCAACAGATGGGTACCATTGATGTACCAGTGGTACAAGACTGTATGACTGGGCAGCCCAAGCCAGAAGGAGCACAGCGTCCACCTCTGCAGCTATTCATCCTTACTATGGGTTAGGAACCAGTTACTAAGCAATTAGCATGTGGCCAGGTGTGATGGCTCATACCTGTAATCCCAGCACTTTGGGAAGCCAAGGTAGGAGGACTGTTGAGTCCAGGAGTTTGAGGCAAGGTAGGAAGACTGTTTGAGCCCAGGAGTTTGAGGCCAGCCTAGGCAACATGGCAAGACCCCCATCTCTACAAAAAATTTTTTAAAATTAGCTGGGCATGGTGACATGCGTATGCCTGTAGTCCCAGCTATTTGGGAGGCTAAGGTGGGAGGATCGCTTGAGCCCAGGAGGTCAAGGCTGCAGGGAACCATGATCATGCCACTGCACTCCAGCCTGGGCAACACAGTTAGACCCTGTCTCTGAAAAATAAAATAGAAAAGTTAGCATATGCCATGAGGTTTATACACATGTCATTTAATCCTCACACCAATCCTAGAAGGGGGTAGCTATTACTGTTTCCCTTTTTGCAGGTGGGGACACTGAGACTCTGAGAGGTGAAGCTGGTCGGGGAAAGGGGATTGGCAGACTTGGCCTGGGTAGTAGGGGAGGGTAGGAGGCAGGGCTGAGTCAACTGTTGGAAGAAGACAGATTTGGGCTCATGATACAATATTTTTATAATGGTCCCAACCAAAGGACTGGGCTGCCCAGATGGCAGGAGCTCCCTGTCATGGGAGGCATGACAGGGGAAGCTGAATGGGCACCTTTCCTGTCATTTGGACACCTGAATGGAAAGAGAGTACCTATCAGGAGCAAATGAGCCCTAAGGTGTCAATCCTGGCCCCAGCCCAGTGCTGGAAGGTATAGAGAAGACAGCACCTCCCAGGTAGGGGTTGAAGTGCCCAGGGGGCACACCCTGCTGAGAACTATGCCCCCATTGTCCCATCTCCAGGGGCGGCTTCCACTTTCCAAGATGTGTCTTTCTTAGCGAGAAATTTCAGGACACCTGAGAGAGGCACAAGGGGGAACACAAGGCTGGTAGCGAATTCCCCCAATTTTTCACCCCAGGCACTTCCCTTGTCTCATCCTAGTCCCAGCCTGTGGGGACATCTCAGAGCCCAACCCCACTCCCAAGGCCCCTCTCTGCAAGGCTGACAGCCTCCTCCTACCCCATCCCTTACACCCAACCAGTGCAGCAAGCCCCATCGGTTCTCCTCCTAAATATCCCTCAAATCTATCCACTCCTCTCTGGATCCACAGATGCAGCCCTGGCCACCTCCTCCCTCGCCTCCCAGTCACCAGTGCCAGTTCATTTTCTACCCAGCAGCCCCACAGTCCTCCCTGATCTGGCCCCACTCTCCCCACTCAGTGCCCTCATGCTGTCCTCCAGCCAGAGGGAAGCCCTTTCAGTTCCTGACACACACCCTGTCCCCCTGTCTCCTGCATCACATTCACTGCAGATTGGACATCTTTCCTCCCAGGACTGGGTTAAACACCCCTAGGTGCCCACAGCCATGGCAAAATTGTGTGGCCAGAGTCATTAACATGTCTGCCTCCTTGGAGAGACCAAAGGTGCCATGGGACAGAGTCCAACCTGTCTTGCCCAGCCTATATTCCCATCCCCTGGTCCTGCTGCCTGGCACAGAGGAGATGTTCAGTGAGCAACAGCTGAATGCATGCAAGCATGAATGTATGAATGTGAGTGTGACTGAGGCTGAGAGGGCTGTCCCACACAGGCAGGTCCCCAAGGACAGCTGAGTCCAGAAGCCATGACAGAAAGTGGACTGAGGGAGACGTTTGGGTCAGGAGACTAACTGAGCCAACAGGTCCTCTGTGGAGGCCTGGACTTGCGTAGCCCCCACTCCTGCCCTGAATCACAAAGAGGCGACAGCTTAAGATCCATGCACCTGCCAGAAGGGACAGGAATGGGGGATTCAAGCCAAATAGAGTGAGTGAGGCAGATTCCTAGAGGTCTTTCCCACTCCCTCTGGCCCACAGATTCCCTTTTAGCAAAGTCACTTTAAAGTCTTTCCTGGGGACTGTGATGGGGTGTGAGGGAACTGAGCCCAAGGCCAAAAGACCAGCCACAGTGCACCTCCCCTACTCAACCAGAGGGGAAGATGCCTCTTTGTGGCTTTGTGCACACACACACACACACACACACACACACACACACATATACACAAAACCTCCCCCACACAGAGACGGAGCAGGGCCTCCCTGGGCCTGGGAGACCTTGAACCTCCAGTCACCACTCTCTCTGTGTGGCCCCTGGCTTCCTCGTACCCCTCCCAGCTCAGCGACAGCCTCCTGAACTTCCTGGCGGGCTTCCAGGCCTCAGAGAAAGCCGCTGTCTCTGCCACACCATTACTGTCACCATCACTGCTGCTGCGAAAATGCAATTACAGCAAACAACAGCCGCCGCCTCACTTGAGCCTCGCCATCCACACCTGGAACTAATTAACTTAATTAGGCCTTAATGAGCTACACTGGTCGGAATGCCTATTTTTACTTAATTATCCCCTAATGTGCTTGGCATGGAGGAGCACAGGACCCGGAGGATGGCTTTGGCGGTGGCGGTGGCAACCACCTCCTCTCCCTGAAGAAGAGACACTCAGGAGGTGATGCCTGTCTGCCTGGGGCGGGCCCCAAAGAGCTGAGAATCACAGGAGGATGGGTGAGGCAGGGGCCACGGGCCACGCTGCAAGAACAGCAGCCCACCCAGCTCCAGCCTCCCATCATTCCCACTGCCCCGTCTGAGCTGGGGCTGAAGCCACACTTTGCTCAGTTGGGGGTGTAACAGGCATGACCTGGCTAGCTTTTGCATTCACAGACCTCTGACAGGGGAGGACATGGGCTCAGAGAGTTACTCTTCCAACTGCCTATAATGGGAAGGCACAGAGAGATGAAGGGCTTGCCTGAGGACACACAGCTAACTGGTGGCAATGGACGTGAATGGCTCTCAGGCCCTTTGAAGGAGCACTTTAAGCCATGACGGGGTCCTGTCAGGGTGGAGTCTAGACTCTTTCACACCAGGCCAGGCCAGGCTAGGATAAGCAGAGGATCACTTAGACAGCTGGCCTCCAGGGTCCCTACGGCAGCACCTTCCACCCCCAGTTGGGCCTTGGCTCCTGAAAGCCAAGTTTACATCATCAACTTCTCTAGCTTTGGGGTGGGGTGAGGTGGTCTTGGTTCACTAGACAGATATGGGGGAGGCTTCAAGAGCAGGGTCCTTCCCTGCTGGCCCCTGCTGGCCTTGACCCTGCTGGGGCCTCCAGATCAATGGCTCATTGATCAATGGCTCCAGATCAATGGCTCATTTGAATCTCTGGGTTCCTGGGGCTGGAGGGGTACCCTGTCCCTTGTGTAAGCAAAATACATCTCTATGCTAAAGATGGATCAATCTCTGGGGCAACCCCCTCTCTGGAACTCTAGGCTTATATCTGACAACTGTTTCCCTTGGCACCTCCAGCCCTATCCAGCCCCAGGAGTCCCAGTCCTAACACAGACAACCCAGAACCCTTGATTTCCCTCTCCCTGGTCTGCTTTTCCCAGCATCCCCCTCTTCTGAAAATGGCCATGCCATTTGCTCATGTGCTTAAGCCAGAAACTGAAGAACTGCCCTGGACAACCCTCTCTCACACCCTACAGCCAACCCTTCCTGAAGTCCTGTTGGCTCTGCCTCCAAATAACATCCCCAAATGCCAGCTTCCCACCACCTCCCAGCAAGCACCCAATCCTGGCCACCATCCTCTCTCATCTCGACAGTGTCTCCCTTGGTCTTCATGGAGCCTCCACAATCTGGTCTCCATGAGGCTGTCACAGTGATTTAAGGGAAAAAACCACTCCCTAGTTCAAAATCCAATGACTTCCCATGGCACTTAGAATAAAGTCCACAGGCCTTAGCCCAACCGACAGAGCCCCACCTGCCTCGCTGGTCCCATCCACCTCCTTTCCCTTCTCCTTGCCCCATTGACGTGGGCTGCCCTTCAGGACCTCACAGGCCTCAGGGCCTCTACACTGCCTACTCCTTCTGCCTGGAATGCTCTTCCCCCTGACCTTTGGATCACTCAGATCTTGGCTTAAACATCATTGCAGCCTTCTCTGGCCCCACGCCCTAAAGTCTCCTCCTAGGCCCTAGCCCTGTTAGATCGCCTCCTAGATCACCATGTTAGAATCTTCTCCGTGGTACCTGTTAGCATCTGAAAATGCTGTGTCTCTGTCTCCCTTGAACGTCATCTGTTTTGATCCCTACTGAATCCCCAACCTATAAACCACATGCCTGGCACACTGTAGGAACTTTTTGCTAAATGGGTGTTAGAGGAATGCCTTGACTTTTTCACAAGTGATTAGAGTCCCCAGCCCCTTCCTTGAGCTGCCCAGAGCCCACCCAAATACCTCAGGCCAGAGCATAGTATTCTTGAATCCTACGTCCTGGCCCCCAGCCTCTGCTCACACGGTCCAACCACCTGGAATGCCCTTTTCCTATCATTTGCCAACGGAAATCTGGCCTGCCCCCAGACTTCTGACCAGTGAGGGAGTGGGTGGGGACCACCACCTGTTTGAACTAGTGAGCTTGACTTGGCCCTTGGCCTTGGCTCTTCCTGAGATTTATCTCTGCCTACTCTTTGGAGAGAACTCCTTGGGCCTGTGTCTGTCTGGACTCTAAGGACATGAGCCTCTGGAGGTGCTGGCCTTCATCTCTGCCTGCTCATTGCTCCCCATTCCTGCCCCAGTAGCCAATCCCAAGGTGGCTGGCCTAGAGTCAGCACATAGCAAACATTTGATGAAGGAAGGAGGGTGGGTAGGTACATGAGGTCCCCCAGCTGTAGGTCCCATCTCAGGGCTGAGGATGTGGCCAGGTCTGAGTATGAGCCTAGGCAGCTAGCCCAAGTGAAGAGAGGCTGCCTCCAGCTCTACCCAGCCCCAGGAGGACCAGTCCTAACACAGACAATTCAGGATCCTCCCACCAGCCAGCATTCCCCTATGACTATGGCTATGCCATTTCTTCCTTGGCCTCAGGCTCCCCTCCTGTGCTAGTCCTCACCTCCTTGGCTTGAAAGGGCCTCTTTCCTGAGGCTGAAAAGTCCAGGGGCACCAGGCCAGATGGCTTGGTGCTCAGGACCTTCTGGCCCTCTGGCCACAGCCCCCACCTCCTCTGAGAGGTGAGAGTGGGCTCCTCTCTCCTCCTGGCAGCACTGGCCTCTGCCAGTGGATCTTCACTGTGCCATCTCACAGCTTATGCCCCAGCGTTCATAGAAATAAGGGGATTTTAGTCTTGTTGTGACTATTGCCTGTAACCAGAGCTGCCCACCAGCCATCTGTGCGCCCACCCCACCTGTGCCCTGCCTGAGGGGCTAGGCCCCTGGAGACAGTTCTGACTGGCAATTCCCTTTGTCCAGGCTAGACCCTCTGCCCTTCTGAACTGGAGAATCTCTGTCTCCCATCTAGAAGGCCTGGACTCTGGGTGTCATCCCAGACCTTCCCACTCAGTGGTACCCGATCTTACCAGCAGTATTCCCAGCTGGCTGAACCCTGGTCTCATCAGAGCCCCTCCCACCCTGGATCCTAGATCTAGAGCCATGCGGTCAGGGCAGGACAGACTTGAGGACGCTCAGTGTGAGGGGAGTCACTAACCTGCAAGGACCAAAGCCGGGGTTTGGGACTTGGTGCTGTCCTTTACTGGGTCTTGCTGCCTTGGTTTATCCACCTAAGAGGCAGAGACATTGTTGTCATTTAGCAGGATGTAGGTGACGCCCATGAGATGGAAGCATGAAGTGCGTTGTAAACCTAGCATTGGTGACTTCACCTGAATTGCTATTGAGGTGGAAGCAGGGAGTTGAGGGGTTTTAAACACCAGTCTAGCCTCTAAGAAGGCTGTGGTTCCAGCACTGCAGGCTGAGCACAGGGATCAAGTGAGATCACAGGGCCTAGGAAATGGATTCCCTTCTCTGCAGCCAGGGACCTTCATCTGTTTCATTTATGCAATGGGGCTAACCCAGAAAGGGGCAGGTCACAAAGGGAAGGGACAGCTCTGAGGACATAATCTGGAAGGAGGGAAGAGGGATGGCAAGTTCCTTGGGTCCCACCTCCCAGGGGGCTCTGGATAGGCCCAGGATGTCTGAGATCATGCAGTGTAAACTCTCTCCTTTGACAAGAGGAAACAGACCCAAGGGAGAAGTTCAGCCCAGGTCATCCTGCTGGGCCAGAAGTAGGGTTGCTAGGGGCTGATATCGGTTCTAACAGCACCTCCTTGAAGGCCCTGGAGCCTCAGTTTCCCTACCCGCACAATGGTGGCACTGACTCCCATCTTCCTTTCTTCCCTTCCTCCCCACAATGGCCCCCACTCAAGAAAGCTGTGAGGTTCGCTGAGGTTCACCGAGGGGAAGGCTGTGGACAGAGTCAGGGCTCTGCCTCCTAGCCCTGTATAAGGTGGAGGAAAGGCTGAGGGAGCCAGGAGCCTGGGGACCACCTCAGTAACTCCAAAGGCAGCCCCACTCCTTCCAAGGGAAAGAGGCCATTGGGCAGGAGACCTCCTTGGGGGTGAGGGGGAATATGCCCAGGCTTGGGGAGTCTCCAGCCATAACAGGCTCCCTCTTGGGGTTGGCACTGCCATGACTGGCTCTACCACCTTCCTTGACCTAAGCCCCACTTTCCCCATGAATCCAATGAGGATAACAGGGATCATCCCAGTCCTGCCAGTCTGTGGCCTCCTGGGGCCACGAAGAATAGCCTACTGGCCAGTGGGTATCAGATGGTGGCTCTTATGAACAGCAAAGCCCTAAAGAGAGACAAGACAGCCTGCTAATGGTGGCATTTCAGGCAGAGAACTTGGGGGCAGAGGAGCCTGCAGTGCTCAGCCCCCTAATCGCAGACACTCCAGCCAAGCCACCGCCTCTGCCTTGCCCTGGGGCTGGGGTCAAGGGTGGCAATGTCTGTTGAGGATGTGAGTAGGCTCAGTCAGGGACTCCATTAGCCCAGGAAACTGCCTTTCTGTCCCCACTTACTCTTCTCTCCTAGGCTATGGGCTGCCTGCAGTCACCTCACACACACAGCAGCCGCCACCATCCACCCATCTCCCTCCCTCCAAGCAGAGGCAGCTGCTAGGCCTCCATGCTGGAACCAAAATTGAATGAGCGCTCTCACAATGTCGCCTCCCGCTGACAGCTCCTAATTGCATGTTGAAGCCATGTGATGGAGCCCGAGTTACACTAATTATGTCATTACCCTAATTAAGTAAATACTGTACGTGCTAATTGGCTGAAATCTCTTCAGGGGGATGGGCACTGGTGTCCCCTGGGCTTCACTTGGGTGGGCTGGAGGTAATAGAGGAGGGTGGGGGCCCGCCCCTCCCTGGGGTCATCCAGTGGGCGTCAGCGAGGGCCCCTGACCACAGCCCAAGACTGGTGTGCCTGTGCTGCAGGGGAGGATGCAGAAGGCGTTGACCAAGTGGTCAGAGACCCAGGTCAAAGGCCTGACTTGACCTCGACAGGCTGGTGGTCTTGAATAAGCCCTTTCCTCTTTTGATGTGGGCCCCCTTGCTGTCCTTCCCCTCAGCCAGCCCAGGGCCTGTGGCCTTTCAGACATACTGGGCACGGGGACACCAGAGGAGCCCAGTGTTCAGTCATCTATGGATGCCAGTTATGTGCCTGACCTGGGGCAGCAGGAGGAAAAATGGCTGATGACTGAGCAGAGCCCCAGTTCCTAGGCATAGCACCCAAGTAAACTAGCAAAAGGACAAACAAGGCTGGCATTTCCAGGAAGGCATCTGAGGAGGGATGCTCTGAGGAGGTCTGGAGGGCTTTCTGAAGGAGGGGGACTTCACTTACAAGGGAGAGAGAATATCACTGCATTAGAACTCAGGTCATCTCCAAGGTGTGATTTCTAAATAATACCAAACTTTTTTTTTTTTTTTTTTTTTTTGAGACAGTCTTACTCTGTTGCCCAGGCTGGAGTGCAGTGGCACAATCGTGGCTCACTGCAGCCTCACTCTCCTGGGCTCTGGTGATCCTCCCACCTCAGCCTCCCGAGTAGCTGGGACTACAGGTGCACATGATCACACCCGCCTAATTTTTGTATTTTTTGTAGAGACAGGGGTCTCACCATGTTCCCCAGGCTGGTCCCAAACTCCTAACCTCAAGCAATCCACTGGCCTCAGCCTCCAAAAGTGCTAGGATTACAGGCATGAGCCACCAAGTCTGGCCTAAATACCAAAATTCTTTTTTTTTTTTTTTGAGACAGAGTCTTGCCTTGTCACCCAGGCTGGAGTGCAGTGGCATGATCTCGGCTCACTGCAAGCTTTGCCTCCCGAGTTCACGCCATTCTCCTGCCTCAGCCTCCCAAGTAGCTGGGACTACAGACGCACGCCATCACACTCAGCTTTTTTTTTTTTTGTATTTTTAGTAGAGACAGGGTTTCTCCATGTTAACCAGGATGGTCTCAATCTCCTGACCTCGTGATCCGCCTGCCTCGGCCTCCCAAAGTGCTGGGATTACAGGCGTGAGCCACTGCGCCCGGCCAATACCAAAATTCTTAACCATGACCTTTGGGTGGGAGTTGGGAGGAATGAGAACAGCCATCTGAAGGAGGGTCTCCGGATGGGACTCCAACCTACTTGGGGGTACTGGGGGTGCAGAAAGAACGCAGCCCTGTGTCAGGGACCGGTATGGAAGCCTCAGTAGGGCTGGAGCCCCATCATGCCCCTTCCGAGCAGATCAGCACAGACCAGCTGGTCAGGTGGACTCCATCCCTGCCCTGTCCTCACGGAGCTGTAGGGAGAGTCCCAAAGGCAGGTGGTGGGGCTGGGGCCTCCAACAGCTGGGTCCTCTCATATCACTTAGGGCCCAACAGCACACAGTCTCCCAAGTGTGCCAGGTGCCACAGCACGGCCATCCCGCTCTCCCAGCTCCACCCCGCCTGCCTGCCTGCCACCATCTCCACAAACATATGCTGCAGCTCCACACCCGGGAAACACCACATGCTCGCTTTGGTGGGCAATGGCTCCCTCCCCGCTTGCTCACTTGCTTCCCAGGACCCCAGGCCCAGCACAGCCCCCTACCCCACCTCAAGCCCTGGGCTGGCCCAATTCCTAAGGTGGCCTTGGTCAGTCCCCAGATCTCAAGCTCCCAGTAGGTGACATCTGCTCATTCCTTGCCTGTCCCAGGCCTTCATTCATTCCACATAATGTGGTCTGGGATCCCGTGGGCTGGCTCCAGAGACAGAGACAGATAGGAAGCAATCCTTTCAAATGTCTGCAACTTACTCAAATGAGTAAGAAAGAAAATATGTATGTCTATACACACACACACACACACACACACACACACACACACACACACACAGAGCAAACGGAGCACAATATTCACAGTAGTTGAACATATCCCCAAAAGAGCACGTGTGTCTTTTGTACTATCACTATTCTGGCAACTTTTCTGTAAGTTTGAAATCATTTATAAATAAAAAATAAAGAAGAATAAGGAAAGAAAGAAGGAAGGAAGGTCCTTTCCCTTCTCCGAGCTCTAGGCTATAAGAAGAGACAGCTGGACAAGTGGCAGCCAAGTCACTGTACCCCTGCTGGGTGGGGCCAGGAGGGATTCCCTGAGGTGGTGATAACGGCTTGGGGAGGCAGGGTCTAAGGGGCACACACCTCTGACCCTTGTATGGAGGGTGGCACTCAGGGGCTGACTCTCTGGGAGTCTCCCTGTCACAGCTTTAGGCAAGCCCTCGCTCCCTCCCCTTCTCCTACTCTCCAAATAACGTGCTCTGGGAGTCTGAGATAAGAAAGGGAACTTCCCTTGGTCACAAGGTGTGGGAGGGTGGCTGGAACTTCTGTGCCTTTGAGTGTAAGAGGAGGCTGAACTGGCCCGGGGGCTGTGCCTGGTGGGGTGAGAGGGTTGGGACGGCCCTGCTCAAGGCCATCCTGTCCTCCCTCCCAGTGAACGAACGCTCACACAGACTCACCGAGCTGACTTCCCCAGGCAGTGCCCTTGCCTGTCACAGCAGCACTTGGCAGCAGGAGGGCAGCAGCAGGGAAGTGGCTCATTATTTCATCCTTCATTAGCTCGGCATTAGGCAGCCTGAGAATTGTGGGGTGTGGAGTGGGAGCCTCTGGTTCGGCGGTCTTGCAGCTCCGTGCCCACCCCTTGCAGCCTCCTTCCCCCCACCCGCTCTCTCTCCCCTGCTTCCCTACCTCTTTGATCCCCACTTCTCTCCTCCCTCCCTGTGCTCCCTACCCTGCCCTCCTCCCTGGGATGGAGGCAGGGCACACACTCTCCCTAAGAGGGGGCTTCCCCTACCCAGTTCTCAGTCACAGGATAGGCCCCATCAACCATCCCCTTCCCGAAAAGACAGTGACACCAGCATCCTCATGTGTGGTCAATCATGGTGTGTGTCCCGGTTGTTCTGAGCCCTCAAAGAATGACTGGGACCCCTGCCTGGCCTCACAGCCCATGTCCTCTCCTCTCCACCTCAGGCCGCCACTTCAGAGCCTGGACCGCCCCAGAGTGTATCTGCCCCCCACCCCCACTCCAGGAAGCTCTGGCTGGGATGCTCAGGGCTGGGGCACCCAGGGGTCAGCAGAAGCCGATTCCTCCATTCAGATGCCGTTGTTTCTTTTCACGTCTTTGTTGCCTTGCCACTGGCCGCAGTCCTCCCAGCCAGCCCACCAGCCCAGCCCCTTACCCAACGGCTGGCAGGTTCCCCTCCCTGCCAGTCCCCTTCATGCATGGCCTTCTGCCATTCAAGTCCTACTGGTCTCCCCTGAGTCCAGAGCCTGGCATGGGACGGGGTGGGGCCCCTCTGCCCAGCTCAGCCATCAGCCACCAGCCCCCTGCAACCTGCCTTTCACCCTGCTCCTCTCCTGCCCACGCCCCTCACTTGCCCTCTACCTCCTCACCCTGTCCCTGCTCTCCCGCCCCTCTAACAGTCTCCCCACTCTCAGTCTGGCCCCTCACCTCCCCTGCCCCCTCCCCATTTCCTCTCCCCTCCTCTACTGGCCCTTTAGTCCCTGGGTGTCAGGCTTTATCTCTCGGTGGGCGGCAGGCTCGTTGTTCTCCCCTCCCCTCTCCTCTTCTCTCTCATCCTCTCCCTTCTCTTCCCCCTCCAGCCTCCACTCCTTCGCCCGCTCACTCACCCTCTCCCTCTCCCGCTGCCCCCCCTTTCTCCCCCACCTCTTTGTTTCAGCTGAGAACCAGCTCCTCGGGACAGTTCCCACACTGCAGTGCCTCTGGTGAGGAGACAGCGCCACTGAGGTGAGCCTTGGGGATCTGGGGACACAGGCATGGGGTGGCCGGAGCCCTGGGGGGCAGGCAGATGGGGAGAATGCTTCTCTGCCCCAGGCAGTGGGGAGCAGCAGTGGACTGCCAGCTTCAGGTCCCCCGGGGGTCAGCAGGAGTGGGAGGCAGAGGGGTGGCCAGTTAGCCGAGAGGGACAAGGCTGGCCGGGAGCTGGCAGGCTCCGTTCCTGCCTGGGTGCCTGGCTTCTGTGGGTGGCCCTGGGCTGAGAGAGACCCTCAGGGGGACCTGAGAGGGTGGGCGGGGGCTGGGCTGCCTGGAACAGTGTATGCCCAGTCCTGGAGTCCAGGGCTCTGACCCTGACTCTGACTGGGCTGCTGCTATGGGGTTGCTGGGTGCCAGCAGCGGCACCGTCCAGGGGACTGTGACCCTCACAAGTGCCTGTGCTAGCAGGGGGGTTGGCGGCTGGCTGGAATGTGCTGGGGCTACTCCCACTGCCCAGGTGGAGAGTCTGAGTGGAGGGAGAGATCTTCCCCCTGCCATAGGCTCACAGGTTTTACTCCAAGCTACTGATCCCCAGACCCATAGACCCACATGGTAAAGACAGGCACTTCTCCCTCCCCTAGGGGTCTTTGACCAGCTCCCTCCAGACAGCATCCCTAGAAGAGCTTTGCCCAGAGTTGCAAACAGCAGGGTTTCAACCCAGAGCCTAGATATTCCTGCAGTCAGCTTCCTGGAACTGGGCTGGACAGGGAGGAACGGGGGCTCTGTGGATAGGGGTGGGGAAAGCAGGTGGAGACAGAGGCCTGGCTCCAATGAGGCTACAAGTGTGATTTTTGGAGACAACCAAGGGCCACAAGGAGATCTTGAGACTCTAAAGCTGTGCAGGTGGGTGGGAATGATCTGAAGGGGCAGAAGCCAAGTGCCAAGGGCCCCACCCCCTTCTCGGCTGGTAGCGGGGATGGAGAGGCAGGGCTGGAGAAATGTATGGCTCACACCTTTCCAGGGAGGTGGGCAGGGCGGCTCTGCTGGCTGCTAGTGGAGGAAAAGAAAAGGCCAGCCCAGACGTGAAGGGACACCAGGGAAGACCTTCTCAATGGGATGCATTTTGGGGGTCTAGCCTCTGGCTCTCTGGTTGGGGCACAGCCAAGTCCTACAGCTCCCTGGCTCCCCAAGGAGGCAGTGGTGGGCCAAATCCTGGTGAGTAGTGGTCCCATGAGGCGGAGCTGCTAAGGGCAGTGGCCTCATAGGACTGGGCAGATGGGGCACTTGTTCCAGGGGCCAACTGTTTTGCCCTCTTCCCTTGGCTAGAACTTCCTCATCTGAGCAAGGCGACAGCTGCACCTGCTCCCACCCCTGCCCCCTAGAAACCCCCGGATGGAAGCAGCATGTCTAGAGAGGTGGAATCAGAGCTGTGGGCACGAGCTGGTGCCAGGCTGAGTGTCCACCCCCAGCCCACCCTCCTCCAGCCACTACAAACCAGCTGAGTCAGGGGAAGTGGAGAGCAAAGCCTCAGAACTGGCCCTAGCGGTTACTGGGGAGATGTCTGGCCCACAGCCTTGGGGAGAAAGCCCATCTCTCCTGGGCTGGGCACAGCTCACGACAGCCCCATGGTCCTATAGCTGATGTGGCAGCCTGCCTAGGTCATTGGCTTCCCTATCATCCAGGGTGTGTGTGTCCCCCACCCCTGCATACCCCCTCCCTTCCCCTAGCATATCCCAAATCCTCTTACCTAGCTACGGATTCTGGCCTGGGGTTAAGCCAGTCCTCCCTCACCTCAGTCTGGGCCTCATCATGCCCCTCGCACATGACCCAGACCCAGAGGGAGGCAGGTTGCCCTACCCATTTTCCAGAGACATTAGGGGGCTCTCTTCCAGGCGGCTCAGCTCACTCTGACTCCAGGCGATCATCCATCAGCTCCGTGATCTCCCAGGGCACTGTACACCCTACTGGCCATTAAAGACTCAGATACCATTCCCTGCTGGTGCCTGCCTAGTGCCAGAGGCCAGCAGGTTGCTCACTCAGCCTCAGTCAGTGAGCGCCAAGGTCCCGCTGGCTCTAACTCTGGTCCTACCATGGGAGAAGAGGGCCTCCCTGAGCCAAGAGCTCCCTGAGATTCCCCTTGGAAGAGGCCAACACCTCTACCTTCTTTCTCTCCCTCCCTGAGCTCCCCACTTCCACAGAGCTTTCCCGCACAGATCCACCTGCCGCTGATACCTTCCTAAAGAGATGATAGGGCAAGGATGTTTTCCCCATTAAACAGATGAGAAAACAGGCCTGGAGAAAGGAAGGTGGGAAGGCCAGGACTCGGACTTACCACCTGACTCCTACTCCAGTGCTCCTTCCAAGCCACTTAAATGCCACCCTCGTGAGATCCTACATGAGTGGGGTCCCTATGCCCACCAAACTGTCCACTAGCTGCCCAGCCTCTGCCCCCACAAATCCTCAACACCCTGAGGCATTCCCAGAGACAGATGGGCTCAGTTACTCCCAACAGTGTTTGAGCCAGGGCTTTCGGCCTTGGTTCCAAAGCAGGCATCTAAAGGGTTCCCTGGGCTGGCTAAAGGCTTTGGAGCTGAGGCTGCATAGGGGAGGTGGGAGAGGGTCTCAGAGCCTGGTAATGCACCTCTCCTATCTGCAACCCCTTCCATCTCCTTGCATGCCCCCAACCCCCGCCCTCTGCTGTAAGGAAGCTGGCTCTCAGCATTAAAGTCCCAAAACAGCTTCATGACATTATTCCCTGCCAAAATCTTCATGAGGTTTGCCACTGATGTCAATGTGAAGTCAACTCCCTCGGCCAGGCACACTAGCCTCTGCCAGTCTTCTGGGCCTTCTTGCCCAACTTGCTCATTGTATCCCCTACACTCTAACTACACCTGTGTGTCTCCACCCTGGGATGGGGCACAGCAGAGCTCAGAGACTGGCTGTGGGCTGCACTACACATACACATGCTTATACATATATTCATGCACACGCACACATGCACACACACACAGATGTGCATACAGATGCAGACACACATTTATGTAGAAGCCCACCACTCAACTGCGCATGGTTTTCTGCCAAATCACACACACAATGGAGCTGTCCCTCTGAGACAAGAAGGTTCCAACACATCTGCTGTGTGGATCCCTGGAGAGGCCAAGCATGGTTGTGTCGCCATCCCAAGCCCTTGAGGGGCAGTGGGGAAGCAGAAGTAGATCCCCTGGATCTGGCTGAGCCCTTGCTTGGCCCCAGGGTATCTGAGCCCCAGAGAGTGGCAGAGGATAGTCAAGCAGGTTCCAACTAGGTTCTTACCCTGGTTCTGTGGCCCTTATGTGGGACTGTACAGTCCCCAGTAAGCCACCTTCTCTCTCTGAATCTCCAACTATAAATCAAACGCTTGGGACTAGCTGACACTGAAGGGCTGCCCAGGCCCACTGCCCCACTGCTCTTGGCTCATGCCAAGTGCAGAGAATGGAGAGGCCTGTGAGGGTTGCTATAGCCAGCAGGGCCAGACACCCTCCATGGTGAAATCCTCCAGCTGGGCCAGGGGAAGCTTCAGAAAATGACGATGAGGTGGGCACGAGGGCAGCAGCAGCCGGAAGAAACAGAAGCCAAGAGCAAGGGACGGGCACTTCAATGATCCAAAATTGACATTTATGGAGCAAGTAATGAATCCTATCAAAACATTCACTGTGCAGGGTTTTCTCATCTCAGCATTTAGACTGTGGCCAAATACATCCTTTCTTATCTCTGGGGTATCCAGTGAGCAAATCTAACGGGTTAGGCTCACAGACCATTTGGCCCTATGGGGTCCAATCCGGGCCCTGGCCTCCCAGCCCCTACAAACAGAAGTATAGGGAAGGGGTCAATGTAGAGCAGGGGGAACCTCCTGCAAGATCCTATCCATACCCAAAGCCCTCAGCAGGGATGCAGGGAGTCATGTGCCCTGTACTAAGTATCTATGTGTACACTCAGAGATGCATTCCCACTCTGAGTACGCCAACACCAACGTCTGTATACTCACACACCTACCACCCACACACACACTGGGGACATGGCTGCCAGGCCCTCAGCTCCTGCAGCCCCTGCCCCAGCTCTCCTATCCTGCTTTTGCCTGGAACTTGGAACCCAGTGCCAATACTCATGCTCCCAAGAGCAAGGACTGAGGCAGGAACAGGCTACATGTAGACGCTGCCAGAGGAGCACCACGGCACAGGATCATGCGAGGATCACCATAACCCCAGAGACTGTGACCCTAGTCAGCAGGAACTCCATGCCAGCACAGAAGGAAAGGAAGCGGTGCCTGCGCATCCCAGTGGGGTGCAAGCTCCCCTTTTCCTAAACCTCCCTGGTCCCCAGAGCCCGCTTACCACGTTTACCTCCCTCCCAATCTCCAGCCTGCCCTGTGTGAGCCAGGCCCCCAGGTCATGAACTGTCTGCAAGCTAGGCTGCCCAGAGCCCAGGTGGGGAAGGGAAACCCTTCCCAGGGGAAAGTCCTGCCAGCCCTGGCCCAGGGCCCCTCCACACCCTCAGGGAGGAGGGGAGGGTTGGGGTGGAAGAAGTGCCTGCAAGAGCAGCCCCAGGCCTCGCTGTTCTCTATGGCTTTTTATTCCTATGTGATTCTACTGCTCACTCATATAGGGATTGGAGCCGTGGCGCACGGCGGGGACAGCCAGCGGAGGGTTCTGACACTGAGCAAGGGGGCTCAAAAGGAGGCAGGACAGTGGCACCTCCCTCTCTCAACCCAGGCTGCTGGCCAGGCCAACACAGCCGTTCCTCTATTCCCACTTGCCTCTTCTCCCGCCAGTGGTCACAGGAAGAGGTGTGGGTCACTGGACCTCATCACTGGCTGGACCCACCATCCCAGTGCTGGGACCCCCACTGAAGGGCTGACTTCAGGGTCTGGACTTGGTCCCCAGAGGAGTGGCTGAAGGAACTAGGGATGTTCAGCCTAGGACAAGGGCTGTCACAAGGAAACAGCACTGGGGGGTGGGACAAACTTCAGCTCAACCAGAAGTGCAGTATGTGGCTAAGGGCTGTCCAAAGACAGAAAGGACATCCATCCAACGAGGCCTACAAGCTGAGGCTGGAGAAGCCATGGTGACAGTGCCATGGTGGAGTCATGGTTGGGTGGGTGGGTGGCTGGTCACCCCAGACTGCAGTCTTTAGGCCTGTCCTCCCTGGGGTCTCTGCTCACGCACATCAAAGCTGTCAGGAGCCAAGCTCAACCCTCACACACTCCAGAGGGATGGGCACAGGCTCCCGTTATGCGAGGCACATCCTGCACGTACCCAGCCCAGTAGAGGGGTGTTAAGAGTCCTGCCAGGCCCTGGTACTGTGGCTGCAGCCGTACCACGCTCCCCTCCCAGCGGCTCCCCCGTGAGGCCTCACTCTGAGGGAAGGCGCACTGAGAACCCATGGCATGGTCCTATTTATTTTCAGACATTCTCGCTTCACAGAAAGAAACAGGGTGAGGGGCTCAAGAGAGAGGCTGCCCAAGGGAGAAGCACGGGAACGCTGAACTGGCCGAGGGGCTTGTCCTCATCCTCAGGGGTAGGGGGAAGCCCCCATCTGCCAGTCTGGCTGGAAGGGAATAGATATAGAGCAGAGGCCCTGAGTGGAAGGTGACAGTTAACCAAACAGCCAAGGCCAAGGAGAGGAGGGGCCCTAAGGCTTAGAGAGGCCCTGAGGACCAACCTTGCTCTGCCATCTGACCTTGCCCTTGTAGGCCTCCTCTGAACTCCCAAAATGTGACCTATGCCATCACCGAGGCCGCAGGAACAAGAGGTGGGTGTCCATGACATTGGTACCTGTCATCCCTGTGTGCAGCAGGTGTGCCCCACCCTGGAGGCAGCAGAAGAAGGTATGTGAGTCATTGTGGGCTAGGAAGGTGGCTATGTCCAGGCCCTCAGCTGCAGCCTGGCTGGCAAGCTCAGGTGTGACCCAGGCCCCAGCAGCCTCTGTGGGCCCATCCTGCCCATCGGTGCCACCGCTCAAAAACAGCACATCTATCGGCCCCAGCGGCCACCTTCTCAACTCTGCTCCAACACGCAGGGCCAGTTCCTGGTTCCGGCCACCCCTGCCCGAGCCCTGCAGCTGTACTGTGGGCTCGCCACCAGCCAGCAGGCAGACTGGGCCCCTTCCCCATGCCATGGTCTCCAGAGCCTCCTCCAGCTGCAGGTCTGGGATCTGAAGCTCAGCTGCCAGCTCATGGAGCTGTGCATCTTCCTCCACAGAAGCCCCAGCCATGGATGGGGTGAGGCGGGTTCTAGCCACATGGGCCAGCAGCCCGTAGAACTGGGCCATACTTTTTACATCACCTTGCATGGCTGCACTCAGCACCACAGCCTGGTAGCCCAGTGCCTCGGCCTGCCGCTGGGCCTCAGCTAGCGCCAGCACATTAGAGCCAATGATCACATTCAGGACATGGCCACAGGTGTGTGGCCCATGGGGGTCAGAGTCGGCCCGAGACAGCACAGTCTTCACAGAACGTGGCAGGGCTGCACGGAGGCCGTAGCGATTGAGGATATGCAGGCAATCTTGCACATTGTGGGAACTGGCCACGGTGGGGCCACTGGCAATCACCTCCACAGGGTCCCCCACCACATCTGACAGGATGAGGCTCACCACCTGGGGAAGGGCCACCAGACAAGGCTCAGGCCCACTTCCTCCTCCCCTCAGAGCCCATAAGGACAAACTGCCCCTAGGGTATCCACACACCCTCCCCCAACTCAGTGCATTTCCTTACCCATGGTTAACTCCTCTCACGTGGGCTTGCAAAACACCTGGTCATGCAGGCACCTCCTCCCCGTCTCTGGCACCCCTCCCATGATGTCACCCAGCCGGCCCCATGGTCTTTCACACCATGCCCCTGCCAATCTATATGCTGTTCTAGCTTTCACATCCCTGGCACATGTGGGCCTGGCTCCACCAACCCAAGGTTGCCTGGGGAAGAAGGGACTCATACCTGGGCAGGGTAGGCGGCCTGAGCCAGCCCCCCACCCTTGAGCTGGGACAGGGCCTTCCGAATGGTGTTCAACTCCTGGATGGTGGCTCCACGGGCTGCCAGCAGTCTAGTGAGTGTCTGCTTCTCCTCCAGTGTGACAGGTGGGATGGGGGCAGGCAGCAGAGCTGAACCCCCACCTCTCAAGACAATGAGGGTATCAGGTAGAGGGGCTATCCCAACCCAGGGAACCAGGCAAGCAGGGGTGACAAGCCCACATTAGAAAAAGGGGGCTGGAAAGGTGGGGTTAGGGTGCCCCCCTGTGGATATGCAATATGTGTACAGTCACCACATCCTGGCCACCTGAGGTTGCCCCTGCCTTGGGGTACCCCAGGTCCCAGTAGGCACCGGAAGAACTAACTACTCCTTAAGAGACTAGAACAGGAGGCAGGGCAGGGGGCACACAATGGAAGATCAAGGAGAGGACTCCATGAGGTCTGAGGGCCTAGCCCCAGGTGACATTAGTACAGACAGCAGCAATAGCAGTGACATTTTCCAAGGACTCTACGGATGTGTCAGGCCCTGCATTATGTGCTCCCCATGCACCCTCTCACTGTCACCGAAAAGGTCAGCTCAGGGGGAGGACTCCACAGCTCAGGGGAGGCCAGACGACTAGCCCAAGGCAACCCAGGAGTCACCATCCAGGCTCCTCACCACCTCCCTTGCTCCTAACTTTACCCTGTGACCCCGGGGGCTCAGACCTGATCTCTCGAAGACCTGAGAGATCAGGTGGTGCACCCCCCACCAACAGTCTTGGGCCAATGTGGTACCACACCTGAGATCAGCACGAGCAGCAGGTCATCAGCTGTGAGTCCCTCAGCCAGTTGCTGGATGGCCAGTGCAGCCCGCAGCGCATCGCGGTCCGGGAGGTTGTCCTCCGCACCCTCGAATACCTGGACACGGCTATGTGGCTTCAGCAGCATCTCCCTGGGGAGGGAAAGGTCAGCACGCAAGAGATGGGGTGGACTCCTCTCCTCCCACCTGATCTCTCAACTTTACAGGTGATGGGGGCATGAACGAAGATGCCCACTGACATGCATCCTGGGGCCAGGCCAGATCCAGGAGAAATGGGAAGCGGGTGGGGAGGGGAGGCCCGATTCAGCCTGTGTCTGGGCCCAGGTTTCCCTCCAGATAGATAGAGGGAGGCAGGCCCCCATGGCTCCTTACTGCTTGCCGGCACGCTCCATGGCAGCACGGATCCCCT
The DNA here is from genome assembly GCF_000001405.40 of Homo sapiens. Classification (NCBI taxonomy): domain Eukaryota; kingdom Metazoa; phylum Chordata; class Mammalia; order Primates; family Hominidae; genus Homo; species Homo sapiens. The sequence goes on along the minus strand of NC_000003.12, from coordinate 52,290,682 downwards.
TGGGAACGCTGATCACGCCCTGCACAAGATGCTGGCCCAGTAGTTCCTCAGCTGCAGCTGCCATACCCAGCACAGCCTTGCCAAAGCCCACCAGGTAGAGGTTTTGCCTCAGCTGAAAGTTCCGGTCCCGCACCTTCAGCTGTCTGCCACCAGGGTCCAAGGATAGTGCCCGGTGCAGCATGGGGCCCGGCAGCACTGCACCTACAGCACTCTCAAACAGCTGCCTGGCCTGCTCTGCCAAGGCCATGCTGCTGGCCAGACGGGCCACTGAGCCCCGCCAGAGGAGTGGATGCAAGGGGGCTCGGGCCAAGCGGGGCAGGACCTGCAGGGCTGCAGCCATGCCCCACTGCTCTCAGCACTGCCTGGCACCCATGGCTGCCTAGAGGGAAAAAGCACAACTGAGGCCCTTGCAAGGCAAAAGACAGGAGGTCCCCCACGGCCGCCCCTCTGAGGGCTCAGGGCCAGTGGACCCCACAGCTGCTGCTACAAGAAGGAGCCATCTGATAGCCCCAGGAGACTTCCTGAAGCCTGCAGCTGCAGGATCTTACTCGTCCTTGGAGACCAGCCCTGCCACCCAGCCACGTCCTCCTCTTCTGCAGACCACATGCCGGCCCTCTGGATACTCTGCCTCAAGTCCAAAGTTCCTATTAGCTGGGCCCTCCTCCCAGGTCACCCCTTTGGCTGGGAGTTAATCATTGACAGAGGGAGTAATTTCTACCAGTGGGCTCCCATCCCACCCCTTTTCCACCCCCTGCACTTCTGCGCTGTTACCCTGGGGCAACGCCCCTTTCTGGCACTCCTTCCTTGCCTCTTTACCACCTCTGCTGCCAGGAAGCTGTTGATTGTCCCACCAACTGACCCTGAGCCCATTGACCTCCAGTCTTCTCTATTTCATTATCTCATGAGACTGGGATTAGGAGCCTGGGAAGTCAGGGTCTATAGGAGGCTGCAGGTTTATCAGGTCAAACCCAGAACACATCCTCAGGGCAAGCAATCTGAGGAATCTCAGTATGCAGGACCAGTTCAGCAAGAGGTTTAGGTTCAAATCAGGAGTGAGGGCAAAGTCTGGCTCATGGTGGAACCTTAGAAAAGTCCCCAGGCACCATGTGAGGCCATGTGCCATGAAGCCCAATTGCAGGACAGAAAAGGATGCCCTTCTACCCACACAGTTGGCCAGACCCAACCCTGCCAAGAACACGCCTTCTGGTTCCAAGATAACAAAAACAAGTCCTAGGTCACACCACCCACAGTGGTGAGAGCCCAAGGGCTGAAGTAGGCAAAGGCCAGGCTCCCATAACTGAGCCCATAGCCATTTTCCCCACTGGGCAGAGTAAAAGCTAAAGAAGCCTTGGGGCGAAGGTCAGGAAGCTGTAGAGGGGTATAGGAACAACAAAGACCCAAACAGCTCATCTGTACTACATATGTACTATTGCATCTACTTTAATAAATGCCTACCATAAATGTTGCAAGCTGACTTCATCAGCAAGTATGGACTGAGCAGGGTAAGGAGGCTGGGAATTGAGGTTCCAGCTCTACTATAGGCTTTCTGAGTGGCTGGGACACCTCCATTTCTCTCACTGGGCCTCATCCGCAAAATGAGACATGGGGTGAGATTAACACTACGCTCTTCCCTTAACAACCTCAGGCTCTCTGATACTGTCCACTGCAACACAGATCTCAAACACCGGTTTACCCCACACCCAAATATGGTGGTTACTTCTAGACTTTGACCATTTTGCTTGCCTAGTTCTCAGCTCTCCGGTAAGAAAAGACAGCCATGCCTGACTTCTGTTGTGAAAGGGAACACAGAGGGCATCGTCATGGGGATTCCGAAAATGGGTCCAGTTTTGGCCAGGGGGACCCCTGGAGCTTGCCCATTGGACTTGGAGCTAAAAGCATCTTAGCAACTAAGACAGCCGGTCTTTATAGCCTGGATGAAATTTGTATCTATTTCCCAGATGGACAAGAGCCTAGAAGATCCCAGCCTTGCCACTGGGTATGAGCACAGGACAGGGGGACGCTCAATGCTAAGGCTGCCAGAGAAAATACAGGACTTCCGGTTAAATTTGAATTTCAAATAAACAAGTAATTTTTAAAGTATAAGTATGTGCATACAATGTTTAGGACTTAACAATTATTCGTCGTTTATCTTAACTCAAATTTAACTGGACGTGGCCCGGCGCAGTGGCTCACGCCTGTAATCCCAGCACTTTGGAAGGCTGAGGCGGGCGCATCACCTGAGGTCAGGAGTTCGAGACCAGCCTGACCAACGTGGTGAAACCCCGTCTCTTCTAAAAATACAAAAATTAGCCGGGTGTGGTGGGCGCCCGTAATCCCAGCTACTCGGGAGACTGAGGCATGAGAATCATTTGAACAGGGGAGGCGGAGGTTGCAGTGAGCCGAGATCGCGCCACTGCACTCCAGCCTGGGTGACAGAGTGAGATTCTAACTCAAAAAAAATGTAACTGGACGCTTTGCATTTTTATTTGCTAAGTCCTCCAATTCTATCCAAGACACGGTCTCTCCGAAACTCCGGGAGGCTCCAGAGCAAAACAACGGAAATAGGAAGACTACCGGTCTTGACTCCTCCCCGCCATCAAAGAAGGCTGGTACCATTTCCGGCTTTCCCTAGACAGTAGGGGGCCGGAAGTGACGTCATCCTAAGGTAGGGCCTTAGCGAGGGAAATGGCTGCCGCGTAATGCCCGGTGATGCGAGAAAGAAGGGCCTGCTGCCACCAGGACCCGTCATCGCCCAGCCCAGGGACCGCTTCTGAAGGCCATGCGAGCCCTGGCGGCGCAGACTTACCAGCCCACAGCTCCGGCCGCGGTGCCCAGCGCTGGAGAACGGAAGTACTAGGGGGTGGGCGGAGCGGAAGCCGGAAGTGTGGGTGGGTGGAGCGGCGCAGGCGGGTGCGAGCTCTGGCTGAAGCCGGTGTCCGGGAGGGGAGAGTTTAGCATATTGGCTCTTTGCTGGCCACTGACAGACCTGGAAGGAGTCACCTTCAGTCCTCATTTTTTAAATCTCTACATTGAGGGTAATAATCCCCGCCTCACCGATTGCCGATTTTTTTTTTGAGACGGGGTCTCATTCTGTCGCCCAGACTGGAGTGCAGAGTCGCGGTTTCGGCCCAATGCAACCTCCGCCTCCCGGATTCAAGCGATTCTCATGCCTCAGCCTCCCGAGTAGCTGGGATTACAGGCATGTGCCACCACTCCGGGCTAATTTTTGTATTTTTTAGTAGAGACGGGCTTTCGCCATGTTGCCCAGGCTGGTCTCGAACGCCTAACCTCAAGCGATCCACCCACCTCAGCCTCCGAAAGTGATGGGATTACAGACTTCAGCCGCCGCACCCGGCCTCTCCCTTCCTTTATCCTGTACGGTCAGTCAGCAGATGCACCCTGAGTGTCAGGCACTGACTGGGCTGAGCAAACGAACTGAGAATCACTACTTCCCCACAACTCACCCCTTCTGGAGCCAGATTAAGTAATTCCCGCTCCTCTCCATGGCTTTTATTCCACAACTTATTATTGTTCTTCCCTCTCCCACCATGGGCCACCAAATACAGCTCTGGCTTAGCAAGAGTTCCATTCTGCGATCCTCAAGCACATAAGCGGCATGTAAACGCTAATGACTCTGGGCCTACCTCGCTGTCCCTACTCTCATCCGGGGCCTACCCTGTGTTGGCTGGATGCCTTCCCACATTCATAAGATGAGTCCTGATCAGACTCCAAAAATACAAAACAGTTCACTGTTTTTACTGATGTTTTCTTAGGGAGATAGAGGAGAGAGTTGCATCACAAATCACACACTTGATTTCCTAACAATTTTATTGAAACATGTTTCTTGGCAGGGCGCAGTGTTTCACGCCTGTAATCCCAACATTGGGGAGGCCAAGGTGGGCGGATCGCTTGAGCCTAGGAATGCGAGACCAGCCTGGGAACATGGCGAAACTTATCTCTACCAAAAAAAAAAGAGCCAGGTGTGGTGGCATGCTCCTGTAGTCCCAGCTACTCAGGAGGCTGAGATGGGAGGATCACCTGAGCCTGGGAGGTAGAGGCTGCAGTGAACCTTGATCACGCCACTGCACTCCAACCTGGGCCCCTGTCTCAAAAAAAAACCAACAAACAAAAACACATTTCTTTCTCTTGGTTTTGAGGTGGAGTCTTGCTCTGTCACCCAGGCTGGACTGCAATGGCACAGTCTCAGCTCACGGCCACTGCACTGCAGCCTGGGCACGATGTCGGCTCACTGCAACCTCCGCCTCCCAGGTTCAAGCAATTCTCCTGCCTCAGCCTCCCGAATAGCTGGGACTACAGGCGCCCGCCACCACGTCCAGCTAATTTTTGTATTTTTAGTAGAGACAGAGTTTCACCATGTTGGCCAGGCTGGTCTCGAACTCCTGACCTTGTGATCCACCGCCCTTGGCCTCCCAAAGTGCAGGGATTACAGGCGTATAAACAATTACAGGCGCCCGGCCTATATAAACAACCTTCATCTTTCCCCATGCTGGAGAACACTAATTGCCACTGCTTGGTGTCTGTGTTTCCCTGGATGGCTGCCCTCACACTTTATGCTTGAATAAATTCTTTTAACTGGATATCGAACCTTTTGATGATTTTTAGGTTGACATTAGAAATGTGTTTTTGGGACAGGTGCAGTGGCTCATGCCTGCAATCCCAGTACTTTGGGAGGCTGAGGCAGGTGGGATCATTTGAGGTCAGGAGTTCGAGACTGGCCTAACCAATATGGTGAAACCCCATCTCTACTAAAAAATACAAAAATTAGCTGGGCATGGGCCGGGCACAGTGGCTCACACCTGTAATCCTAGCACTTTGGGAGGCTGAGGCAGGTGGATCACCTGAGGTCAGGAGTTCAAGACCAGCCTGGCCAACATGGCGAAACCCCGTCTCTACTAAAAATACAAAAATTAGCTAGGCATGGTGGTGTGTGCCTGTAATCCCAGCTACTGGTGGGGCTGAGGCAGGAGGATTGCTTGAACCTGGGAGGTTGCAGTGAACCGAGATTGCGTGACTGCCCTCCAGCCTGGGTGACAAAGCGAGACTCCGTCTCAAAAAAAAAAAAAAAAAAGATTGTTTATATAGGCAAAAACAGGAGTGCTGACCAGAATTACAACATTTTCCAAAAAAAGGCTAACATAAATACAAGATTTGGTTGGCTACTATTGATTATACTGGAAGGAGTTTGCTTAACATTCTATTGTAAAGAGACAACAATCACAAGGGTCTCTATCTCCCACATCATCTAGTCTAAGTCTGAATGAAGAATAGGGAGCCTGGTTAATGTATAACATTTCAATACAAAGATCAGGAAGCAGCAGTCATGCATCAGAGAAGAAAAAAAAAAAGCAATGCCTGCTCAGTTTCCAGGGCTTCACTTTTCTCCTTCACATTATAAATTGGGAATGTCCTAAAATTTTATTTTCTTTTCACACCCCCTACCTGCTCCCTTTGGCAGTTGCTACATCTCTCCTTAGGTCTCCAAACCATGCTGTGCTCTTGTCATGAACCTTTCCCTTCCTCTGGCCCCCACTTCCAGCTCTCTCCCTGGATTTTTCTTTTTCTTATATATACATATATTTTTATTTGAGACAGGATCTCACTCTGTCACCCAGGTTGGAGTTCAGTGCCATCATCTTGGATTATTGCAACCTCCACCTCCGAGGCTCAAGTGATCCTCCCACTTCAGTCTCCCAAGTAGCTGGGACCACAGACGTGCACCACCACACCCAGCTAATTTTTTGTATTTTTTGTAGAGAAGTGGTTTTGCCATGTTGGCCAGGCTGGTCTCAAACTTCTGCGCTCAAACCATCTTCCTGCCTCTGTCTCCCAAAGTGCTGGGATTACAGGTGTGAGCCACCACACCCGTCCTTCTCCCTGGATTTTTCCTTTTAAAATATGAGACTTTGTATTCCTTCTCCTAAATGATTTCCCACCACATCATCAAAACAAAGGCATCCGTAGGTGGAATTGCCCTCTTTAATGTGGGAGAGGTTGTAAATACTGAAAATTTTATTGTTTTTTCTTGGTTATAGTCAGCTATATTCCTTCCATGCATTTATTCCTTCCTCAGACATAATTCAAGACATTTCCTGAGTGCCTTCTGTGTGGGCCGAATGCTGTAGCTGCTGGGATAGGTAAGAAGTGGTACTTTTAATTTTAATTTTTTTTTGTTTTTAGGAGACAAAGTCTCACACTGTCGCCCAGGCTGGAGGACAGTGGTGATTACAGCTCACTATAGCCTCAACCTCCTGGGTTGTAGCGATCCTCCTGCCTCAGCCTCTCAAGTAGCTGGGACTACAGGTGCACACCACCATGCCTGGCTAATTTTTTGTGGAGACAGGGTCTTGCTTTGTTGCCCAAGCTGGTCTCAAACTCCTGGGCTCAAGCAGTTCTCCTGCCCCAGCCTCTGAAAGTGCTGGGACTATAGGTGTAAGCCACTGTGCCCAGCCTGGGCTTGCAGGGTTACTCCGTGGGAGGGAAGGTCAGCTGTGTTGGAGGCAGGGTAAAGTGGAGCTGTGTCCTATGTAAGGGCTGTACAACACCTTAAAACTGGGAGGCCGAGGTGAGCGGATCACTTGAGGTCAGGAGTTTGAGACCAGCCTGGCCAACATGGCAAAACCCCGTTTCTACTAAAAATACAACAACAACAACAACAACAACAACAACAACAAATTAGCCGGATGTGGTGTCACGCACCTATAATTCCAGCTACTCGGAAGGCTGAGGTGGGAGAATTGCTTGAACCCAGGAGGTAGAGGTTGCAGTGAGCTGAGATCACACCACTGCACTCCAGCCTGGGTGACAGAGTGAGACTCTGTCTCAAAAAAAAAAAAAAAAAAATTAAAAAAAATAAAACATCTTAAAGCTATTTTTCTTGGAAGGAGGAGTTGGGGAGAGTAAAACAAAACACTAGGAAGCAGTTCAGCATGACTCTAGGCAAGCACTGATGAGAGGCCACTAAAGCTGTGTATGTTGGATTGTTTGGGAGTTTTTAAGCCTTAGGAAACAGTGCTGTAGTTTTAGAGACAGTGGCCTTGGCCCTGAGACTCTAGGCAGTTCCTTCTGGCTCTGAGCAGTCAAGGCTTATCTGGGAAGATTCCATCCTTTCCTTCCAGACTAAGAAGGTATTATTTACCGACAGTGGTCTTTGTTAAATGTGAATGATTTCTTGTCCTTTGCCCTGGAAACAGAACACAAGCTTTCCAGTGCTGAAGCAGAGTGTGAATCCAGACTTCAGTGCTTATTGGTTAAGTGACCCTGAGAAAGTTAACCTCTCAGAACTTCAGAGTCTTCATCACAGTATGTTTCCAGTGCATGTAGAAAGGCTCAGTGTTGTTGCTGTACTAGTCCTGGGTTGAGCCAGCTTCATGGGTGTGTGACTTGTATAGTCAGAAGGACCCTGCACTTCATTTAATATTCTGTTGTTGTCATCTTGAGATTCTTAGCAATTTTTTAACAAGGGGCCCTACAAATTGGGTAGTTAGTCCTGCTGCCAGGGAAAGATACTTTCTTTTTATCCAGGCCCCCGGTCCTGGAGTCTCAAGACCTCTCTGAGGAATTCCAGTAGAAGTGGACATACATTAGTAACTAAATTTATTTATTATTTCTGGTCATATTCATGTATATCCCACAAGATTTTCCATGCACACACTTAAATTCTGTCTAAATAAAAATGGCTTACTTCATCCTTGTAATATTTATTTTTTTTCTTTCTTTTTTTTTTGAGACAGAGTTTCACTCTATCGCCCAGGCTGGAGTGCGATCTCGGCTCTGCAACCTCCGCCTCCCGGGTTCAAGCAATTCTCCTGCCTCAGCCTCCCGAGTAGCTGGGACTACAGGCGCACACCACCATGCTTGGCTAATTTTTGTATTTTTTGGTGGAGTCGCAGTTTCACCATGCTGCCCAAGCTGGTCTTGAACTCCTGACCTCAAGTGATTCACCCACCTTGGCCTCCCAGAGTGCTGGGATTACAGGCATGAGCCACTGTGCCTGGCCCTTATCTGAGGAATTTAGAAGGGAGCAAAGACCACCTGGTAACCATCCAACAGGCCATCCAGAGGCAAAACTCCTTATCTGGGGAAATTAGAAGTAATTAAACTTCCCTAGTATCTAAAGTGGGCATCTGGTTCCAGGCCTCTTTCAACTTTTATAAGTAACTAAAATTTCTAGGCATCTCTGGAATGTCATGCTGAAACTAATTTTACAACCCTAAGCTCCTGCCTGAAGGTCCATAAATGCACCTAAGGAAAATCCACCAAGGCCCTCAGTCCTCTCGCTGGGGTGCCCCGCTGCACTCTTCTGCAGCGTTCTTTCTTTCTAAGAAATTTTCCTTTTTCAAACCTATACTGTTGTCAGTAAATTTTTTGCCAACCTGTGAGGCGACCACTTCCTGGTGCTGGGGCTCAGACACCTCACCAGGCATTTTGTGTTCTAGTGTTCTGCGTTTCCTCTTTGGCAATTAAGCTCACACACACACACACTCAACTGTCCCAAAGAAGAGAGTCACCTGATTCTAGTTATTCCGAGGGCTGTGTAAGCACTGATACACACACACACTGTCACACTTACACACATGCAACTGTCCCAAAGAAGAGAGTCACCTGATTCTAGTTATTCCAAGGGTTGAGTAAGACGTTAGTCAATCTCTAGGGAAGCCCTGCTGCTGGGCACTGGAGCTCAGAAATTTATCTCAAAGAATTAGAATTCATAAGGAGCTCTGTGTTTTGGAAAGAGGACACATTGTTTAGGACAGTTTCCATTCCAATTGTGCAGCATGAAATAGAAAAATTTAATAAGTGGGCCAATCAAGTATCTGGAATCCTTTGGATAAATTCATTTATTCAATTAATCCATACTGAGCTCTGGCTGGGCTCTGGACAAAATGGGAAGCAAAATTACTTTACAGCCATATAATAGAATAGTTTGTAGCCATTCAAAATGATTGTATCGATATTTATTGACCTGGAATATGTTCATAGTATGGGTAAACTTACAAACAATATATTATGAACCCAATAAAAATATATTTCAGGGATTGGCTGGGTGTGGTGGCTCATGCCTGTAATCCCAGCACTTTGGGATGGTGAGGCAGGCAGATCACCTGAGGTCAGCAGTTCAAGACCAGCCAGGCCAACATGATAAAACCTCGTCTGTACTAAAAATACAAAATTAGCTGGGCGTGGTGGCGGGCATCTATAGGAGGCTGAGGCAGGAGAATCACTTGAACCCAGGACATGGAGGTTACAGTGAGCTGAGAGCACGCCACTGCACTCCAGTCTGGGTGACAGAGCAGGAAAAAAAAAAAAAAAAAAAAAAAAAAAATATATATATATATATATATGTATATGAAAAAATCGGAAAGGTTCTACATCAAAATGGTAAATTTCGTGTTATATATATTTCACTATAATAAAAGATTGTAACAGTGGCTATCTCTGGATGCTGTTTTTATTATTTGTATTTTTTAGTTTTTTTGCAATGAATATGTGACAAGTAAAAGAATGACTACAAATAAAAGGAAACATAAAAAATTAAGTCTGATGCTCTTTTAAAGCCCATCTGATTCACTCTTGACTGCAGCTTTCTCTCCATCCACCCATCCACTGGAGCCGGCTTTCTGTGTCACTTTTTAAAGTCCATTTTTTTTTTTTTTTTGAGACGGAGTCTTGCTCTAATGCCCAGTGCAGTGGTGTGATCTCGGCTCACTACAACCTCTGCCTCCCGGATTCAAGCGATTCTCCTGCCTCAGCCTCCCAAGTAGCTGGGATTACAGGTGCCCGCCACTGTGCCCAGCTAATTTTTGTATTTTTAATAGAGACAGGGTTTCACCATTTTGGCCAGGCTGGTTTTGAACTCCCGACCTTGTGATCTACCCACCTCGGCCTCCCAAAGTGCCACCGCACCTGGCCTAAAGTCCATCCTTTAAGGCAACCATACTGTTGGGCTGGAAGCCAGGAGAGCCCCACTATAATAGGGCAGGGAGCCAGGCTAGGAATTGGAAACAGTAAGAATGCGAAACAGGATGAGGATTTGAAGACCCTCTTAAAAATGGGGGAAAAAAAAAAAGACTGCATTCCAAAAATAATGCAGAAAGTCAAGTCTTGGGAGGAAGGTTTGGTCTTAACGGTGAAATCTGGAAAAGGTATAGGAAGTACAATACTTGAAAAATACCCTGCAAAGATTTATTTTGGCTGGCAACATTCAGTAGATTACAGCTGTTTCTGTGGTTATTTTTGTAGATTAACATGGACCAAAATATGGCATCATCTTACTGGGTGTGTTCACTTCCCGACAGTTCTAGAACATGGTACTCGATCTGTCCTTGTTGCCTTCTAAACTATTCGAAGCAGACGCTGTATCAGACTTTCTAGCTTCTGAAATAAAGGCACAGGAATTACAGGGAAGCAGAGCAAGTGATCTGGGACGTGGAGGGTTTTTCTTCCATTGTGTGCAGTTTGGAAAGTTGCCATCTATTCAGGTTTCACTCAAACCGGCTTTTTCCAGACCCCAGAACAAATTGTAGCCAGAAGCTCTGCTCTTTGTCAGGAGGCAATTATACCCCAGACTTAGCCAGGAACTTGCCTCTTCCCTTAGAGAACAACTTCTCTTTATGTATAAGGATCCTGGCTCTCCTTTTACCCAGGGGGTTGGGATACAGCCTCTAGTTCTTTCTAGAAAGACCCCAACTGTCCCAGGGTTTCCATTTTGTTTTTTACCATTGCACAGGTCTCTGGATAATAACCTTCCTAATAGCGACTGAAATGTCTCACAGCCTTTCCTCGTTTTTGTTTCTCTTTAGCTAAAGAAAGCAAAAATAAATAATCCCCATCTTCATTGTTGGAAACCCCAGGCAATTAACCTTTTGAGGAGCTTCACACAAGATACAGATCTGTGAAGCCACATAGGTTGGCATTGAGTTTAACCCCTTGCCCAGAAAGTTAAGGTTAGGAAGCTTGGTTCCTATTTTCTGTTCAAATACTGCTTTCCTTTGTTAGAGATAAACTTTCTTTTAAGGCAAATAATCACTTATATGATAGAACCTTTAAAATAATCCTGTTGACTACAAACAGGATAGTGCAACTCTTCCAAATCTTGAATGTGGTGGTGACTGCATGACTGTGTATGGGTGTCAGAACATAAAACTAGCCACTAAAAAGGCTAATTTTTGGGGGGAAACCGTCTGCTCTGTCGCCCAGCCTGGAATGCAGTGGCACGATTTCGGCGCACTGCAGCCTCCGCCTTTCTCAATTCTCGTGCCTCAGCCGCGCCATCATGCCCGGCTAATTTTTTGTATTTTAGTAGAGGTGGGGTTTTGTCATGTTGGCCAGGCTGGTCTCAACTCCTGAGCTCAAGCGATCATCCCGCCTCGGCCTCCCAAAGTGGTGGGTTTAAAGGCGTGAGCCACCGCGCCCGGCCTAAAAAGGCTGATTTTTACTGTACCTAAAGTCTACCTCGATTAAGAAAACGAGGCCGGGTGCGGGTGAGGTCAGGAGTTCGAGACCAGCCTGGCCAACATGGTGAACCCCCGTCTCTACCAAAAATACAAAATTAGCTGGGCGTGGTGGCGCGCGCCTGAGCGAGAGACTCCATCTCCAAAAAAAAAAAAAAAAGTAAAGAGGTCGAAGCTGTCTAAGCGGACGCTGCGGTGGACTAGCGGTCAAGCTTGCCTGCGAGCGGCTCACCTGAGTCACCCCCAAAACCGGCCTCCAGCAGCATACCCGACCCTGCAGTACCCCCTCCCACGCAGCCTGCGATCGGGACGCCTGCAGGAGGCGCCAGAGTCTTCGCGGGGGTTGCAATCCCGCGCAAGGGCCCCCGGCTCCCAAGGCATCCGCAACCTTCCGATCCCCCGGGAAGGCCCTGCACGTCTCGGCCGCTCCCTGCCAGCAGCCCGCCCCGCCACTACACTCCGCCGCGGCCGCGCTGACGTCACCACCCCGCCTCCCCGCCTTGCTCCGCCGTTCCCGCCCCGCCCCCTTTCCCGGCGTGCGCCGCGGCTGAGGCTCCTCGCCCTCAGCTTCTGCCTGTCGCCCCAAAATGGCGGACACAATGAGCCGGCGACGCGCCGGTTGTCCGTGAGGTGGCTGTGAGGACGAACGGTCGGCGAGGCTCCACAGTCCAGGCAGAAGACCCTCGACCAAGCAGGAAGAAGAGGAGGAGGCGGCCCAACTGTTGGCCGACTTCCCGCTAGCCGCCGGCGCGGCGCCCGCCCCGCCTGGGTTGGCCCCTCGGCAGCCCGCCCGCTCGCCGCCGGGCCCCGCCCCGGCCCTGCGCCGCCGCTGCCTTCCCCAGCCGCCGCCATGAAGCTGACCGACAGCGTGTTGCGGAGCTTCCGCGTCGCTAAGGTGTTCCGCGAAAACTCGGACAAGATTAACTGCTTCGATTTCAGCCCCAACGGCGAGACGGTCATCTCGAGTAGCGACGACGACTCCATCGTGCTCTATGACTGCCAGGAGGGCAAGTGAGTGCGGCGGAGGCCCTGGGCCCGAGTCTCAGTGCCTCCCTCCGGTGGCCCAGCACAGGTCCCTCGGCCTGCCCTCCGTCCCGACTTCAGCCCCCAGCCTATTTTGCACGCGTTCCTGCCAGGGCCGCCTCCACCCCGCAGCCGTCCAGGAGACCTTTTATTTTTTTCTTCTTAAAAAAAAAAGATAACGATAGTCATAATTTTATAATATTATTTGTATGTCTTCGGTCTCCTTTGAGCGCTATGCATCACTTGCCAAACCCCACCTTGACCTTGACCTTTAAACGCCCGGTCCGCCCACCCTGGGCCCACCAGGTAGCGTTTTCAGCTCCTCAGGCTGTCAAAGGTGCTGGTCTGCTCCGGCCTCGACGCAGGACTGCAGGGGCTGCTTTTCTGCCTCCTTCGGCAGCGTCAGCTCTCTCTTGTGCTCTCTCCACTGTGACCTCGATTCCGCCCTGGCACTCCGCCCATCCCCTGCCCCTCAGCTTCCCGCGGCCTTTCTGCCGTCAGACCGCGTGGGTTGCACTTCTTAGCTGTCAGGATTTATTTGTTGTGCCCCTTTGAGCCCCCTTGCTTTTTCTTCCTGCTCCTAGCCTTTCTCTTACTCATTCAGACTTGGTGCCCACGTTCATAAGTGAACTTTTCAGCAACATCTAAAACTTCCTTTTTGCCACACACAAACGAACTTGGTCGTCCCATCCTGACCTGAATGTGAGCTTCCGTTAAAACAAAGCAAGCATCGTAGAACAATTTCAGGTTTCCTTTCATACTTTTTTTTTTCTATTACACTTTTTGGTCCACTTTGAATTCCAATTCTGATCATGAAACTTTTATGTTGCCACAAGTCATCTGGAGACCCACCATACCTGCATCTTTTCGCAAAATCTAAGCACAGCACTTTGCCTTTTTCCCTGGGGGTCCTTGTCAGCCCTCCTCACCGCACGCCTGTGGACTTGCAGCTCCTTGGAGCCAAAAACTAGTTTAGATTAAATTCGTTTTACCCTTAGCCACCTTCCCCAAGAAGGCTTGCTGATGTTTGGTTTAATTCGGTGGACCCTGGTTTTTTCAGACTTGATTTTGTCACCTAGTAACAGATATTATTATTATTATTATTATTATTATTATTATTATTTGAGATCTTGGGTTTTTCTCCACCTTCTCCAGCTGTTCCTTTTTCCTTTTTTTTTTTTTAGACTGGTGTCCTTCTTTTGGAACATATCTCTTCATTTGTGAATTTGATTATCTGAAGTAATGCTAGTTTGGACTGAGCTATAATGGTATCCCCCCAGTTTTTTTCCCCACTGGGGCTGTGAGAAAGTATTATGTAACCGGCTCTGGATCTGCCTGCAGTTTGTGGCAGAGTGGTCTGCAGTGGTGGTCTTAAGGAAGAGGGAATTGTTAGCTGGACAAATAGTTATTTGAGTCAGTGTTACTCATTGAGTAGATGGATTTCTGTCCTGGTCTGGTCACTTGAATCAGTTTAGAAGACGAAGTAACATTTAAAGGTGTGGTAGTAGGGTCAGCATTGTGGGGTCCTGGAGGAGTAATTTGAAGCTGGCTTGCATGAAATGTATAGTGCTTATGCACAGATTAGAACCTCTTCCCAGAACCTGAGGGTGGAGATGTATATCCTCATTTAAAGGAAATGAAGGTTGTTATAGCATTTCTTTGCAGTTTGTCCCCAAATTTGGCGTAATTTTGATTTGGGAAGGATGACCTTGACATGAAGTCCTGTCTTTCTTTTTTTTGTTTTTTTTTTTCGGGTGGGGGACGGAGTCTCTCTCCGTCGCCCAGGCTGGAGTGTAGTGGCGCGATCTTGGCTCACTGCAACCTCTGCCTCCCGGGTTCAAGCGATTCTCCTGCCTCACCCTCACAAATAGCTGGGATTACAGGCGCCTGCCACCATACCCTAACTTTTGTATTTTTAGTAGAGATGGGGTTTCACCATGTTGACCAGACTGGTCTTGAACTCCTGACCTCAAGTGATCCACCCGCCTTGGCCTTCCAAAGTGCTAGGATTATAGGCATGAGCTGCTGTGCCTGGCCAAATCCTGTCTTGTTAAAAGTAAAATGCTAGTTTTGTGACATAAGGCAGTTTATTTACTCGTAGCATTTTTACATAATTAGAAACTAACAAAGTTACAGTGTTTCAAAGAACTCCCATATGATTCAATAACTGGTTACATTTTCTGCATTTGCTTCATGACTGTAGGTAAATATTTATATGTACTGTGTGCCTCCCCCCACCTTTAGAGTTGGAGGTATCAAGCCCCTTTATCCCTAAACACTTCAACATGGATTTTCTTTCTTTTTTGAGATGGAGTCTCGCTCAGTCGCCCAGGCTGGAGTGCAGTGGCGTGATCTTGGCTCACTGCAACCTCCGGCTCCTGGGTTCAAGCGATTCTCCTGCCTCAGCCTCCTGAGTAGCTGGGATTACAGGTGCATGCCACCATGCCTGGCTAATTTTTGTATCTTTAGTAGAGGCAGGGTTTCACCATGTTGGTCAGGCTGGTCTTGAACTCCTGATCTCGTGATCTACCCGCCTCAGCCTCCCAAAGTGCTGGGATTCCAGGCATGAGCCACTGCGCCCGGCTCAACGTGGATTTTCTAAGCACAAAGACATTCTTATGTAACCAGAGCACAGTTATCCAAATTAGGAAATTTAGTACTGATACAATACTACAGGGCATGCTCTTGAGTTTTCTCTGATCAATTAATTGTAACCTTGTTTCATTATCTGTGGTGAAGGAGTGGCCTGGTAGTTAGGAGGGAACTGGGTACTAGTTTGGCCTGTGACTAGGTATGTGACATTGGTCAGATTACTTCTTTGGGTATTAGACAACCTCTTTAGTTTCCATTCTAGGCAATAATATGATGAAAAATTTTGTCACTAGTATAGGTCAAACCGACCTCAGAAGAAAAGAAGTATTTCCTTGGGAAGGCATGGTATTGTATCTTTTATTTATTTATTTTTTTGATAGGGACTTTCGCTCTTGTTGCCCAGGCTGGAGTGCAGTGGCTCCATCTCGGCTCACTGCAACCTCCGCCTCCCGAGTTCAAGCGATTCTCCTGCCTCAGCCTCCTGAGTAGCTGGGATTACAGGCATGCGCCACCACACCTGGCTAATTTTGTATTTTTAGTAGATGCGGGATTTCTCCATGTTGGTCAGGCTGGTCTCGAATTCCCGACCTCAGGTGATCCGCCGCCTCGGCCTCCCAAAGTGCTGGGATTGCAGGCATGAGCCACTGCGCCCGGCCTTTCTTTTTGTTTGTTTGTTTGTTTTGTTTTGTTTTGTTTTTGAGACTGCCTCACTCTTTCCTAGGCTGGAGTGCAGTGGCGTAATCTTGGCTCACTGCTGCAACCTCGCTGCTGGATTCAAGCGATTCTCGTGCCTCAGCCTCCCGAGTAGCTGGGATTACAGGCACCCATCAGTGTGCCTGCTAATTTTTGTATTTTTAGTAGAAATGGGGTTTCACAATGTTGGCCATGTTGGTCTCAACATCTTACCTCAAGTGATCTGCCCACCTCGGTCTCCTCGGCCTCCCAGAGTGCTGGGATTACATATGTGAGCCTCCGCACCCGGCCCTGTTTTTTTGTTTTGTTTTGTTTTGTTTTTTTGTTTGTTTGTTGTTAAGACAAAGGTCTTCCCCTGTTGCTCAGGCTGGAGTGCAATAGCATGCTTATAGTTCACTAAAGCCTTCATCTTCTGGGCTCAAGTGATCTTCCCACCTCAATCTCCAAAGTAGTTGGGCCTACAAGCACTCGCCAACTTACTTGGCTATTTTTATTTTTAGTGGAGACAAGTTCTCACCAGGTTGCCCAGGCTGGTCTCAAACTCCTGAACTCAAGCGATCCTCTCACCTAGGCCTCCCAAAGTGCTGGGATTACAGGTGTTAGCTACTGTGACCGGCCGAAGGCATAGTATCTTTATTAGATGACCCTAGTGTTAGAATTTGGGAGTTTGAAAATGGCTAAAGCAAGATTTTGTGTGCTTAGTATTTTCCAGTTTACTGGTCATTTAAATTTTCTTTACAATGGAGTTCGCCCATTGAGTGATATTTCAATTTGGAAGAGTATAAAGGATATTGTTTGTGGTAGGTGAAGCAAATTACTCAAAGTGAAAGGTTAATATTATTTTCCTTGTTGATGCTTGATCACCAGAATTATAGTTTGAGGAAGGAAGCTTACCAAAATATTTGAAAAATGTTGTGCATGTATTTTGTAAGACCCACATGGATGCAGTACAGTATAATCTTGCTTTCAAGTTAGGAAATGAGTCCAGGTGTGGTGGCTCACACTTGTAATCCCAGCACTTTGGGAGGCCGAGGCGGGTGGATCGCCTGGGTCAGGAGTTCAAAACCAGCCTGGACAATGTGGTGAAACCTTGTCTATACAGAAAAATACAAAAATTAGCTGAGCCTGGTGGCAGGGGCCTGTAATCCCAGCTACTCAGGAGGCTGAGGCAGGGAGAATTGCTTGAACCGGGGACGCAGAGGTTGCAGTGAGCCGAGATCGTGCCTCTGCACTCCAGCCAGGGTAACAGAGCGAGAATGTCTCAAAAACATAAAAATAATAAAAATCAAATTGGGAAATGAAATGAGGCAGTAGATTTCTG
The DNA here is from genome assembly GCF_000001405.40 of Homo sapiens. Lineage (NCBI taxonomy): Eukaryota > Metazoa > Chordata > Mammalia > Primates > Hominidae > Homo > Homo sapiens. The sequence continues at coordinate 52,273,582 of NC_000003.12, read as the reverse complement.
TTATCAGGAAAAAAAATCTCAGGTTAGTGTTTTTGATAAATTTGAGACAAATAGACCAGATCTAAGTGGAACCAGAAATTTTCCTTACACTATTCTCTTTCAACTTGTCAAGTTAGAGTTGGCTCTTCATGTTCTGTCTTTTTTTTTTTTTAAGACGGAGTTTCGCTCTTGTTGCCCAGGTCGGAGTACAATGGCGCGATCTTGGCTCAATGCAACCTCCATGTCCCGGGTTCCAGTGATTCTCCTACCTCAGCCTCCCAAGTAACTGGGATTACAGGTGCCCACCACCACACCTGGCTAATTTTTTTAATTTTTAGTAGAGATGGGATTTCACCCTGTTAGCCAGGCTGGTCTCAGACTCCTGACCTCAGGTGATCCACCCACCTTGGCTTCCCAAAGCCTGAGATTACAGGCGTGAGCCACTGCGCCCGGCCAGTTTCTGTCTTTGCTATTGTAGATGGGATGAAATAACTGATATAAACTTCTTCCACTGGTAGCAGAGTCAACTATGTAGAGAGTAAGTATACAGCCACACACTGAGACTGCCTCACTGGTTACCACACAGTAACCCCACATCAGAACCCCAGACAGTGCACTTGGCAAAGTAGCCTTTGCTGATCTTTTTAGGAGTGAAGTGTTATTTCAGTAAAGGTAAGAATGTGGAAAATCCAGTGTATTTGTAGTGAGAAGTCTGTTGGAAATGGGTTTCATGTAGGGAAGCCCTTGGCCTCACTTTAACAAAAATTGAAAGTGCAAATAACTGACTTCTTAAAGACTGCTTGAGTCGTGATTGTTTAGTACCTAGATTCTGAGAGGATTTTACATTGAGAGGATTAGCTTTCCTTTTCATAAATTGGAACTCTTGGTTAACATTAGTACAGGATTTATGAAATCTTTCTAAAGAACTAAATGTAGGACATTATGTTAAAGGCTTTCCTGTTTTTTCAGTTGATCGTATTGGAGAGTTATTTTAGCATTTGAATCTAGATTTACATAGATATTTAAGTCTCAAATTTTTATTTTTCTTTTTTTTTTTTTTGAGATGGAGTCTTGCTCTGTTGCCCAGGCTAGAGTGCAGTGGCGCGATCTCAGCTCACTACAATCTCTGCCTCCCAGGCTTAAGTGATTCTCGTGCCTCAGCCTCCTGAGTAGCTGGGACTACAGGCGTGGGCCACCACACCCAGCTAATTTTTGTATCTTTAGTAGAGATAGCGTTTCGCCATGTTGGCCAGGCTGGTCTCAAACTCCTGACCTCAGGCAATCCACCCTCCTCGGCCTCCCAAAGTGCTGAGATTACAGGCGTGAGCCACCACGCCCAGCCTAAAATTTTTCTAACTTAACCAGTATGTGTTAGAGTTTTTGGTTAAAGGTTCTGTTGAGACCAGTTTTAGCCTTGCTCTTCAAGGTTCTGTAAAGGGAGACATTTAAGGAACTTCAACAAATGGAGATTGATAACCTCTAGCTTGGAAATGTGTGATTTTTTGTCTGTTATTGAGGTGGAGTCTCACTCTGTCGCAGAGGCTGTATTGCAGTGGCACGATCTTGGCTTACTGCAACCTCTGCCTCCTGGGTTCAAGGAATTCTCCTGCCTCAGCCTCTTGAGTAGCTGGAATTACAAGTGTGTGCCACCACACCCGGCTAATTTTTGTATTTTTAGTAGAGACGGGGTTTCACCATGTTGGGCTGCTCTCGAACTTCTGACTACAGGTGATTTGCCTGGCTCGGCCTCCCAAAGTGCTGTGATGACTGATGTGAGCCACCACCTTGTGGCCAGAAATGTGTGATTTTGCTTTAAAGTAAAAGCAAAGGAACTATTTAACTGGTTTTGCTAGAGAAAGTTAGGCTTGCCTTCTAAAAGGCTCAGCAAGCGCTTTTGACCTGTAGGATAGGAAGGATGGATGTCTTCTGCAAGAGCAGGTTACATTAGCAAAGGCAAGCAGTTTTGCATCTGGTTTCAGTTTTGAGGAATCACTGCCGTCTTGAAAAAAAAAAACACAGAGCTTCTTTCTAAATGGATGTCTTGAGAAGAAAAGTTTGGCCTCTTGGGTTTGACATATTCTCATATCCCTCTTTGTTGTAAGTTAAGACTTGTTTTGTGTGCCTTTCTTCCCAAGTAGATGTACAGCCATGCATCACTTAGATGGGGATCATCACGTGAGTTTTTGTTGCAGCAGCATCATAGAGTGTACTTACACAAACCTGACGGTATAATCTGCACACACCTAGGCTGTTTGGTATGGCCCATTGCTCCTAGGCTACAAACCTGTACAGCATTTTACAGTACTGAATACTGTAGGCAATTATAATATAGCGTTAAGTGTTTGTGTATCTAAACATAGAAAAGGTGCCGTAAAACAGTTTAAGGGATTTAAAAAATGAAACATCGGTTGTAGAGGGCAGCTCTATTATAATCTTATGAGACCATTACCCTATGTGCTGTCTGTTGTTGATAAAAATGTCATCACATGGCACATGATTGTATTTTTTCTCAAAGCTTTTGAACATTGTAGTAAAGACTGAATTGAATCCCCAGATTTACTTTTACTTCCCACCTAACCTTGCCACTAGGTGTTCTAAGGTGGAAAGCTTCTTCAGATGGCTGTTGCTTGAGCGTTGTTTTTTCCCTTTTGGAAGAAGTTGTTTCTTTCCAGTGTTAGAACTTACCAAAAATCCTCACCTTTGCCACATCATTCAAGTGCTTCTCTTTATGTGGAGATCCCAGATTTTGATGATGGAGAATGTTCATGATTTTCTGTCTCTATTTTCTTATCAGACCAAAGAGAACCCTGTACAGTAAGAAATATGGTGTGGACCTCATCAGATACACTCATGCAGCAAACACAGTTGTTTACAGCTCTAACAAAATAGACGGTAAGCAAGCCTTTTTAGGAAGTTAAGGTCATGGTTTCCTTTGTTAAATAGTTCATGGAATCTTTGTGACTACTTCTGCTTTGTGACTACTTTAGTTTAAGTATTTTCATATAATGTTAGTAATGTTAATTGCATTGTTTTGACTGAAGGAATGCTGGAAGCAAGCCATTGGCACTTTTGAAGGACTTGGGACTGAGTATGAAAAGTCTTCAATTCAGAGTGGGGAGTGGAAAAAGGAAACAACTAATTGTGTTTATGATTTGTACTTCCTGACACTTAAAAGAACGCTTTTAAAGCCGGGCGTAGGGGCTCGCGCCTATAATCCCAACCTTTGGGAGGCTGAGGTGGGCGGATCACTGAGGTCAGGAGTTCAAGACCAGCCTGGCCGATATGGTGAAACCTTGTCTCTACTAAAAATACAGAAGTTAGCTGGGCACAGTGGTGCACGCCTATAATCCCAGCTACACAGGAGGCTGAGGCAGGAGAATCTCTTGAACCCGGGAGGCAGAGGTTGTGGTGAGCCAAGATCACGCCATTGCACTCCAGCCTGGGCGACAGAGTGAGACTCCATCTCCAAAAAGAACACTTTTAGAACAAATAAAAGGAAAGAACACTTGATACACAGCAAGTGATAAACAACAGGACTTTTTCTTTTAAAATGATAGAGATTTGAGAAAAGTTTCACAAATGCTTGAACTATGATAGTTTAAGGGAAGTTAGAACAGTTTTGGTGTTTTCCCAACCTTAGTCACTTCTGATTCCAGGAACGTTTTTTGATCTAAAGAGTAGAGTTACTTTTAGAAATTGAACTTGTGAGTTTCTTTCTATAATAAACAATCTCTGTTTTTGCCTGCATGTCTCGAGATAAATCCTAAGTTAACAGATTGTCTTGGTAACTGAACTGTAACACTTATTTTCATGTTAGAATTCTTTAATTTTTTAATTTTGTTTATTTTCTTTTGTTTGTCTGTTTTTATTTTTTGAGACAGAGTCTCACTCTGTTGCCTAGGCTGGAGTGCAGTGGCGCGATCTCAGCTCGCTGCAACCTCCGCCTCCCGGGTTCAAGTAATTCTCCTGCCTCAGCCTCCCAGGTAGCTGGGACTACAGGTGCATGCCACCATGCCTGGCTAATTTTTTGTATTTTTAGTAGAGACAGGGTTTCACCATGTTAGCCAGGATGGGTCTTGATCTCCTGACCTTGTAAGCCACCGTGCCCGGCCTATTCTTTATTCTTTTGAGACAGAGTCCTGCTCTTGTTGCCCAGGCTGGAGTGCAATGGTGCAATCTCGGCTCACTGCAATCTCAGCCTCCTGGGTTCAAGCGATGCTCTTGCCTCAGCCTCCCAAGTAGCTGGTATTACAGGTGCCCACCAACACGCCCGGCTAATTTTTGTATTTTTAGTAGAGTTGGGACTTCACCATGTTAGTCAGGCTGGTCTCGAACTCCTGACCTCAAGTGATCTGCCTGCCTCATCCTCCCAAAGTGCTGGGATTACAGGTGTGAACCACCACGCCCGGCCAGGATTCTGTTTTTAAACTTATTTCAGTGGATTATTGATGATCATCTCACATTTTGCAGTAAGGTTTTTTTTAGGCCGGTGGCTACATAGTGGCTCATGCCTGTAATCCCAGCACTTAGGGAGGCCTAGGAGAGTGGATCACTTGAGCACAGAAGTTCGAGATTAGCCTGGGCAACTTGGGAAAACCCCGTCTCTACAAAAAATACAAAAATTAGCCAGGTGTGATGGGACGCGCCTGTAGTCCCAGCCACTTGTAAGGCTGAGGTGGGAGGATTGCTTGAGCCCTGGAGGTCTAGGGTGATCACACCACTGCACTCCAACCTGGGTGACAGAGCGAGGCTCCATCTCAAAAAAACAAAAAAGATTTTTCTAATGTCATTCCACAAGGATAGCTTATACTGCTATTTTGGCTGTGCCTATCTCAGAGCAGAATGGGCGGAAGTCCTTTTTTCCATTTTTTTTTTTTTTTAATGAGACTCTTCTGCCTGTATTGATTTTTAGTTAAGTATGTCATTTCTACTTTTCATGCCTGTATTTCAGAAGTGGTTTTCTAAGGAAGCAGTGTAGTTAATGATTTTGGAAAAGAATGTAAAACCTTAGGATCCTGAGGAAACATGTCTATGTGATCATCCGAATGACTGGTTTATTTCTTCTGTTGGGATGTTTTTCTGAGTGATTAAATGAGGATTCTCCAAATGTGGTGCAAGATGAGGCAAATGTGTGGCACTTGTAGCTTTGCTGCCAAGCCTCTGCTGTGAGGATGTTCCCTTTCCTGTCTCAAGTGCATCCTGAAGAGTTCCTCCAGCGCTCCGTTTCCTTTTGCCTGATTCCAGGCTGAGGTAGTAGTTTGTACAGTTTGAGGGTCTATGATACCACCCGGTACAGGAGATAACTGTACAGGCCACTGCCTTGCCAGGAACAGCGCGCCAGCTGCCAAGTGGGGCTGAGAGGATGGCGTCACCCTGCTCATCTCTGGGAAACCAGGTAATGGGGAGGAAGTCTTTTTCTTCTTAGGGCAGGTGAGTCATTGTTAGCAGTAGAATAACTAGAAATACTTCGTAGTTGTCATTCAAGAAGTTTGAAGATGTTTTCAAGGAAAATTGTGTAGTGTTCAAGTTATGGAATATACAAATATCCCTATTCCCCTATTCCCCCTCCCAAGTTAAATGCCCTCTTATTAGAAAGCACCCCTGTGAACCCCTGGGATGACTCGATGCTTTCAACCCCTTTATTCCTATGTTCTGTTTGCCTTCAGAATGTTCTTTCTATGGTTTTCTTTCTGCATTTTGGTACCATTTTCCCTTAGCTGTTTCTCAACAATTTTTCCTTATTCCTAGTCTTTTTAAGGGGATAATACTTTTCTATTTTGCAGTTTTATTCTTTATGGCACTTCATTTCTCTACCGCCACCATGTTTTTTGTTTGTTTACTCTTTCAGATAGAATCATTTGGTTAAGAGTGTCTTATTTTTCCACAAGCACAAATCTCTGATTGTTCCTTTCTTTAATATTGTCAAAATCTCACTGCTATTACTCATTGGTATAAGAATTTGATTTTTTTAATGTCTTAAGATCTTTTTAACCCAGATCTTGACATCACTTCTCTGACGTTTTGTTTATTTTCATTGTAATTTGTGTGTCCAATTGAAGAATGTTCAAATGAGTTGAGGGTGGGTCAACATACTGATGGAGAACTCTAGACAAAAATTGCTGCCAGGGTTCAACCTGATCTTCAGTTTAACTGCCATGGCTGCTCACCTCTTTAAGTCTGTTAGCTCAACAGCCACATATTTTTCTTTAAGGTTTGCCATTCTGTGGACACTAGACCAGTATCTAAAATTATTATGTGTGCTTTACTTGTTTTTGTTTTTTGACCAGGGTATATTTGCAGGGTGGGAGTTGCATTGTAATTATGAAGAAACCAAATTGGTAATAAAAGGTCATTTCAAACATTGCTTTCTATGCTGTCAACTTAAGAACTCTGCTTTTGAGTTAGGTGAAATCTACATACCCACTCTTCAGCTGCAGAGTAGAATTATTCACCATTATTTATTCATGCCTTGCTTGGGATATAGAATACAATGGATTATTTGACCTTGTCTTTTTAAGATGAAAATGTAAAGTAAATTTCTTTTAAATAGTATGATATCATCATACCTTGTTTGTCTTTTTACAGATACTATTCGTTACTTGTCCTTGCATGACAACAAATACATCAGATACTTTCCTGGACATAGCAAAAGGTAAGACCCACGTATTATAGAAGCAGATAGTTCTTTTATCCCTGAGGTTACCCAGAGAATAGAAGGCTAGAGAGAGCTTATTAGTGAACTGAAGCTACTTCCTCACTACTGCTTGGCATTCTTCATCTTCTCTTAAATAGTCAACTCTTGATTTACTGAGGTTATAGAGGTGCAGAGGTAGGTGTTCAGAGATACCTCAGTTAAAATATAACTAGGCCCAGTGCAGTGGCTCACACCTGTAATCCCAGCACTTTGGGAGGCCGCGGCGGGCGGATCACTTGAGGCCGGGAGTTTGAAACCAGCCAGGCCAACGTGTCAAAACCCCATCTCTACTAAAAATACAAAAATTAGCCAGGTATGGTGGTGGACACCTGCAATCCCAGCTACTCGGGAGGCTGAGGCAGGAGAATCGCTTGAACCCAGGAGGCAGAGGTTGCAATGAGCCGAGATCGCGCCACTGCACTCCAGCTTGGGCGACAGAGTGAGACTCCGTCTCAAAGATATATATGTATATATATTTTTTCTAGTTATAGGTATATCTATTTCTAGTTAGATATATATATTTCTAGTTTTATATATACATATAAAACTAGAAAAAATGTGGATTAAAGATATTCAGTGAAAACTTATGTAGTAAAAATTAGATTTGGCATTTAGGAATACCAAATCTCACATATCCCTTAATAAAGGACTGTTTGTGTTTATGAGGCCTTCCAATATATGTGGCCCCCATTTCAGTGGGCCCCTATGTAAAAATGTTCCATTTAAAGATCTTAATGAGAATGCAAAAGAAAGTCCTTTTTTTAAAATCAAGAAGTTTATCTCCTTTTTCTGTATTGTAATGCAGGTTGCTTCTCTCTGTTCTTCACCCCAATGCCCCTAGTTACTTTTTTCTCTAATTTTTCAACTTTTCTTTGAATGTTAAACACGTTTTCCCCTGGATAATATTTTAATCACTTGGGGTATTTTTTCCTGCATCCATTTGCAAATGTACAGTAACCCAGGATGGTTTCGATTGGTATGGAGCCCTGACAGGAGATGGCCTGAGAGCCTCCTGTTAGAAATTGCACTTCCAGGCCAGGCGTGGTGGCTTAATGCCTGTAATCCCAGCTCTTTGGAAGGCTGAGGAGGACAGATTGCTTGAGTGCAGGAGTTCAAAACCAGGCTAGGCAACATGGTGAAACCCTGTCTCTACAAAAAATACAAAAATTAGCCAGGAGTGGTGGTGTGCGCCTGTAATTCCTACTACTTCGGAGGCTCAGGCACGAGAATTGCTTGAACCCGCGAGACAGAGGCTGCATTGAGCCAAGGTGGCGCCACTGCACTCCATCCAGCCTGGGTGACAGAGCAAGACCCTGTCTCAAAAAAAAAAAAAAAAAAAAAAAGTTGCACTTCCAGTTGGGCAGGCCATTTGTGTTGCTGAAATAAAGGTGAAATAAGGTGGCAACCAGTGGTAACTGGTTTCAGACAAAGGATGGCTCATGATAAGTAGATGTTTTGCTTGTTTTTATTCAAATTAATGTTCACAAATGTACTATTTGTAATTAAGAGTTGATGCAGTTGTTTGACGTGCTTTCCAGTCTTCCCAATTATTCAACCTCTTGACCTCCTGATTCTTTTTTTTTTTTTTTTTTTTTTTTTTTTTTTTTTTTGAGACAGAGTCTCGCTCTGTCGCCCAGGCTGGAGTGCAGTGGTGCAATGTTGGCTCACTGCAGGCTCCGCCTCTTGGGTTCACGCCATTCTCCTGCCTCAGCCTCCTGAGTAGCTGGGACCACAGGCACCCGCCACCAAGCCCCGCTAGTTTTTTGTATTTTTAGTAGAGATGGGGTTTTACCGTGTTACCCAGGATGGTCCCTGATCCGCCCGCCTCAGCCTCCCAAAGTGCTGGGATTACAGACGTGAGCCACCGCACCCGGCTGGCCGACCTCCTGATTCTTGATAGATGACTTTGTCCCTCCTTTTATGAGAAAATCAAGGCTATACAAAATGAGTTATTTCAGCTGGGTGTGGTGGTTAAGGCCTGTTATCAGCACTTTGGGAGGCTGAGGTGAGAGGATCGCTTGAGTCTGGGAGGTTGAGGCTGCAGTGAGCCATGATTGTGCCACTGTACTCCAGCCTGGGTGACAAAGCAAGACCGTGTCTCCAAAAAAAAGAGTTCTTTTAAACATCTATCCCTTCCACCTAAATTCTGTCTTCCTTGGAATCCTTTCCTTGAGAAAGCTGTTGTCTTTCTTTCACAAAACAGACCTTCCTCTTTCTGCTTGCTTCCATCTCCTTAATTGGCCTTTCCTTTGTTGCCTACAAATTTACTTGGTCTTTCTTATCTTAAATCTACTTATTGACCCTATCACCCACTCCTTTTCACTATCAAACTTGAAAGAAGAATCTGTACATTCCCATCTCCACCTCCTCACACATGTTCACTGTTGAAATCATTTTTGCACTAGTCCCAGAATCGTCTATGGGGCTTTATCCAAACCTTTATCCTTCATTCCCTGCTGCCTCTAGTTAAAAAGCCACTGGTTTGGGCTTTTCTTGGTGCTTAACCTCTCAGTAAAACTTACTTTCCCGTGGCAGGTGACTTTTCCCATGTCGGTTCTGTTCTTGTAGTTTTCAGCCTCTGTTTTGACTCTAAAATAAACAAATATTTTATCCGCTTTCTTATCTCCATCGCTGATTTCATTTACCTCCATTCAGGTGGCTTCCCAAATCAGTATTTTTAGCTCATGTCTATTATCAGTTTCAGACCCGCCTTCCACCTACAGGTTTTGTTTGTTTTTTTGTTTTTTGAGATGGAGGCTCACCGGGTCACCCAGGCTGGAGTGCAATGGCATGATCTTGGCTCACTGCAACCTCCACCTCCTGAGTTCAAACGATTCTCCTGCCTCAGCCTCCCGAATAGCTGGGATTACAGGCACGCACCATCATGCCCGGCTAATTTTTGTGTTTTTATAGAGACAGGGTTTCACCATGTTGGCCAGGCCGCTGTCAAACTCCTGACCTCAGGTGATCCATCCGCCTCAGCCTCCCAAAGTGCTGGGATTACAGGCATGAGCCACTGCACCCAGCACCACCTACATGTTTTATACACATCTTTGTAGCTGTCTCTTCTGTCCAATACTCTTTCTAATACTCAGGTCCAGTACTCTGTCCATCATTGTTACCTTTTTTGGGCCAGCTTCTCTCTGTCTTCCTCATATTTATTCATCTCTGTCTCTTCCAATTCTGGCTCAAAGCATCTGTTGTTAGTTCACTCTTTTTCCCCTGCCATCATATTCAGTGAGTTGTTAAACTATTTAGTTCTCCCTAGGTTTAACCTCATGTGTCACTTTCCTCTGTGTTCTCTCCTTTGCTTCTGCCCTGGCTCATGCCCTGTGAGGTAAATTATTGTTAGCTCCTAATTAATCTTCCCATCTCTTACCATCCTGTTTCAGCTTCCTGGATTGCAGTTTGATTGCTTCACAATCTCTCTTAATGGTTCTCTATATTTTCATTGCTCCTTCCCCTTGTAGTCAGGTTCTGTCCCTTCTGGCTCTGACCCATTTTCTCAGCATTTTCTCCCACCATTCCCATTAAGGTGAACTCTGGGCTACTTCTTTGAAATCCTTTCTACCTCAGATGTTGTATCTTTCCAGAAGCCTTCTCTGGTCCTCTTGGAGTCATGTGGACTGGACAGTTAAAATTCCTTACGGTCGGGGTCTTACTTCTCCATGTGTTCCCTGTACTTCTCAGCATAGAGTCTTGTGCTGAGCTCTTGGGCTGAATGCCATGGCATAAAATTACATGTCCACAACGTGTTCTGCTCATTCTGATTTTTGTTTTTTGAGACGGTGCCTTGCTCTGTTTCCCAGGCTGGAATGCAGTGGTGTGATCTTGGCTCACTGCAGCCTCCATCTCTGGGGTTCAAGCGATTCTTCCGCCTCAGCCTCTTGAGTAGCTGGGATTACAGGTGTACGCCACCAGGCCTGGCTAATTTTTGTATTTTTATTAGTGGTGGGATTTCACCATGTTGGCCAAGCTGGTCTCAAACTCCTGACCTCAGGTGATCGCCCACCTGGGCCTCCCAAAGTGCTGGGATTACAGGCATGAGCCACCGCACCTGGCCTGCTCATTGTGTTTTATTACCTCCTCAGCATTCTCAGGAAATTTTGGCTTTTAACAATACCTTTTAAAATTTTAACTTGAGGAGCTGGTGCAGATGTTAGTTGAGTTACATTGGAAGAAAATGTTTTTCAGTGAGTGTCTCTTGATGGTATAACCACAAAAGGGAACCAAAAAAGGAATACAGTTGCTGTTAGCATAGGCTTGTGGTTCTCTAGGTGTGGTGCCCAAAACAGCAGCCTCACCCATCACCTGGGGGCTAGTTAGAAACTCAGATTCACAGACCCCAAGTCAGGCCTACTGGATTAGAGGCTCTGGGAGCAGATCCTAGCAGTCTGTTTTAACCCACCCTCCAGGTGATGCTGATGCCACTTAGGTTTGAGAATATCTGTGTAGTCCTCACACATCTTGATAAGGAATCATGCTTTTTTGTGTTTTTTTAATTGAGATACAGTCTACATACTGTAAATGATTCCTTTAAAAATGTACAGTTCAGTGGTTTTTACTATATTTGCAAAGTTGGACAACTATCACCATCATCTAACTTCAGAACATTTTTATCACTCCAAAGAGAAACTCTGTACCCATTAGTAATCACTCCCTCAGCCCCTACCAACTGCTGATCTACTTCTGTCTTTATAGATTTGCCTATTCTAGACATTTTGTGTAAATGGATCAGTTCATATCTGATCTTTTGTGCCTGGCTTCTTTTACTTAGCATGGTGTTCCCAAGGTTCCTCCATGTTGTCACATGAGGCAGTACTTTATTACTTTTTATTGCCAAATAATGTTCCAGTGTATAGATACAGCACATTTTGTTTGTCCATCCATTAGTTAATGGACCATTTGGGTTATTTCTACTTTTTGGCTGTTATGAATAGTGCAGATCTGAACATATGTGTACATTTTTGTGTGGACATATATTTTCAGTTATCTTGGGTAAATACCTAGGAGTGGAGTTTCTGGGTCACGTGGTAACTTTTTTTGGAAAAACTTTTCCAAAGCAACTGTACCATTTTTACATTTCCATTAGCAATGTATGAGGGTTCCAATTTCTCTGCATCCTCACCAACACTTGTTATCTCTCTTATTATAGCTATGCTAGAGGGTGTGGAGTAGTATTTCATTGTGGTTTTGATTTGCATTGGAATCATATATTTTTATTTTGTAGCTTTAAATTTTTTTTTTTATACTAGTTGCCTTTGTTTGTTCCAGATATGGTTGTGGTATGTGTGTTTTATTGTGTTTCTTAAAATGGCAATTTTGGGAGAACAGGTATATATATGTATAGATAGGCAGAGTGGTTTAGAATTCACATCCAATTTTTGCTAATATTTCGCATCAACTCCTATTTATCTCGATGTATTGCAGGGTGGTGGCCTTGTCCATGTCACCTGTGGATGACACTTTCATTTCTGGGTCTCTTGATAAGACCATTCGACTCTGGGATCTCCGGTCTCCTAACTGCCAGGTAATGGTACCTCACAGTTATACTTTTTGAGCATTTTCTTTGGTAGGCACTGTAATGAACTCTACCTCTCAAAGAAGGGAGAAAACAGTGGTTCCATTCTGGGATCACAGGGTCTTTTTAAACTTTGGAGAAAATCTGTTTTTTTAGTTGGTAGCTGCTAAGCACATACCCTAATCTAGTGCAGATTGCATTGTACTCTGTGGCTTAATTGTTGTGGGTTTTTTGTTGTTTTGTTTTGTTTTTGTTTTTGTTTTGAGACAGGGTTTCGCTCTTGTTGCCCAGGCTGGAGTGCAATGGTGCAATCTCAGCTCACCGCAACCTCCACCTCCAGGGTTCAAGCGATTCTTCTGCCTCAGCCTCCCAAGTAGCTGGGATTACAGTCATGCACCACCATGTCTGGCTAATTTTGTATTTTTAGTAGAGACGGGGTTTCTCCATGTTGGTCAGGCTAGTCTCCTGACCTCAGGTGATCCTCCTACCTTGGCCTCCCAAAGTTCTGGGATTATAGGCGTGAGCCACTGCGCCCAGCTGGCTTAATGTTTTTAAAAGTGTTCCTAGAGCTTTTAGCTTCAAGGGATTTATTTTTATTTGAATTCTGTGTCTGTAATATTGTGCAGTTAGAGTTGATCAGAAATTGTTGTCTGGAGACCTGTTTTTTAAAAGCTTCATTTTAGTTTTATGTTTTTTTTGTGTGTGTTCTGTAGGTAGGCTGATATTTGTTTGTATGCCTTTCTTAGTTTTAATTGGGAAAAGTAAATTATATAGTGGTAAGGTCCTGGATTCATTTTTTTTTCCCCATTGTACCAGCAGTCTTTGGTTATTCCACGTATGGTTGTGGCATGTGTGTTTTAGTGTATTTCTTATTTCTTTTCTCTTAGGGCCTCATGCATCTGCAGGGGAAGCCAGTTTGTTCTTTTGATCCAGAAGGGTTAATTTTCGCTGCAGGTGTCAACTCTGAAATGGTCAAGCTTTATGACCTTCGTTCTTTTGATAAGGTAAATCTTTGAATCTTTGAGATCTTTGAGCTGTTTTTTGTTTTGTTTTGTTTTTGAGACAGAGTTTTGCTCTTATTGCCCAGGCTGGAGTGCAGTGGTGTAATCTCAGCTCACTGCAACCTCTGCCTCCCAGGTTCAAGTGATTCTCCTGCCTCAGCCTCCCAAGTAGCTGGGATTACACGTGTCCGCCACCACGCCTGGCTAATTTTTTGTATTTAGTAGAGATGGGTTTCACCATGTTGGTCAGGCTGGTCTCAAACTCCTCACCTCTGGTGATCCACCCACCTCGGCCTCCCAAAGTGCTGGGATTACAGGCGTGAGCCACCGCGCCCGGCCCTGTAAGAGCCTTTTCTACAAAAGGAAAAATGTGGTAGATATTAGAGAGTGGCAGAGAAGTAGCTCATTCTCTGCTTTCCTTAGTCAAAAAGTAATCTAAAGGAATAGGATGGGAATTGGCTCTAGCAGAAGAAATTATTAATATGCCTGGGGCTACTGTTTTTTATCTTTTGCAGGGGCCATTTGCTACCTTTAAGATGCAGTATGATCGAACTTGTGAGTGGACAGGACTTAAATTCAGCAATGATGGCAAGCTCATCCTCATTTCCACCAACGGCAGCTTCATTCGTCTGATTGATGCATTCAAAGGAGTGGTGATGCACACATTTGGGGTGAGCTGACAGCCTTCAAGCATGGCTGTTTCCATGCTCATACTTCCTATGCTAAGAATTATGTTAGCTGGTTGGTGGAGACCAACAGTTACTCTTGACTTACTCATGAAGGCATGCACTTGTATTTTCTTCCTGCTCATGAACTTACCTCTCTTGGATTTCGTAGATGTTCATTTCTCACCAAGTGACCCAAGTTTGGTATTTAGATATAAAATAATTTCCTAACAATAAAGTTTTCTTGCCCCCTTGAGTATGCCTTGAATACAGAGTTGAGGGTGGGAGTGGATTGTCAACGATGGCAACCACATTTGGAAGCTTGGTGGTGTAGTACATGACAAGGAAAGGGTTTCATGGAAAGGAAGGTGATGCATGTGCTGAGTCAGTGTTTGTAGGCAGCTGTTTTTATTAATGGCTCTGTAAGAACAAAAGAACTGCTCTGTTTTGTTTTAGGGTTATGCCAACAGCAAAGCTGTCACACTGGAGGCTTCATTTACTCCAGACTCTCAGTTTATTATGATTGGTGAGTTTCCTTTTATCCCCTGTGGGGGTTATTTCTCTGGTACTATGCATTTCTTTGTTTAAATTATTAACTGAGACATTATTATCTATTTGATAGATGTTCTTAGATTTCTGTATAGCACATTATGCCAAGGACATAGTGTCTTTTAACTGCCCTGACTGGACCAAAATTTGAGTTAAACTCCACAAGCACTACCTTATTAGTAATGCTAATGTCCTGGTGTAACCCTACATTCAGTCATCTTAGTGGCTGCCTGTTGGTAGGGTAATGGTATTCGGCCCCTTTTTTAGATGAGAAAACTGAAGTTAGAACGGAAGTGACATGCCTGTGAACAAATAGCTAGGGTCAAGATAAATTTCCAAAGTGTCCTTCCTTCACTGCCTCTCCTCCCTCTCAATTTTGCCTGAGGGATGGGTCCTAAAGCTTGGCGTATCCTCAGATCTCAATCCATGTCTCATTTCCAGTTGTCTTTGTATTGCGCCTTGAGCTGTTACATTTTCCGTGAATATCCTCTTTAGGTTCAGAGGATGGCAAGATCCATGTCTGGAATGGAGAGAGCGGTATAAAAGTAGCTGTGTTGGATGGTAAACACACAGGCCCGATTACCTGTTTGCAATTCAACCCCAAGTTCATGACTTTTGCCAGTGCGTGTTCCAACATGGTATGTGAACAGTAAGAGGTATCTGCTACTCAGGGACCCTTCCCAGTTGGGGTGGTGGGTGCCTCAACAAGCACAGCAAGCTGTGTTCTACATAGGTACATTACAAGCATCCAAGTACATGTTTCTCAACTGGTGGTTTCCCTATTTCATCTCCTATTATTTGATCTCTGGCTGGGCTGGTCTTGCCTTTCATTTTTATTCTTCCTAGAGGTGATCAGGAATCATCTTTGAGTTCCAAGGAGATCATAGGCCAGTTTTTGCTCTGGACCCTAATTTTAGGTCCAAACTACCTGGGCTATGCTTGGCAATTTTTTTGCTCCTTAAAATACTCTGAACCGGCCTTTTGTGGTTTCAGTTTTCCATTCCTGTTGGTTTACGCCAAATTCCCAGAAATTTCTACAGTTGGTCATAACTCACCACTTAGAATTAACTCCAGGCCCTTATCTCTTCCTAGATAATACTAACAGAACAAAGGATCAGTGAGTCTCAGCTCCAGTTTTCCCTTGTGATCTCCTAAACCTGCCTGGGTATTCGGGGATGAGACATTTCATTACTAGCCTACCCGGAGCACATTGCCACCTTGCTTTTTTTTTTTAACCAAGAAAAAAATGTTAGAAAAAATACAGCAAAACCATCCAGTTCCTTACTTTTTACAGCCCAGGAAGGTGGGGGCCTGTTGGAGGTAACCTGGTGGATTAGCAATGAGGACAGGTTACTTATTCACCCACCTCCCAGGCAGCACTCCTTTTTTTCCCTTCCTTTAAAAAAAAGGGGGCGGGGGGTCTGCTTTGGTGGAAGGTGGACAGTGATTATTGGAGAAAAACAGAACCATTTTACTTTCACATAGAGGAAAGAGTGTTTCTGTCTCCTTAGAGCATCGGGGTTGGTTGGTTAGGAGAGAGGGCTACCAGAGCCACTGGGGTTGGGCACATTTTTGCTGTGGGGTGGGATGTGAAGAACCGTTGGCAGTGAGGAGATGCTTGGCTTTTTAAAGTTGATTTATGTTCTCCTTCTAGGCCTTTTGGTTGCCCACCATTGATGACTGACCCTGTTGCTGCTTGGCTATTTCTGTATAGTGAGGGCGGCCAGCAGGAAGAAACTCAGAGGGAACTGAGATAATAGTGGGATTGGATCATTTGACTGGGCTGGAGAACATCCTTTTACATGGCCTTCCCATGGATGTGCTGTACATCTGCTCAAAAGAAAATAATTACTTTGATGAGCGTCTTCAAAAGGACTCTTGGTGCAACAGACTCAATTGGAACTCAGCTTTTCTAACTGTCACTGCACCAAGCTCTGCTGGAGGAGTGACCAGACTCACGATTTGGTATAGTGGGGCTCTCAAGCATCTTCAATTTGAATGTACATGCTGCTGAGGAGCCGGTGAAGTCATCAGTTCCGCACATCCCTTCTACCCTCCAACTGCATGGGAAGCCAAAGTCCTGGTTTTGAAATGCTTGGGCAGCTCAGCCGCTTGCCCTCACCCTGCATGTCTTGTTACTGGGTCTCCCTGTGTACTTGTGGCATTATCCACAACCATCATGTTTCTTAGGTGCCAAACATTTACAGAAACATTTTCATATATCTTGGGGTCAGAGAAAGGGACAGATACAGAAGGACCTTGCTTGCAGGAAGCCATGCAGTTAGTTTCTGCAGTTAGTCGTGTGAGGCTAGGTGGTTGGGCAGGCCTCGGGCTGTAGGTGTTGGGTGGGAAAAAGACCCAAGGGCCTGAAAGGGAGGGAAAGGGGAGGGTAGCGGGAGGGTAGCAGGTGAGTTCCTAGGGCTGGAAGGTTTAGCAGCAGCCTGGTGCAGTGCCCTGTCATCAAGACAAACCCACGGTCCTCCTGGGTGCCTACCAAGCTTGGTTTGTACAAAAGCAAGGTGGGAGTCTATTTTTGTACATGAGATACATCACACTTACCTGTGGGCCAGTATTGTGAAGTGAGTCTGAGTTGTTTACACTGATGCCTTCCCTGCCCACCACAAATTGTGTACATAGTCTTCAGATGATACCACCCCTTTCCCCAGCTCCCAACCAAGAGCTGGTTCTAGGCCTGTGTTATATGTCATATTTAGCGTTTTTATATATGACCTTTGATTTCTGTTGTTTGTATTTTAGCACAGTGTATGCACCTTCATTTAAATACATCTGTGTGCATACAGATACGCATATATGTGTGTGCGTATGCATATATCTCTCATCTGTAGTTTCCAAGAGTTCAGCTGAAGCAGATGGAGTCCTGCAGCCCAGGAGACACCCTGCATCCCTGCTAATAGTGTTTGCCACAAGTATTAGTGAGTCTTCCTTATTAATATTTTCATTTCAGAAGACTGAAGCAAAGCTGATAGTGTTTGCTGTTTCTTTGGCAGCTAAGTGAGGGTCTTGGGATGACTTGCTGTGTTCCTCAAGCTGCACTTTGGGGCCATCTCTGCAGTATTAGCCCCCTTTTTGCTTGGTGGTACTCTGTCTGTGCCTGTGTGTGTGTGTGATAGTCACTCTTGCATGGCTTCCATGTCTGGTTTGTGGCATTTGGGGATAAGGTGCTGAAGCCAGAGCATTTGCAGTTTGTTTGAGGCCTCGTTGCCAATGATAGATCACTCCTGTTGACCTGGTATGTCTGCTTGCTTGCTGCTTTTCCTTGCTTTCTCTTGGAAGAGGAAAGGACTCTGGTCAGGCCCAGGCTGAGTGAGATGAGCTGCAGCTGGCTCATGGCCTTCTTAGAGCAGAGAGAGGAGTATGTCATTTTACTAAGTTCCTAAACAAACATTTATGCAGGCAACACTCCTTGCAGATCCAGAAACTGAGGCACAATAGGGTTATGACTTGCTCAAGAATATGTAGCTGCTAGGGGGTAAATCAAGGCATCACAATTTCTGTTCAGCGGGCAGGAATAGGCTGTGAATTGCTAGCACTTTTTTTTTTTAAGCAATTACTTTTTGACTTGTTCCTCTGAAAGTGCAAGAGGCGTACACCTTTCCCAAATGTAGACTAGAATCTGCAGGATGCCACCCACTGTATAGTTCTGCTTTCCCAGAGAGGAAGAACTTTTAGAAACCAAATGATCTTAATTGTTATTGCCCACCCCTGGCTTTTCCGGGTAGAAAATTCACAGTAGGAATGATTGTTAAGAGAGAGTGCTTGGAACCATGGGTTAACAGGAAAGGCTACCTAACTTCACATATCTGCAACCAGAGCAGCCACCAAGCATTACTTAGCAGCAGGAAAATGATTGTATTTGAGTTCCTGTGTGTCCAAAACTGAGCACCATGTTCTTTGAAAACATGCCACCTCAAGGCTGGGCGCGGTGGCTCACACCTGTAATCCCAGCACTTTGGGAGGCCGAGGCGGGCGGATCACCGGAGGTCGGGAGTTTGAGACCAGCCTGACCAACATGGAGAAACCCCATCTCTACTAAAAATACAAAATTAGCCGGGCGTGGTGGCATGCGCCTATAATCTCAGCTACTTGGGAGGCTGAGGCAGGAGAATTGCTTGAACCCAGGAGGCGGAGGTTGCGGTGAGTTGAGATCGTGCCATTGCACTCCGGCCTGGGCAACAACAGCAAAACTCCGTCTCAAAAAAAAAAAAAAAAAAATGCCACCTCACAGTCTCTATCGTTGGGCCCTGTGGTTGCAAAGCTGCCTCCTGAATTAAGAAGGAAAGGGAAAAGATATAGCTGGAAGCGAGTGGAAGAGATGCTGAGGGCTGGGGCTGCACAGACGTGCTCAGCAGGGCTACAGGTGCTCAAGCCCTATTGGGGATGGGTGGGGAGTGGGGCAGCGGCGTTTGCCACCTTAAGAATTGGGGCCAAAGCCACTGATGTTTATTTGACAGTGACACTGCACTGGGTACTTAAAGAAATTATTTCCCGTTGTAATTATAATTACTGCTTATTAAGGAAAATATGGGAATTTTAGAAAGAATCAAGTTTGCCACCCAAATGCTACCACTGTTAATCTTTTGGTGTTAAATGTTCCCCCTAGACATTTCTGTGCATAGATTTTTGGTGTGTTTACATAGTCGTTATTCTGTATATACAATTTTATGTCCCTTTTGTACTTAACGTATAAACATTTTTTCCATGTTACAGTCTTAAACAGAATTTTATGGCTGCAGCCTCTTCGATTTGAGTTTCTGTAGCATGGTTTGCCTGGTTCCCAGAGCTGGAGGGAGGCTTGGGTTGTCTCCTGTTAGTTCTGGCTCACACTGCAGCTTGCTGTAATGCTGTGTAGACGGATTGCTGGGCTCCCTGGGACTGCCTCTGACTGCCCCTTGGTAACTAAGATTTATGGGCTGGTGGGAGGAACCCCTAGAACCAGCCTTCAACCCCAGGCTGTAATAGCCATAGAGCCAGCAATGACTGACGGGGCAAGGCAAGCCTGAGCCAGCCTGAATCTTCGGAGACTGTCTGGCACTTACCTCAGGCTGCCTTGCATCCTCTACTGTTTACTCAACCCTTCACCAGATTGACAACCTCTAGTTGGAATATGTTTTGTCCTGCTAGACCCTGGTTTCAGGAAGGCAAGAATACTGGAGTCTCTCTGAGGCCCCAGCACCCAGTCTGGCAGAAGGCAATTGCTTTGGTAACCCATTTGCCTGGAGGCTGCTGCTCTAGCTCAGCATTCTCAGAGCTGTAGAACCTGCTTCCTGCTCTTGCCTCGCCCTCTCTGGACCAGAGAAGAAAACCTTGGGCCTGCCACATTTTCACATTGCTCATGGGACTCTGCAACAGTGGCGGAGGGAACATCCTAGCTTGTGTGTGACAGGCCATGCACAGGCTCTTCTGACACTACGTACGTAGGAAGAGACCCCCTCCTGGCCTGGTGGGAGGACTGCTGCCGTGTTCAGCTCTGCTGGGAGACATGAACAAGTAGGTAAGCATGGCTGCCCTTAGAGCAGCCACTCTGGTCTCTGTCCTGCTCGCAACTGAAAGACCTACTTCACCCACCCCCCAGGCTTCATTCAGCCTTGTGACGTGAGGAACAACAGCAGGCATGGTAGCAAGCTAGGCAAGCAGGCTGTGGGGGCGAGCTGGCTCAGCAGTTGATGTGGGTAAGAGAAGCAGGCACAGGATGCTGCCCACCCTTTTTTTTTTTTTTGCTCAGGCGGAGTGGTGAGGTAGTGGAGGCTGTGGTGAGGAAAGAGGAAGTGACACTCCTACAGGCTGGTAGGACAGCACTCAAGCTGCCTGGCTAGAGGAGTCCTAGCAAGACTACCATAGGGCCTAGCTGTGGACAGGTTCAACCCTGAAGTCCTGCACTGTGGAATATAGCAGTGGGAAATATCTGATGCAGTTTTTCCAGTCTTCCCTGGAGAATGTGTAGGAAATGAAATCTAGAGTTAATGGGTAGGAAAGGGGGTCTGAGGCTGGGTGCAGTGGCTCACGCCTGTAATCCCAGCACTTTGGGAGACCGAGGTGGGTGGATCACCTGAGGTCAGGAGTTTGAGACCAGGCTGGCCAACATGATGAAACCCCATCTCTACTAAAAATATTGGGTGTGGTGGTGTGTGCCTGTAATTCCAACTGTTCAGGAGGCTGAGGCAGGAGAATCACTTGAACCCAGGAGGCTAGAGGTTGCAGTGAGCTGAGATGGCACCATTACACTCCAGCCTGGGCGACAAGAGTGAAGCTCCATCTCAAAAAAAAAAAAAAAAAAGCCGGGGTGGGGTGGGTTCTGAGAGCCTCTCAGTTGAGTTAATTATACAGGTTTTACCATTGGCTCTGCGACCTGTTGGATATTCTTCTTGGCTGCAATTTTGGGCTGTCAGTTGCCTGGTGAGAGAATTCACCTAAATTATAAAGTAGGAGTAAATCAGAGAAGGGTCAAGTAAAGCTGAGGTCATGAAGGTGGTTTGCCTTGTAATTCAATAGATACTTCCTGAGCACTTGAGCTTTGGTACGTTCTAGTTGACAGCATGGCTGTTTTTGTTTTGTTTTGTTTTTGAGACAGTTTTGCTCTTATTGCCCAGGCTGGAGTACAACGGTGCGATCTTGGCTCACTGCAACCTCCGCCTCCCGGGTTCAAGCGATTCTCCTGCCTCAGCCTCCCGAGTAGCTGGGATTACAGGCATGTGCCACCACACCTGGCTAATTTTGTATTTTTAGTAGAGACAGGGTTTCAACATGTTGGTCAGGCTGGTCTCAAACTCCGGACCTCAGGTGATCTGCCTGCTCAGCCTCCCAAAGTGCTGGATGACACACCTGAGCCACCAGGCCTGGCCCCATTTTTTTGTTTGTTTTGTTTTGTTTTGAGACAGAGTCTCACTGTGTTGTCCAGGCTGGAGTGGAGTGGCACAATCTCCCCTCACTGCAACCTCCACCTCCTGGGTTCAGGTGATCCTCCCACCTCAGCCTTCCAAGTAGCTGGGACCACAGGCATATATCACCATGCCCTACTAATTTTTTGTATTTTTGATAGAGATGGGGTTTCACCATGTTGTTCAGGATGGTCTCAAACTCCCGAGCTCAAGTGATCTACCTGCTTCAGCCTCCCAAAGTCCTGGGATTACAGGCATGAGCCACTGTGCCCCAGCCAAGATGACAGCATAGTCTTTTTGGAGAAGATGAACTAAGCTGCTTATTAAACAGCAAGCCCTAAGGCCCTAACTTTTATCCAGCTAATTATAGCTTTATAGAAATCTGCATTCAAAAGTAAGTGAAAAAGTCACAGTGTACATCTGTAATTCCAGCTACAGGCTGGGAGGACTGCTTGAACCCAGCAGTTTGAGACTATCCTGGGCAAAATAGACCCTGTCTCATTACTTTTTATTTTTAGTTTTTTGAGATGGAGTCTCGCTCTGTTGCCCAGGCTGGAACGCAGTGGCACAATCTCAGCTCACTGCAACCTCCACCTCCCAGGTTCAAACGATTATTCTGCCTCAGCCTCCTGGGCAGCTGGTACTACAGGCACGTGCGACCATGCCCGGCTAATTTTTGTATTTTTAGTAGAGACAGGGTTTCACCATATTGGCCAGGCTGGTCTCGAACTGACCTCATGATCGGCCTGCTTCGGCCTCCCAAAGTGCTGGGATTACAGGTCTGAGCCACCATGCCTGGCCTTACATTTTTTTTTTTAAGTGAAAAAACCACCCTTCCAGTATCTCAAGCCCAGAGCCTACAAGTAGTGGAGGCTGGGCATGGTGGCTCACGCCTGTAATCCCAGAGAGGCTGAGGTGGGATTATCACTTGCATCCAGGAGTTTGAGCCAGTCTGGGCAACACAGACCCTGTCTCTACAAAAAATAAAAAGTTGGCAGGGTGTGGTGGTGCATACCTGTGGTCCCAGCTACTCGGAGTGCTGAGGGTGGAGGATCACTTGAGCCCAGGAGGTCAAAACTGCAGTAAGCTGTGATCACACCACTGCACTCCAACCTGGGTGACAGAGTGAGACCCTGTCTCCCAAAAAAAAAAAAAAAAAAGACAGCTAGTGCGGTGGCTCACACCTGTAACCCCAGCACTTTGGAGGCTGAGGCAGGTGGATCACTTGGAGTCAGGCATTCAAGACCAGCCTGGCCAACATGGTGAAACCCTTTATCTACTAAAAATACAAAAATTAGCTGAGTGTGATGGCACATGCCTTCAATCCCAGCTACTTGGGAAGCTGAGGCAGGAGAATGGCTTGAACTCTGGAGATGGAGGTTGGAGGTTGCAGTGAGCCTAGACCATGCCACCGCACTCCAGCCTGGGCAACAGAGCGAGACTCCATCTCAAAGAAAAGGGGAAAAAAAATGGTGGTAGAGACTTTTCTGTTTCCTGGCCAAAAATTCTCTCACTGGGGCTCACCCAAGCTGAGAACTAGGGAAACTGCAAAGAAAACATAGTACTGATTATATGCAGGCTTACAAGGTGGAGCTAAAACTAATCCACTCAAAGGTAACAAAAATTAGCAATAGGTATCCTTAATCCAAGCTGTACAGCAATTCATGACTCACAAGGCTCTTCTGTAGAAAACATTTAATAATAGGGAGGTGACAGGGAAAACAAAGCAAGGGCAGTGTTGGGGCATCAGACCAGGGCAGGGCTGGAACTAGGGAGAAGCAACCAGTTAAGAGGCAGGCTACTACAGGTAGCAAATGGAGAGCCCTCTCACCCAGCCAACTCCAAGAGTTCCTCTTGTCCCTTGTGCTCTACCCCAAACTTTAGCCCCAGCACCTGTTCCTCATCTCCAGCAAAGAACAGCAGGGCAGGACCTGAACTGGTCTCTTTTCAGGGGCTGTCTTGAAGATGGCTGTTTTAGCAGACATGAGGCTGCCCAAAGGTTTCTACAAGCCACCTGCGTGGACTTTGGGGGTTGTTGAACACATGCCCTGATAACCATGAATTGGAGACCTGGATCTAAACATGGGCTAGCTACCCATCCTGGCATCTTTGGCTAATACCCTTAGCTTGGGTGCCCCTATCTGAGAATGATACTTTGGGCTGTTCAAGATCCTGTCTGAGGAGCCTCACATGGGTTTCCTAGTTAAGTTGTAAAGTCACTCTGCCAGAGAAGGTTATCACCGCAAAAGGCAGGACCTGGTGGGCTGGGCTCTCCATACACTTCCAGCTCTGACTGCCTGGTATAAATGTTCCTCTTGAGATGGATGTGTGTTGAGGTGGATAGTGAGAGCACTGGGCGGTGGCTAGGGATAGGGCAGGCAGGATTTGCTCTTGGTCACACTGGAGGGATGCCCAGACCACACCCGGGCACTAGAGCAGTTCTGGGATACAGTGTCTGAATCCTCAGTGGTCACTGCTCTCTTGGCCCTGACTGTGCAAGGGAATCACGAACACAGAGACGTCATCGTAGGACACCTGCCCTTCCTCTGTGAGACTGTCTTCCTTTCCCTGTGTGCTGTGTATCAGCATCTGGGCCAGCTTTGAGAACCTGTGAAGACCATCCTGCAGATAGACTTCAGGGGCAGAGCAAAGGGGCAAGGCCAGACCTTAGGAGAACTCACTGCACAAGGCTGGACATGGGGACCCAAGCAATGCAGTCCGACTGTGGACCAAGCAAGCAGCAAGTCTGGGAGGGCCACGGGCTGGACCATGAGAGTCTAAATCCAGGGATTTTCGGAACCCACGGTCTCCCTGCCTCCTCCAAGAAGCTTGAGACAGCCCTGATCCTGGCCAGCTGCCAGCTCATTGTCAGTGCTCTGTCTTCTCAGCCATAACTACTTGGGCTTGCTGCTGGCACCAACCCAGGCCCAGGCAGGTCCCCAGCAGCTACAGTACCTGTGTGGGTCCTCTTGGTTCCCAGGGAGGAAGCTCCGCACCAGCCATGCCACCTGCTCGTTGGACAGTACATCCCAGAGTCCATCAGTTGCCATGACAACCACATCATCCTCCTGTAGCTCCAGCTGGTCCACATCCAGCACAGTCACCTACAAATTAAGCCTGAGGATCCTGCACACTCCCTTCCCGACTCCCACCAGCCTCACTGTCTGCCTTTCTGGGCAGATGGAAGCTGGGTTGGACAGCGTTGCCCCCTTACCTGTGGCACAGAGAGCAAGAAGGGCTTGAGCTGGATGTTTGTGTCCAGGACTCTGAGCTGATGGTCTCCCAGGCCCCGGGAGACAGCCAGTGTTCCTAGTAACCGAGCCTGAGGGAAAGTGAGGTGTGAGGCGATGGCAAACAGCTCCAGCAAATGCACAAGTACCAGGCCCTAGCACTGCAGAGCACACAGGGAGAGGTGGACTGTGGCCCTTGGAAGCCTTGGACTGAGAGAGAAAATTCCTAGTCTCAGAGCAAATCCCAGGCCACCAGCCACAGCTACCAGCAAGAGGCAAAGGAGCTCCCACCTCTGCAGGGGACAATGAAGAGGGATTCTTGGGGTTGAGGAGGACCAGGCACTGACCTGCCTACCCTGTCCATGGATCAGTGGGTACTTGAGATCCGATTTCTCCACACGTTTGTAGCTCCTACCAGGAGCAGAGCCAGCATCAACCCAAGCCCTGTGCCCCATCTCATCTTTCCCCAACTCAGGGCCCAGCTGTCACACCCTCACAGTGCCACCCTGCCAAGGTGGAGGGGGGCCCCAGGCCATACGGCTGGGCCTGGATCCCAGGGGTCTCCCTTCCTACCTGTCCCCCATCCCCACTCACCAGCCACTCATGTGGTGATCCCTGAACAAAACCTTCTGTCCCAAGTCATCCCCCTTCAGCCGCCGAGGGAACTCCAGTCGGGTGAACTCACCAGCCAGAAGCTCAGGATAGACAAAGGCCTGGGGTGGGGAGGCTGCGCTCAGGTCATACTCCTTCTTATGGCCCTGGACCCAGGAGTTGGAGCTTCACAGCCTCCATGCTGCCAAGGGCACCTACCAGCTGCTGGATCCGCTGCCGCTCAGTCTCTGGGGTGAACTCGAAGCTCAGTGGCCGTATCTCATCTCTCCGCACCAAGATGGCCCTGGATTGAGGAGAGAAGGGAGAGGTCTAGGAGGAGGCCTCCACCCTCACCCATGGCCACCCTCCTACCAGTCCCTCCTCCAACCACCAGGATCCAGCTCTGTCCATGATGATCCCTTAAAGCCCTCCATGACTACCTAAGACCTGCAAGGGTGAAGGCTTAGCCCTTTAGCGGGGCCTTTGAGGTCCCTGCCCTCCCCGGCAGCCACTGTCCACACTCGACACATAACAAGTACACACACAATTCAGCCAGTCAATCCTTCCTACTATCCCTCCACTTCCAGCCACCTTTGCTTGTCCCCATTGCTGCTTATGCCCTCCCCATCCCACCCTTGCCCACCCTCCAAGGGGTGACTCACCTGCTATCCCCAGCATTGGCCATGTACAGCTTTCCCTGCAGGGACACAGCCACCAGGGCTGTGCAGCCGCCCATCTGGCCTGAGGCCTCCAGCTCCCGCCCGATCACCTCATCCTGGGGAAAACCGAGGCCACCTTAGCTGCTGCCTGTTCTGCCACCATACTACTTTGTCTCTCAATCCCCACCCTACCCTACAGTTCACTTCTACCAGCAGGCCTGACAGTCCCAGCCCAAAGTCCAGCCATACCTCCAAGATCCCTGCAGTCAGGAGATCTAGACAAGGGAAGTGCTACTCAAAATAGGAAGAGAAACCAGCCCCTGCACCAAGGACCAATAGGGTATTCAATTAGATGATGCAGGTAAAAGCAGTTAGCACACAGTAGGTGCTGGATAAATGAGAGGGGTTATGCTGATAGTGATGGCTGTTAGTAACAATCCAACCAACCCAATCTCATCCTCCCAATCCAAGGATCTGGTGTGATGACCATGGGTATACAGAGATGCCATTTCCTGAGATCCCCGGGGCAAAATCTCCACTTCTTCCCCAGCCAAAAGCCACACACTCACACATTCCTGAAAGGCACTCTCCAATGCCCCGATCACCAAGTCTTCTGCCCTGATGCCCTTTTCCTCCACAAACTGAGGGTCACTGGGGCAGATGCAGCGGCCATTGAGGTGCATGGGGGGCTGAGTGGCCACCAAGCCTTCCACCACGGCCTCCAGCTGCCGGCGCAAGCAGGAGTGCAGGGTGTTGGCAGCCAAGATGGCTGCTGCAGGACCGCCGTGCCCATCGAACAGTGCCCAGTAATGGCCTGTCAGGAACTGCACAGGAAGGGCTCAGTGTCAGCCTCTGCCTGACTTCCCCACTTGTCCCCTGACGCAACCTAACTAGGACCTGGGGCAGCAGGGTAAGAACCTCAGCCTGCAGGTCGTGGCCCCAGCCTGTCGGAGGGATTCCAGCCAAGAACTCAGACTGCACTCACCTCCTCTGGGCACAGGGTCAGCCACTCTTCTTCAGCCCCAAACTCACATCTCCGGATGCACAGCTTCCCACAGGCGGCTTGATCCTCATTGAATTCAGATTTCTCTGCATTGATAATCCTGAGGCCGGGAAATGGTAAGCGACCCTCCAGGGACACACCTATGTCCCCATGGGCACAGGGACCCAAGCCAGCACAGGGAGAAGACCCCTCCCTCTGGGGCAACAGCTCCCCAGTGCTGTCCCTAACACACACTTAGACAACCACGATGTAAGCTTCCTAACTTCACTGGCCTCATGGCTAAGGTAAAAGTCAGGGCCCAGCTCCTCTGGAGCCTACCTGGTGACCCAGGGCTAGACGGTAAGGGTAGGTTGCCATTCCTGCCCCTGTCCTGTCGCAGCCCAAAGCCCTGTCCCATACAGCGCAGGTCATACCCAGGGTGAGATGGTGGGGGTAGAGGGCGAGGGGAAATCTCCAAAGCCCCGAATGCTGGAACTCTACCGAGTCTCTGGGCCTCATCTTGGAAGCCCCTGGGCTGCAGGTCCTTCCCGACCTCCTGTCTTCTCTGAGGGGGAGGTCGGAATCCCAAGGAAAACGCTGGGTCGGGATGACCGGGAAGTTGTCAGGATTCGGAGGTGAGGGCAAGAAGGGGCTGTCCACAGGTGGGTGGGGACTGTCACTCAGCTCCTCCCGCTTTCTAGGCGGGCGCAGGACCCGAAGCGGGTTCAGGCCCGGGCCTGAGCTGGGGGTCGGGGAGGGGCACTCACTCGGCGTAGCCTGCATTCCAGGGTAGCGTGCGTCCTCGTGCGGGGCTGCGCACGGGCCGGGAGTCTGGGCGGCGCGAGGCGTCGGCCGCCCCGGGGCTGGAGCTGGAGCCGCGAAGGAAGCGGGGCCGTCGGTAGGGCACGGGGCTGGCATGCGGCCCAGGCGGCCGCGGCGCGGGGAGCGGCTCCCCAGGCAGGAAGCGGCGCCGGAACCAGCCGGCGGACATGGCGCGGCGGCAGGGGGCTGCCCGCGGAGCGCGGGGCGCTAGGGCTGGGCCGCCCGCGGGAGGAAGAAGCGGGCCGCGGGCGGAGCCGAGGGAGGGGTGCGCCGGCGGGAGGCGGGGCCGGGGGCGCGCAGACGGGAGGCGTCGCCCCCCAGCCCCGACCTCCGCCCGGGAGTGCGTGCGCGGCTGGTTCGCTGACTCCAGGGGTCAACGCTCGCGACCGCCTGAAGAAGCCCACGCCGGCATCAGCCCCATTTGACAAGCAGGAAAACCGAGGCCTAGAGAGGCGAAGTCGCCTGCCCAGCGTCCCACAGTAGCCAGGGAGGACTGTTCACCCACGCTTGCGGGGCACTGGTGGTTGAGAGGAAAAGTCCCCCACACTCCGCGGGGCCAGCGTCGCGCAGATCCTCGGACCTCCTCCTGCTGGGTGGGGACCTGACGCAAGGGGAAGATGGGGACAAAATGAGCTGGGAGGTGTCAGACCCCCACATTGAGTAAATGCCACCGAGCACAGGTTCCTTCAGGCGGCCTCCAATCCTCTCCACCCCGGCCTGCCACCCTCCACCCCAGACGGGCTTAGTGGGCACCTTGGCTTTCCCCGTCCTGAGAGGCTGCTGCCACCCTCGAGGACAGTCTTCCAAATGGCTGTCCCTGCATTCAAGATGTCTTCGCGGAATAGACAGCAGGATCCTTACTGGACTGTGAGTGAGTGACGGACAAGAGAAATCTGTGTGAGTGTAAAGGGGAATCCGTGGTCCCCCAAAGGCTCCAGCTGGTCCGAGTTCAGACCTGGGACGGAGGGAAGTGAAAGACGAGGAACCATCTTGCGGTCTCTCAACCACTGGCTAGCTGTCACCAGGCGGTCAGCCGCAGTGTCCCCTTCACATCTGCGAGTTAACAAAGCACTTTGTCACCCATTTGTCACTCAAGTCCAACTCCCTGTGCAAAAGTGTTACTTTGGCCGGAGGCAGTGGCTCACGCCTGTAATCCCAGTGCTTTGGGAGGCCGAGGCGGGCGGATCACTTGAGGTCAGGAGTTCGAGACCAGCCTGGCCAACATGGTGAAACCCCGTCTGTACTAAAAATTAGCCAAGCGTGGTGGTGTGCGCCTGTAATCCCAGTTACTCAGAAGGCTGGGGCACAAGAATCGGTTGAACCCAGGAGGCAGAAGTTGCAGTGAGCCGAGATGGAGCCACTGCACTCCAGCCAGGGCAACAGAGCGAGACTCAGTCTCAAAAAAAAGAGTGTTACATCATATGGACGATTCTGAGGCCCATGGAGGGGAAGTCTTGGACACCCAGGGCTGTACTATTTCCATTATGACAATGCAGCTGACTCAATCCTCGCCCCCAGGGCACTTCTCTTCCCCTTTCCTCCTCCAGGAAGCCAGGGCTTGCCAATTAAAAGCGGCTAAGGCTCCACAGCCCAGTGCCTGCATATGAGCTGTATGAGGAGTCCACCTTCACCTCCACTCCCTAGCCCAGGTAGACGCTCAGTAAGCCCTACTTCCTCCCAGCAGCTAGTCCTGCCCCAGTGGGAGTTCCTCGGGCCCAAGAAGGAAGGTTCTTAGGGCAGGGACCTGTGCCCAACACCCACTCCCTCCGATGACTCAGTCCCAGACCAGCCTGGGGGCTGATTGACTGAACCCACAGTGTCTGCTGGGGCCACACTGGGCACAGGAACGCAGTGCTAATGGAGACAAGCCAGGCCTCTGCCCACCAAGCCCCCTGCAGTGATGGTAGCAGTTCTGGTGGATGCTGCTTCATCCAGCTGGCAAGAGGATAGGGGCGATGTCAGAGAAAGTTTCCCAAAGGACCTCTGAGCTGTGAATTGTCACTGTGACAGAACAGAAAGGTACCAGGGTGGGGCAGGCCCAATTCAGTCTATGGGGCCACTTCCTCACCCTCACCAGTTGATGCCTCAGAGGATTTTAAAGTCTAAAATTGGACAAAACAAAGTGCATACACTCTATTCCCCAACCCACCCCTGGGTGGGGGAAAGCCTTGTCCTGAAGTATTTTCACAGAAGCTCTGGGCAACCAAATGTCATAGGCAGTCTGTTGCACAGCTTAGCCATTGTCTATTTTCAGAGCCATGTGGAACCACATGGCAATCCCATCCTCTCTGTTCCAAGGTGGCCTGAGTGTTCCTTCAGTGCTACCAGGCTCTTCTGGCTTCCTGGGCTCCTAAGCGCCTCACTCTTGCCTGGATCTTAAGCCTATGTCTCTTGGTTTACTCCCTCATTTTGCTGAAGTGCATCCTTCAACAACTTTCCAACAAAGGGTGACTGGGAGGTACTTTCCTGAGAGATGTTATTTATCTATCTTTTTCTGTGAATGGTCTGTTTGTATCCTTTGCCACACTTTCTACTGGGCCATTTGTCTTTTTCTTTTTCTTTTTTTTTTTTTTGATACAGAGTTTCGCTCTTGTTGCCCAGGCTGGAGTGCAATGGTGTGATCTCGGCTCCCCATGACCTCTGCCTCCTGGGCTTAAGTGATTCTCCTGCCTCAGCCTCCTGAGTAGCTGAGATTACAGGCATGTGCCACCACGCCTGGCTACCATTGGTCTTTTTCTTATTGACTTATGAGAGCTCTTTATATATTAGAGAAATCAGCTCTTTATTTTGAAATGAGTTACAAGTATGCTGTTTGTAACAAGTTACAGTTTGTTATTTGTGTTTTGGCTGTGATGGTGGCTTTTTCCATATAGACTTTATTTTTTATGCAAATGGATTATTGATCTTTTCATAAAGGAAAATAAAAATTTCAGGACCCCCAAATTTGTTATGCTAAAGGGAGAGTTAAGCTTGGAGACTGAGCCACACAACACTGGCATTCCTTTTTTTTTTTTTTTTTTTTTTTTTTTTTTTGAGATGGAGTCTTGCTCTGTCACCCAGGCTAGAGTGCACTGGCACAATCCCGGCTCACTGCAACCTCCGCCTCCCGAGTTCAAGCAATTCTCCTGCCTCAGCCTCCCCAGTAGCTGGGATTACAGGCACCCGCCACCATGCCCAGCTAATTTTTGTATTTTTAGTAGAGATGGGGTTTCGCCATATTGATCAGGCTGGTCTCGAACTCCAGACCTCAGGTGATCCACCCGCCTCGGCCTCCCAAAGTGCTGGGATTACAGGCGTGCTGGGATTACAGGCGTGCTAGGATTACAGGCGTGCTGGGATTACAGGCGTGCTAGGATTACAGGCATGAGCCACCACACCCAGCCTTTTTTTTTTTTTTTTAATTTTATTCCGGCAACACTTCATTCTATGCTGCAGAACTAATGTTCTCCAAAACTGTCATTCTTTTCCCAAATGGATACCTGTTACCTTGCAACCTTGTGTCAAAATATTATGCATTAACCAGATCCCCACAAAAAGGCAAAAAGCCTCATGAATCTCCAGGTGACTGCAATCACAAATTGCTCAGCAGTAAATTCTTTGCCAGTCCCTAAAACTTTCAGGATGTATATCCTCCTATAAAACAAGGACATGTCAACTGCAACTTTAGGTCTGCAACCTAAACCTAACTCCTAAAACCAAAGTCTGTTAAATTTCACACTGACAATGTCAATTACAAGTTTATCTGCCCAGGTGCAGAACAAGGATAAGATGAGATCAATCATTCCTCCACCTAACCTGAGACCTCTGCATAATTGGCTCTTCTGTTACTCCCTGTTCTTCCAGTGTTCACCCTATCTTCCATATAGCTTAGATTTACGGGACACTAATTAAGAGTCTCACAAAAACATAACCATTTGCCTCACTGTCTTCTCCCCTTTAAAGAAATGTACAAATATTGAGCCTCCTGAAAACTTCTTGGGAGAGCACAGGCCACAGACGTTTCTTTGACTTGTGTTGCTTTCCTGGGCACGCTCCAACTCTGGCTCAGTAAACCTCGATTGATTGAAGCTCTTGCCTCAGTCTCTTATTTGGGTTAAGATTTTCTTTTTTTTTTTCTATAGACTAATTTTGGAAGTGAAAGATTTTCTTTGATGGTTTCTGTGTTTGGTGACACAGAAGTTTCCTCCACTCCAGATTCTACAAACTCCTCCCTTTGTTTCTTCAGTATTTTTAAATTTTTTAAGAGAGCCTCACTCTGTCACCCAAACTGGAATGCAGTGGTGTGATCACGGCTCACTGCAGCCCTTAACTCCTGGGCTCAGGTGATCCTCCTGCCTTAGCCTCCCAAGTAGCTGGGACTACAAACATGTGTGACTGTGCCTGGCTAATACATATCTATCTATTAATCTATCTATCTATCTATAGATATATATATGTAGAGATGGGGTCTTGCCATCTTTACCAGGCTGGTCTTGAATTCCTGGCCTCAAGCAGTCCTCCTGTCTCAGCCAAGTAGCTGGAACTACAGGTGTACATCACCATGCCTGGCTAATTTTAAAATAATTTTTTTTTTTTTTTTGTAGAGATGGAGTCTCACCATGTTGTTGTCCAGGCTGGTCTCAAACTCCTAGGCTCAAGAGATCTTCCCACCCTGGCCTCCCAAAGTGTTAGGATTACAGGCATGAGCCACTGTACCTGGCCCCCAACTTCTCGAATAAAATGAAACTATGATTCTTGGCCTCACTCACTACCATGTGACATTGATCAAATCACTTCACCTCTCCAAACCTCAGAGTCTTTATCTGTAAGATGGAAAAAGTAACACCTACTTCAGGGGCTGTCATGAGGATTAAATAAATGTGCCCAGCAGGTAGTAAGTATACAACACAAAGCATCTAATGGTTCATTCATACATTTGCTTATTTTGCAATTATTGGCCACCTGCCAATGTTGGGCACTGTTCTAGGCACAGGGGATACAGCAAGGGCAAACACCTAACTACTGGTGGAGGGAAGACGATAAACAAATACGTAAAGATTTGTGCCAGGTAGTGATAAAAGCAAAGAATGACCCATGGAGAGGGTCAGCTGGGGAGACCACGCAGTACCCTACTTTGTCACAGTTCATCCAGTGAGGGACATTTTTACAGGGCACATGACCTTAATCTTTTTCATTAATCTTGGTTAATTCATTTCCAGGAGGTCAAGTCTCTTGTGGTTCTGTGGAATCACCAGATGCTCCTGTGGGTGTGGCTTAGTCTGAGCTGATGTAACAAGTAGCTCTGTGTTGCTGGCACCATCTGGCTGTAGCAGGGTTCAGTGTGGGAGGCCTTGCCTGTGAACTGTTCTAGAAGGCAAGCTGCAGGGCTGCATAACACTCCATTTTCCACTGTGAGTGCTGGGGGGACAGTGGTTAGCAGATGACATAGGCCCAGTCTTCAGGGTGAGCGCAGGAAGATGAATGAGAAAACCCTTCAATTCTGTGTAGCTGGGCTCTCTGGGGATGAGAAACTCAGGGGTTGGGGGGCACAGAGGAGGCCTCAATGCAGGCTAGTGAGGGTGGGGAGCAAGACAGTAAATGGAGCTGAAGCTGGGGCCAGATGCCAGGTAGGCCACACATTTCATCATCACATCTCTCAGCAACCCCAGCCCAAAAAGCTGGCCTCCTTTCCAATCTTCCCAGCCAAAGTCCCTGGACAAGCTGATTGGACCAACCAGAGTCAGATGCTCATCCCTGACTCATCACAGTGGCCTGGAAGATGCCACATGTTGACTAGTTGGTAGCAGCAGGCAGGTACTGGTACCAGTAAGGCAAGGCTGCTGGATATAGACACAGAAGGTCATTAGGACATGGGAAGTTCCTCACCAGGCTCTGGCCCTCTTTCAACCTCTGGGCCTTTGCACATGCAGTGCCCTCTTCTCAGAAAACCTTTCTGGCTGGGACTAGTAAGTGGCTCACGCCTGTAATTCCAACGCTTTGGGAGTCCGAGGCGGGCAGATCACCTGAGGTCGGGAGTTCGAGATCAGACTGACCAACATAGAGAAACCCCGTCTCTACTAAAAATACAAAATTAGCCAGGCATGGTGGTGCATGCCTGTAATCCTAACCACTCGGGAGGCTGAGGCAGGAGTGAACCCGGGAGGCGGAGGTTGCAGTGAGCCGAGATCGCGCCAGTGCACTTCAGCCTGGGCAACAAGAGGGAAACTCCATCTCAAAAAAAAAAAAAAAGAAAAAGAAAAAGAAAGAAAACTTTTCCCTCCACTCTGCTGGGCTGTTTCATTCTCCCCTCTAGGTTTCCAATCTTCGCCTTCTCCTGGCAGCCCCTCACATTGTCTCGGCGGGCTCTCACCACCATACACTCCATCTAGTGGGTGAAGGCGGGCCTAGGCCCGTGAGGGCAAAGCCTAGCGGCCATGATCACCCCGAGGTGCCCAGGACCCCACGGGAGGCGCTCAAGAAACGGCCCCTGGGGAAGAGCTGGCGCGCCCACCCACAAGCAGACCCCTTCCTGGGTGCAAACCCGTGTACGCTGGGACCCACTCCTATTCGGAGACCCACCTGGCTTGGGGCGCACAGATCGGGCGCGCGCGCACGATCCGCCCCACCCACAGACCACCGTGATCAGGGCGCACAGACACACACGCGCGTCCTCCCACGCACGCTCGGTCACACGCAGGCCCCCCTCTCCTGCCACAGAGGAACGCGCTGGCGTGCGCACGGCGGATCAATCATCATCCTTAGACCCACCCGGACCGAGGCGCAGGCTGCGCGCACGCGCGGCCCCGAGTCCCCGCCTCCCTGCCGCGCCTGTCGGGGGCGGGGCGCCGCTGGGGGCGGGTCCTGCGGCACCGCCCGGGAAGCTGCGCGAGGGTCGACAGCCTCCGCCACATCCTCCACCTCTCTTGGTCCAGCGAGCGTTGCCGGGCCAGGGTCAAGCGGAGGGCTCCGACGGCGCGGACGGAGCGAAGCGCCGAGCCATGGCGCACCAAACGGGCATCCACGGTGAGGGCGGATGGCGGGCGGGCAGGGGGCCTCGGTCTGGGCTCTCGGAAGCGCCCCCCCCCGGCTCTCGGCCCCTCCCTCCACCCCACACCAGCCGGGAGAAAGCTTCCTGTTCTCTTTTGCAGCCGCGGGTCGCCTGGGGTGGGCACATCTGGGGGAGTACGGACGTGGTGTGCATAGCTGGGAGTGGGTGTATGTGTACGTACACAACTGGGGTGGAAGTATCTGTGTGCCTACCTGGAGATGAATGTGGCTGTGTGTGCCCATCTGTATATTTTTGTTCCTTTCCGGGAGTGGGTGTACACGCATGTGCACACGTCTTCCGTGTACAGTCCTGCCTGTGCACCTCTGGATGTGACTCGCTTGTGTACATCTAGGGTCATTCATGCACTGGCACTAGTGACTGTTTGAATGGACACTGTAGGTCGCATAGGACCCTCTTTAGACATCAGTGTTTCATGGCAGTGTGCACATGTATGTGGGTGTCTGTGTGTGTGCACAGTTGGAGCGCGTCTCAGTGTGCATTTTTGCCAAGGATGCATATACCGCATGTGTCTGACTTGAATGGGCTTGTTTATGTGTGTTAGGAGAAGGCCCTGACCTTTGCTCCTCCCAGGACACTCACTCTCCCCAGGCTAGGGAAAACCCGGAACAGAGACTTCTACGTGGGATGGAGAAAGCTGCCTATCTGACCTTGACCTCTGACCTCCCTCCCATTTTCCACTGTGACTTTCTGAGTCTGCCTCAGTCTGGTTGGAAGATCCCAGCTCCAGGCTGCAGACAGAGAAGAGGTCCAGATATGGGGTTTTGTGGGGAGAGTCCTGGCCCTAAAGAATCCAGGCCAGCTCCCACCCCCAGCCCCCAGCCCTAGGAAGCTTCACCATTCCCGCATCACACCCTCCCCTCCCCTAGGGGTCCCAGTTTCCTTCTTGGACAGGCTGTGAGAGAAGCAATGGCTGGGAGCCAGGTGCCCTGACTCTACCTGGGGCTCAGTGTCCTCCTCTGTCACTGGCCTGAGAGAGCTGCCTGGCCTGTGGGGAAGGCCCGGGCTGTTTGCCCAGACAGCCTGGCGGGTTTGGCCATCAGCCACCCCTCCCACCACACTAGGATCCCCTGCCTGGGGCTGCCACCATCGACCTGCCTGACCACCTGAATCCTGGTGCGGTTGTGGCCACTTGGTGGCTGGGCTGCCCTGAGAAGGTTTCCCTGGCCCCGCGAAGGCAGGGGCCTGGGTCAGGGCCAGGGCTCCCAGATGGGCCAGCCTTTCTCCAGGAGGAGCTGGCGGGCAGGCTTCATGACTCAGCCCCACAGGAGGGAACTGCCTCCTGGCCAGCTTCTTCCTTCCCCTTTGTCTGGTCATAGCTGCTGCCTCCCAGCCTCCAGCCCTGGTGGAGGAGATCCCAGGAAGTTAGCCACCCCATACCCCTTCCCTGCTGCCTCACTCCCTCCTTTCCCATAGTGAGACAGGCCCACCGAGGGGGTCACTGGGGACTGGGCTGCCCCTAGCCCTCCTTCCACCTGTGAGCAGCCCACTTCTTCCCATTTCTGGCCTGGGAAGTTGGCAGCAGAGATCACCCTGGAGGACCAGGTGCCAGCCCTGTCCTGACCATAGGTGTGGATCTGCTGACCGCAGAGTAGGCAGGAAAGGGACCTGTAATGTGAGGCTCACTTGAGTCGGAGGGAGGGTGTTCATGAATCATTGATAATAGAGGCTCAGGTGTCCCAGGCCTGGCCTCTGGATTATTGATGGTGGCTGGGCAGGCATTGGGGCTGGGGTGGGCAGGGATGTGCCTTTCCCTGTGGGGGTGTCAGTTTGCCCTGGTAACACTAGAAGGGGCCCGTCGGCCTGTCCCTTAGGGGAGCTTCTTGGCCTTCCTTCTGGGAAGGTCTGGGCAGGTAGAAGGGGCAGCTCAGCACAGTCAGCTTGCTGTTATTATCATAATAAAAGATTAATTGTTATTAATAGAGGCCACCATCGCCAAGCCCTTTCTCCCATTTACCCCTCACCACAGCCCTGCCAAGTTTGGGGCTATTATTTCCATTTTATACACTGAAGTTCAGAGAGGTCAGGAGTCACACAGCTGAGGGAGAAGTGGAGCCCCAGAGGCCAGGCTTGGGGCCTCAGGGACCTGCTTGGGATCTGCCGATGGAAAGTTCTGTCCTGGCCCAGTGGGATGGTGTCCACCTGCCTACAGTTCCATGCCATGTTTCTCTGAGCCCTAAGGGTCTGCTGAGCTCAGTTGGGCCCCAGCCCACCCAGTGGCCTTGGAGGGTGGTGCATAGCCTGAGGTCTCAGATTAACGGTCACTCTGCAAAGGGGGGGCACCTGAGGACATAACCAGAGTTTGTTTTCCTAAAGGCCCCCCCGCCCCTGAGTTGCCCAGTCCTGGCCCTATAAATATTCTCTGACCTCAGGCCTCCAGCTGTGTTCCTGACGGAATTCCCCTGACCCTTGGGCAGCCTCAAGGTCACACTGGCCTAGCCCTGCTCACCCAGGGACCCAAGCAGGGCCCTTCCCCACATGGGCCGTGGTGGTTTCCCTGTCCACTAGTAGATCCACCACTTATGGCTCCCCAGCTCTCACCATGGTCCTCACCTCTGCCCTGGGGTCCTTGGTCACTCACTGGCTCTCACCTTCCAGCTCTACAGCCCAATGACCAAGATGGAGTCTCTTTTTTTTTTTTTTTTCTGAGGCGGAGTTTCACTCTTGTTGCCCAGGCTGGAGTGCAATGGTGTGATCTCAGCTCACTGTAACCTCCGCCTCCCGGGTTCAAGCGATTTTCCTGCCTCAGCCTCCCGAGTAGCTGGGATTACAGGTGCGTGCTACCATGCCTGGCTAATTTTTGTATTTTTAGTAGAGATGGGGTTTTGCCATGTTGGCCAGGCTGGTCTTGAACTCCTGACCTCAGGTGATCTGCCCGCCTTGGCCTCCCAAATTGCTGGGATTACAGGTGAGAGCCACCGCACCTGACCAAGATGGAGTCTCTTAGTGAGTTTCGGGGAGCCATTCCTTCTCCTGGAAGCTGCCCCAACTGCCTGAGGGTTAAGGTCATGTTGTCCCCCCACCCCCCACAGGGCTGTATCTGGGCTGGCTGTGGCTCCTCGGGGTCTCAGGGTTAGACAGCCTGGCTGGAGGGCTGGGACTGGGGCTGCACACATGGGTGTCATGCGTGTCCATGTGCTTCTGTGTACACTTTGATACATCCTGTTGCCTGCACACACGTCTCAGCCAAGCTCTGCACTTGCCTGCCTGTGTGCGTGTTAGCAAGCCGGGGACTATATCTCTGTGTGTGTTTGTGTATCTAAACATGCGTGTCCATTTGTGTTTGAGCAACTGAGCATGTGTTCATGTATGAGGGTGTTTGAATTTCTGCTCCTCTGTCACACATGCGTGTTGTGTGTTACATTCACACATGCTGGATTGAGCTGTGTGTGTGTGTGTGTGTGTGTGAATGGGCATAGTGGTCATTGCACAGTGGGGGCATTTGTCTGTGTTCTTTTTTCTGTGTATATGACTGTGCTGAGTGTGTCCAGGCCAGCCCAGAGCTCGGCCATCCTGCGGGGCAGGGGGCAGATGGAGGCTATTCACTGTGGCTGGCCTGGCTTATGCCAGAGCCTGCCCATCTTCTGGTGGGTTGTCCCATCCCTGCCCACCCCGCCCCATCACCAGACCTATCCCAGCCAGCAGGCCACTCGCCTGCCACCTCTGCTGGCTAAATTTGGGAGCTTGTGTTCAGTGGCTGTCTCAGGTTCCCAGTCACATGGGGGGCTGTATTTAACCTGGTTCCCAGCTCAGCCACCAGACCCTGTGGGACAGAGCAGGCCCCATACTCGTCTCTGTCCACTCTGCCCACTCATCCCCCACCATGTTTCTTGTTCTTATAGCCACGGAAGAGCTGAAGGAATTCTTTGCCAAGGCACGGGCTGGCTCTGTGCGGCTCATCAAGGTTGTGATTGAGGACGGTGAGTGCCCCTCACAGGCCAGGGTATAGGCTTGGGGGTGGACTCTGCTGCCTCTGTGGGTGGGGGAAGGAGGATGTTGGCCCCTGGCCTGCCGGGACCTCAATTTCCCACTCTGGAAATGGGTGTGAGGCCATCCTGACAAAGGAGAGCCTCACAGGGCAGCATCAGAGGTGGGCGCAATTGTCACCTCTGTTATGCAGAGCAGGAAGCCGAAGCTGGGGTCAGCAAATAGAGCCCTGTCCTGGGGTCCTGCCACCTCCCAGAGGCTGCATGGATATTCAGATGGGCCTGGCCAGGATGCCGAGCTGGGCTGGGCAGAGGGGCAGGGGATAAGTGAATCCAGCACTGCCCCTTGTGGCTGGTGCCACCCGCCTCATTTGTTGGTGGCCTGGCCTGGCTCAGCTGCTGTCCGAGGGGAGACCTAAGGAGATCCTGCACCCTTCTCTTGGAAGTGCCCCCATGATGGGGAGAAGGGATGAGTGTCTGGCTCATCTGAGAGTAGGATGGGAGGGTTCTAGGCTTGGCTGGGCTTTGGCCTTGCCCCTGAGGACCTGGGAGCTGTATAGAGGGCAGTGCTGGGGACACTGGGACTTGAGCTGAGGCCTGAAGTGGGGAGGGTTTGGGGAGGCAGAGGATTAAACTGAGGAGGATTGGGAGGTCAGAGGCCAGAGAACATTTTTTCACCTTTCCTCCATGCCAATGGACTGTCCCTTTGGGTGAGGGGTACAGACTTTGGGACTGGGGTGGGCCAGGCTCCCCAGAGGTCCTCCCAGCTCTTCTCATTAGCCATTCAGCAGCAGGCACTTTGGATGGCTGCCTGAATGGGCCTGGTGCTCAGCTGGCTTTCCACGCGTTGTGTTGGCTCAAAGCAGGATCTGCCATTCCAGGTTTTAGGGCCTTGGCAGTGCTTTGCCCAGGGAGTCCAAATTCTGATGCCCTCAGAGACTGGGCAGGGGTCACTGTGGCAGAATATTAGTGATGGCTTCCTGGAGTGGCAGGCCACAGCCACCCCACCCTTAAAAAGGCAGTTGTACTCATTGACCCCAGTCCTCGGCCCTCCCTGTTGCCTCCCAGACAAGATGTCCCTGCAGATTTTTTTTTTTTTTTTTTTTTTTGAGACGGAGTTTCGCTCTGTCACCCAGGCTGGAGTGTAGTGGTGTGATCTCAGCTTACTGCAAGCTCCGCCTCCCGGGTTCACGCCATTCTCCTGCCTCAGCCTCCCGAGTAGCTGGGACTACAGGCGACCACCACTGCGCCCGGCTAATTTTGTATTTTTAGTAGAGACGGGGTTTCACCATGGTCTCAATCTCCTGACTTCGTGATCCGCCCACCTCGGCCTCCCAAAGTGCTGGGATTACGGGCATAAGCCACCGTGCCCAGCCGTCCCTGAAGATTTTAAGCAGGAGGAATCTCTGGATTGACTTTTATCTCAGTTCTGCATGACAGTTGTTGGGGTACCTGGGACTGCCCAGGAGGGTCCAGGCCCCCGATGGGCAGCCACTGTCCATCTCCAATTGAGGATGGCTCCAGTGTGGCCAGAGGGCCTGATTTTTCTAGAGAGGCTGAGAATTCTACTTCTTATGTAAAATTTCCCAGTTTGAAAATGTTAGCAACAAATTAAGCAATGTTGACAGTGCTGTAGGGGCCAACACAGGCCGTGACTACTCAAAGTCACTGTGACTGTGATCCTGTCTGAGTTCTGGGTGGGCAGGTGAGGAGGCCGAGGCCTCAGAGGGCCTGGTCTGTTGGGGCGTCCAGGCATCGGGGCCCCTGCCCAGATCAGGAGAGTCTGGTGGACTGACACCAGGACCCCCAGCCAGGCTGACTGCCCCTTTGCCCCAGTTATTGCTCCAGGCTAGACCTGTGTATACCCAGGCTGGTGTCTGGTGCCCAGATGAGGTCCCAGTCTACAAGTGCAGCTGGATGCCCCATTTCAGCCAAGGAGCTAGCAGGCCTGTGGGGCCTAGGCACTTAGATGGTGGCTGCTTTGGATCTGCGACATTTTCTTTCTTTTTTTGAGACGGAGTTTCGCTCTTGTTGCCCAGGCTGGAGTGCAATGGCGCCATCTCCTGCTCACCACAACCTCCGCCTCCTGGGTTCAAGCGATTCTCCCACCTCAGCCTCCCGAGCAGCTGGGATTACAGGCCACTACACCCAGCTAATTTTGTATTTTTAGTAGAGACGGGGTTTCTCCATGTTGGTCAGGGTGGTCTCGAACTCCCAACCTCAGGCGATCCGCCTGCCTCTGCCTCCCAAAGTGCTGGGATTATAGGCGTGAGCCACCGCGCCCGGCAAGGATCTGTGACATTTTCGAGGGGACTGCAGCTGGCAGGTAGCCGCAGGATGTCTGTTTATCCAGGGTCTGGTAGGAGCCCCTGCTCCTCCTTTCCAGAGGCTTTTACCCCTGTAGGTCCCTGTGGCCTGGGGCTGTGACCTGCCCCTCAGCACATTTGTCCTGAGGGGAGTCTGCTGCGGTTCTTCTGCTGGAGCCCCAGGGGAGGAGGCGAGCAGGAGGCAGTTTCGTGGGGACTGTGGGCTGAGCAGCTGTGCGGTGGGGATGGGGTCCAAGGGAGCACCCAGGGGTGTGGTGTCCGTGAGGGGCTGACGGCTGCGTGTCTTTGTGTGGCTGTTTGTGTTGGTGATCTGCGCACGTGTGTGTGTGTGGGGGGGTGTGTGCACGCGCTGGGGATGTGCAGGGGGGCAGCCCCCAGGTGGCAGCTTTGTGCCTTCCCTTGCTCACTCATTCAGCCACACAGCCTCACACTTCTGGGACCTGGGGGCTCCAGGGAAGGTGAGGGGCAGCCGGCGGCTCTGAGCCAGCTGGGCAGCCACGGCGAGGCTGGAGGTCTGCAGCGGGAGGCGCAGTGGGAGCTGGGAGCGGCTGCTCATCCGGCCTCTGCCCCCAGAGCAGCTCGTGCTGGGTGCCTCGCAGGAGCCAGTAGGCCGCTGGGATCAGGACTATGACAGGGCCGTGCTGCCACTGCTGGACGCCCAGCAGCCCTGCTACCTGCTCTACCGCCTCGACTCACAGAATGCTCAGGGCTTCGAATGGCTCTTCCTCGCCTGGTCGCCTGATAACTCCCCCGTGAGTCCTGGGCCAGTGGGAAGTGAGGAGGGGAGCTGGGGCTGAGCCAGGCAACAAGGCCTTGCCCTGGGGGATCCAAGAGGGGACACAGGCCTGCCCCTGGAGGGTGGGGGAAGAGCTGTCAGGCCGTGCCCTAGGGAGTCTGAGAGAGGGTCAAGTCCCTGTGCCCGCAGCCTGGGTACCTCTTGCTCTCCAGGCATCAGCCTGGCTCCGGAGGCTGTGATCAGGCTGGACGAGGGCTCCCCCTGCTGGTGGGGGCCACCTGCTGCGTCCTGGCCCCGGGCTGGCCCTCTGCCAGGTGTGCCAGCGCAGTGAGCCCACCGAGTTCCTCCAGAGGCACCTGTCTGTTCCGGGAGAGGCAGCCCTGCCCAGAGGCCTCTTACGGTTTGGCCCTTGCCCTTCAGGTGCGGCTGAAGATGCTGTACGCGGCCACGCGGGCCACAGTGAAAAAGGAGTTTGGAGGTGGCCACATCAAGGATGAGCTCTTCGGGACTGTGAAGGTAATCCTAAGCCAGGACTTACCGGGACACAATCCTGGGCCCACAGAGAGGGGTCACTGTGCAGGGTCAGAGAGCAAGCTAGTGCCAGCTTCGGGAGGAAGATGGGGGCGCTGGGGGAGTCCAAGGGCTGCAAGCTGGCGTGCTCCGTGGGCCTCCTCTAGCCAATCCCCAGGTGCCCATTTATGGCTCTGCATTCACCCCCACCCCTGCAGGATGACCTCTCTTTTGCTGGGTACCAGAAACACCTGTCGTCCTGTGCGGCACCTGCCCCGCTGACCTCGGCTGAGAGAGAGCTCCAGCAGATCCGCATTAACGAGGTGGGTGGGGAGCAGAGGCCCCAGCCTTGAGCCCTCAGGGTCATATCGGCCCAGTGGCAGCCTGTGCTGCCTGGGAGCCACACCCTGCTTTGGGCCGGTGAGGGCCTCCCTCACCATTCCCCTACCCACAGGTGAAGACAGAGATCAGTGTGGAAAGCAAGCACCAGACCCTGCAGGGCCTCGCCTTCCCCCTGCAGCCTGAGGCCCAGCGGGCACTCCAGCAGCTCAAGCAGAAAATGGTCAACTACATCCAGATGGTGGGTGCCTGCTCCCTACCCTGGCACATGCTGCCACCACCCCTACTCCTGCCCATGCACATGTGCAGATGTACATGGAGTCCCCACTCCACCAGCCTGCAGTCTGTCCCCTTCAGCTCGTCCATGTGCTTGTGGGAACACATGGTCCACCCCACCCCTCCCTGATCCCTACCTATTCCGCCTGGGGCGCAGACACTGTGTGCACATAGATGTGTTCTGGTCCCTTGTCCCCAGGCCCTGCTCATACACAGGTACACCTGTGAGCACACTGCCCCATTCCGCCCTCCACCCATACCCCTGGGGTCACACTGACCCCTCAGCCCCGAGGCCCTTCCTGTCAGAGATCCCCTCTGTTGTCTCCTTGACCACCCCGTTTCCCTAGGCAGGGTCCTTCTGCCCTGGCTGTTCCGGCTGCCGCTTTCAAGCAAAACGGCTCCTCCCTTCCAAGATGCTTCCGCCAGAGGCCTTGCCTCTGAGGATGGGCTGGCCCAGTGGCAGTATCTCCCTGAGGTTGTGACCCTCCACACCATCCTGTCCCAGGAGTCACTACCGTTGACTACCCTTGGTGGGAGTTCCTTCTCTAGCACAACCTTCAAAGGGGCAGAGTTGGGGCTGGGCCCAGGACTGGCCTCTTCAGAGGGACCCCCATAGAGGGATGGCCATTGCAGGGGAGTCTTGGGAGAGGGAGGTCACATCAGGCTCCTGCCCACCAGCTAATCCTGTTTGAGGGCTTCCTGGGGA
Source organism: Homo sapiens (assembly GCF_000001405.40). Lineage (NCBI taxonomy): Eukaryota > Metazoa > Chordata > Mammalia > Primates > Hominidae > Homo > Homo sapiens. The sequence continues at coordinate 52,230,128 of NC_000003.12, read as the reverse complement.
GAGGGGCCTGGGCCCACCCCGACCTGGTGCTCTCCCATCTTCCCTTGGCCCTGGGCAGAAGCTGGACCTAGAGCGGGAAACCATTGAGCTGGTGCACACAGAGCCCACGGATGTGGCCCAGCTGCCCTCCCGGGTGCCCCGAGATGCTGCCCGCTACCACTTCTTCCTCTACAAGCACACCCATGAGGGCGACCCCCTTGAGTCTGTAGGTGAGTGGCCATGGCAGGGCTCCCAAGCCTGTGGCTGGGTGGGAGCAGGGCTGGTCTGCAGTGGGGCAGGCCTGCTCTGGGTGCGAAGGTCAGCAGGTTTCTCAGGCCTCCCAGGCTCACCTCCTGCCCCCCAACAGTGTTCATCTACTCCATGCCGGGGTACAAGTGCAGCATCAAGGAGCGAATGCTCTACTCCAGCTGCAAGAGCCGCCTCCTCGACTCCGTGGAGCAGGACTTCCATCTGGAGATCGCCAAGAAAGTAGGCGCCCTCCCCAGGGCCTCACCTCCCCAGGCCCTATCACTCCAATCTCCATGTGGGGCGCTGGGGTCCTGAGATGACGGCAGAGCAGGAATCGTTGCTGTCGTGTTGATCATAGGGCATCTGAGGCCCAAGGAGCAACACGCATGGCCCAAGGCTGCCCAGCTGATCGGTGGCTCAGAAAAGTCCAAGTCCTGGCTACCATGTCATGTCCTTTCCCTGGGCCTGGAGACAGGGAGGAGGTGACCCCAGCGAGCAGAGTCCAAGGCATGCAGGGCAGCAGGCCCTAAGCTCTTGCTTTCCTGGGAGTGGCATTCCAGGTGGGGAATCAAGGGGAGACCTCAGGAGACCCCAGGGCTAGGATGTGAGAGTAAGGGGTGCCCCAGGAGTGGGGGCTACCAGGGGTGGTGTGTGTCAGAGCCCCTCCCATTGGGGTGACCACTGCCTTGCCCCATGCAGATTGAGATTGGCGATGGGGCAGAGCTGACGGCAGAGTTCCTCTACGACGAGGTGCACCCCAAGCAACACGCCTTCAAGCAGGCCTTCGCCAAGCCCAAGGGCCCAGGGGGCAAGCGGGGCCATAAGCGCCTCATCCGCGGCCCGGGTGAAAATGGGGATGACAGCTAGGAGGCTGGAGCAGGGCCGGCCACGTGTGGACTGTGGGGCTGCCCACCTTCCGCTCCCTGCCACCATCCTCCTTCCTGGGCTCCAGGAAAGTGTTTCTGGGAGGTCAGGAGGGCTGGCAGCTGAACGCACTTGCAGCGTCCGAGGGCCACCGGGCTGGCATTTTGTGACCCTTCCCTGTTGCTGTCCCTGCATCTCGTCTGTGTGCCCAGGGTGTCCGGGGACCCTGCCTGGCTGGCTTAAGGGGGCTGGGTCAGGGGCCTGGCATGAACCTGGCCTCCCGGGGAGCTGAGACTAGGGTCCCAGCACAGCCCAGAAACCTTTGGCCACAAGAAGTGGGGTCAGTCAGGGCTGGGGCAGGGGTCACTGCAGTTTGGGATGGTTGAATGCTGTATTTTCTAAAGAATAAAATATTTTTAAATCAAGACTTGTGCTTGGCCCTGAGAGACCGCCTCTGGCCCTGGGAATTGGGCAGTCTTGTGCATATAACTGTCCTTTCCCAACAGGGGAGAGGGGAGTGCCGGCCTGCGAGGTGGAGCCCCAGCACTCCACCTCCAGGTGTGTGGGAGAGGCTGTGCCTGTGAGTGGGCGTGCAGCCTCACGCGGGTCTCCCAGTCAACAGGAGCCCTGCTGGAGAGGCAGGCGCGCCTCCACTGTGACATGAGGGATCTGCATATGGTCATTTGCTGAGGCTGCCGTAACAAATTACCACCAACTTAGTGGCTTCGAAGAAACTCAAATGTATTCTCTTACAGTTCTGGAGGCTGGAAGACTGAGATGGGTCTCACAGGGCCAAAGTTGAGGTGTTGGCAGGGCTGGCTGTGTCTGGGCCCCTCAGAAGAACCCATCTCCTGGCCTTTTCTGGCTGTATTCCTTGGCTTGGGGCCCCTTCCTCCACCTTCAAAGCCAGAGGTGACATCTCTGATTCTGCTTTCCTCAGCCTCTGGGCTCCCATGGCCTTTTGTAGTCGAATCTCCCTCTGTCTCCATTTCATAAGGGACATTGTAATTGCATTCACCCTCCCTGCCCCCACCACCTACCCCTGTCAAGATGGGTAACTTAATCACATCTGCGAAGTCGTTTTTGCCACACTGTGGGGTGTTGGGGTCACGTGTTTGCAGGTTTGGGGAATTAGGACAAGGATCTCTGAGAGGGACTTTATGCAGCCTCCCACATGGGATAAGGGCTCCTCCTCGAAGGCTTCCCAGCCTCCCTGGGCTGAGGCCAGGACAAGTTTTTCTGTGGACATCGATATCGGTGTCTCCAAGCTGAGTGTGTCCATGTGCGTGGGTCTGTACCTGTGTGTGCAGACCCCTCTGTCAGCTTACTGGCCTCTCTGGTTTTCTGCCTCCAAAGAAGGCAGGGCCACTGCTGGGTATGGGGGTCTGGGTCCCTGGTCCAAGGGACTCTGGGAAAGTCTCAGGCTTGGGGCTCCACAGGAGCCCGAGCTTTGGTGTATCCCTCTGAGAGGTGGATGGAGGGAATGAATGCAGGTGCCTTCCACCCCAGGCAGGCAGGAGTGGAAGCATGGGGTTGATGCCTGCAGCCCAGCTACTGAGTGGGCACTGCTCTCCTTCCTGGCTCAGGGCAACATTCTATCCCTGGCGCCTTTCTGAGCCCCTGCTCAAGCCCCTAGAATTGTAGAGAGGAGAGCCAGACTAGCTAAGACCCAGAGGAGGCTTGTCCTTGCCCAGCCGAAACATTGGCTCCCAGGTGGGCAGGAAGACGATGCCATCGCCCCCTGCTGCTGAGCCAGCCAGATGCCTGGCACTATGGAGCCTGCCTGCCATGATACCACCCAGAGTGGGCCTGGGGGGAGCAGGCTGGCAGATGTGCAGCCTTGCCTCCTCCCAGCAGCAACAATTCATTAATTCATTCATTCAGCCTTCACTCAGAAATACCCTCTCTGTGCCTGCCCAGAGCTGACTGCTGGGTGTACATAATTCAGCAGATATCAAGCACTTACTATGTGCTGGGCACTGTACTGGATCCTGGGGATGCAGATAAAAGATCACTGCCCTTAAGAAGCTGACATTCCAGCAGGGGAATAAGACGATATACAATAAACCATGAAAGATCAATGATCCGGTGTGCTAGCAGTTAAAAAATGTTAGGACAAAGAGAAACATAGACCAGGCAAAGGAGCTCAGGAGTGCCAGATCTGGGGTGGGAGGTTTGTAAGAAGGCTGGATGGCCCTGTTGAGAGGGTGACATGGGAGCAGAGACATAATGGAGGCAAAGGAGGGGTCATATGAGACTTGGGGGAGTTTTCAGGCAGAGGGAACAGCACATCCCAAGGCCCTGAGGCAGGAGAATGCCCAGGGGCTACACAGTCAACTGCAAGCAGGCCAGTGGGCCTGGAGAGCACTCAGGGGAACAGCGGGTGGCAGGTCCCATAGGGCCTTGTTGGCCATCTGTGGACTGTGGCTTTGACTCCAGAGTCAGCCAGGGAGGGGTCTGAGCAGAGGAGGGACCTAGTGTGACTTAGGTTTGAACAGTTCCCTCTAGGGGCTGAATGTGACCAGCCCCTGGAGGGCAGAGAGCAGGGCAGGACAGCCAGAAGGGAGGTGGCACCTGCATGGGTCTAGGAGAGAGGATGGGGGCTGGTGGACATGGGGACGGTGGGCTGTGGGCACACCCTTCAGCATGGTGGACCCAGCAGAACTTGCTGAGGGGCCCGGGGTCACCCAAGGCTTTGGGCCCGAGGAATCTGAGTCTCCTCACCTAGATCAGAAGGAGAGTGGGAAGAACTGATGGGGAGGACTGGCTGGCGGCCCTGCTGGGCCAGCACACACCTGGCCTCTAGGAGCCCCATCTGGAGTGACGTGGTGTGTGCTCTGATGGGGCCCCAGGGGCTCTGGGAATGTGGAGGAGGAGGTCTTGTTTCCGGAAGATGTTGCAAGGCTGTGGTGAAGGCAGGTGCAGCCTAGCCTCCTGCTCAAGCTACACCCTGGCCCTCCACGCATGAGGCCCTGCAGAACTCTGGAGATGGTGCCTACAAGGGCAGAAAAGGACAAGTCGGCAGCCGCTGTCCTGAGGGCACCAGCTGTGGTGCAGGAGCCAAGACCTGAGGGTGGAAGTGTCCTCTTAGAATGGGGAGTGCCCAGCAAGGTGTACCCGCTACTGGTGCTATCCAGAATTCCCATCTCTCCCTGCTCTCTGCCTGAGCTCTGGGCCTTAGCTCCTCCCTGGGCTTGGTAGAGGACAGGTGTGAGGCCCTCATGGGATGTAGGCTGTCTGAGAGGGGAGTGGAAAGAGGAAGGGGTGAAGGAGCTGTCTGCCATTTGACTATGCAAATGGCCTTTGACTCATGGGACCCTGTCCTCCTCACTGGGGGCAGGGTGGAGTGGAGGGGGAGCTACTAGGCTGGTATAAAAATCTTACTTCCTCTATTCTCTGAGCCGCTGCTGCCCCTGTGGGAAGGGACCTCGAGTGTGAAGCATCCTTCCCTGTAGCTGCTGTCCAGTCTGCCCGCCAGACCCTCTGGAGAAGCCCCTGCCCCCCAGCATGGTAGGACAACAGCTCTCAGTCCCCTGGGGAAGGGGATATCCTGGGAAGGGGTGGGGAAAGAAGTGGGCTTGGCAGCTGCAAGCAACAGTGACGGGTTGTCACCCACATGGCCCTGGGGACACTCACTGAATCCTGAAGACTTCAGAGCCGAAGCCCTCTTCTTTTTTCTTTTTTTTTTTTTTTGAGACGGAGTTTCGCTCTTGTTGCCCAGGCTGGAGTGCAGTGGCTTGATCTCAGCTCACTGCAATCTCCACCTCCCGGGTTCAAGTGATTCTCCTGCCTCAGCCTCCCAAGTAGCTGGGATTATGGCTTGCGCCACCATGCCTGGCTAATTTTGTATTTTTAGTAGAGCCAGGGTTTCTCCATGTTGGTCAGGCTGGTCTTGAACTCCAGACCTCAGGTGATCTGCCCACTTCGGCTTCCCAAACTGCTGGGATTACAGGTGTGAGCCACCGTGCCCAGCCACTGAAGCCCTCTTCTGAGCAATGAGACCCAAACCCCCAGAGGGGACGAGGAGACTGAGGCACTGATGGAGCTGGGGCTGGAGCCTGGGTTTGGGTCTCACTGGGCCTGTAGCTTGGGGCTGGCTCTGTCTGGCACTTTGCAGGCCACCCCTCTCTCCATCTGTTCTGACCCATAAGGCAAAGGCTCTCGGGCTAGGTGAGGCAGGCAGAGAGTGATGGAGCTGTGCAGTGCCCTCTGGCCAGGGTCCCTGGGAGGCAGCCGGCCTGGGCCATAGTGGGAGACTCTCACACCTGCCTGAATCTTGGCCGAAGGAAAAGGAAGGGGTTGTGGGGTGGCTGGTGGAGGGCAGAGAGCGGATTTCAGGGCAGCTGGAGGGGAGGGAGCCAGCTGCCACCTTGCTCAGGAGCAGGAAGGGAAAGTCGGGGAGAGACCAGGGGGGGCCGTGGGCCACCTTGCCTGGCCTGGTATAGCCAGGGATTGGTTAAGTGAAAGCTGTAGATCATAAGTCTGGATTCTAGGTCTCAGTCCTGGTTCTGAAGCCTAATTCTGAGTCCAAGACTGGGTCTGAGACTGAGTTCAGGTTCCCCACAAGCCATGGGGGATGGGAATGGGGCTTGGCAGCCAGGAAGAACTTCTGCAGGTAGGGCTTGGAGAGAGGGGTTGGAAGATGCTAGAAGATGCCCATGAAGTGGAGTGGGTGGAGGTAGAGCTGGGGGCCGGCCACTCACACAGCCCTCCCACCCCCACAGGGTTTCTGCCGCAGCGCCCTGCACCCGCTGTCTCTCCTGGTGCAGGCCATCATGCTGGCCATGACCCTGGCCCTGGGTACCTTGCCTGCCTTCCTACCCTGTGAGCTCCAGCCCCACGGCCTGGTGAACTGCAACTGGCTGTTCCTGAAGTCTGTGCCCCACTTCTCCATGGCAGCACCCCGTGGCAATGTCACCAGCCTTTCCTTGTCCTCCAACCGCATCCACCACCTCCATGATTCTGACTTTGCCCACCTGCCCAGCCTGCGGCATCTCAACCTCAAGTGGAACTGCCCGCCGGTTGGCCTCAGCCCCATGCACTTCCCCTGCCACATGACCATCGAGCCCAGCACCTTCTTGGCTGTGCCCACCCTGGAAGAGCTAAACCTGAGCTACAACAACATCATGACTGTGCCTGCGCTGCCCAAATCCCTCATATCCCTGTCCCTCAGCCATACCAACATCCTGATGCTAGACTCTGCCAGCCTCGCCGGCCTGCATGCCCTGCGCTTCCTATTCATGGACGGCAACTGTTATTACAAGAACCCCTGCAGGCAGGCACTGGAGGTGGCCCCGGGTGCCCTCCTTGGCCTGGGCAACCTCACCCACCTGTCACTCAAGTACAACAACCTCACTGTGGTGCCCCGCAACCTGCCTTCCAGCCTGGAGTATCTGCTGTTGTCCTACAACCGCATCGTCAAACTGGCGCCTGAGGACCTGGCCAATCTGACCGCCCTGCGTGTGCTCGATGTGGGCGGAAATTGCCGCCGCTGCGACCACGCTCCCAACCCCTGCATGGAGTGCCCTCGTCACTTCCCCCAGCTACATCCCGATACCTTCAGCCACCTGAGCCGTCTTGAAGGCCTGGTGTTGAAGGACAGTTCTCTCTCCTGGCTGAATGCCAGTTGGTTCCGTGGGCTGGGAAACCTCCGAGTGCTGGACCTGAGTGAGAACTTCCTCTACAAATGCATCACTAAAACCAAGGCCTTCCAGGGCCTAACACAGCTGCGCAAGCTTAACCTGTCCTTCAATTACCAAAAGAGGGTGTCCTTTGCCCACCTGTCTCTGGCCCCTTCCTTCGGGAGCCTGGTCGCCCTGAAGGAGCTGGACATGCACGGCATCTTCTTCCGCTCACTCGATGAGACCACGCTCCGGCCACTGGCCCGCCTGCCCATGCTCCAGACTCTGCGTCTGCAGATGAACTTCATCAACCAGGCCCAGCTCGGCATCTTCAGGGCCTTCCCTGGCCTGCGCTACGTGGACCTGTCGGACAACCGCATCAGCGGAGCTTCGGAGCTGACAGCCACCATGGGGGAGGCAGATGGAGGGGAGAAGGTCTGGCTGCAGCCTGGGGACCTTGCTCCGGCCCCAGTGGACACTCCCAGCTCTGAAGACTTCAGGCCCAACTGCAGCACCCTCAACTTCACCTTGGATCTGTCACGGAACAACCTGGTGACCGTGCAGCCGGAGATGTTTGCCCAGCTCTCGCACCTGCAGTGCCTGCGCCTGAGCCACAACTGCATCTCGCAGGCAGTCAATGGCTCCCAGTTCCTGCCGCTGACCGGTCTGCAGGTGCTAGACCTGTCCCACAATAAGCTGGACCTCTACCACGAGCACTCATTCACGGAGCTACCGCGACTGGAGGCCCTGGACCTCAGCTACAACAGCCAGCCCTTTGGCATGCAGGGCGTGGGCCACAACTTCAGCTTCGTGGCTCACCTGCGCACCCTGCGCCACCTCAGCCTGGCCCACAACAACATCCACAGCCAAGTGTCCCAGCAGCTCTGCAGTACGTCGCTGCGGGCCCTGGACTTCAGCGGCAATGCACTGGGCCATATGTGGGCCGAGGGAGACCTCTATCTGCACTTCTTCCAAGGCCTGAGCGGTTTGATCTGGCTGGACTTGTCCCAGAACCGCCTGCACACCCTCCTGCCCCAAACCCTGCGCAACCTCCCCAAGAGCCTACAGGTGCTGCGTCTCCGTGACAATTACCTGGCCTTCTTTAAGTGGTGGAGCCTCCACTTCCTGCCCAAACTGGAAGTCCTCGACCTGGCAGGAAACCAGCTGAAGGCCCTGACCAATGGCAGCCTGCCTGCTGGCACCCGGCTCCGGAGGCTGGATGTCAGCTGCAACAGCATCAGCTTCGTGGCCCCCGGCTTCTTTTCCAAGGCCAAGGAGCTGCGAGAGCTCAACCTTAGCGCCAACGCCCTCAAGACAGTGGACCACTCCTGGTTTGGGCCCCTGGCGAGTGCCCTGCAAATACTAGATGTAAGCGCCAACCCTCTGCACTGCGCCTGTGGGGCGGCCTTTATGGACTTCCTGCTGGAGGTGCAGGCTGCCGTGCCCGGTCTGCCCAGCCGGGTGAAGTGTGGCAGTCCGGGCCAGCTCCAGGGCCTCAGCATCTTTGCACAGGACCTGCGCCTCTGCCTGGATGAGGCCCTCTCCTGGGACTGTTTCGCCCTCTCGCTGCTGGCTGTGGCTCTGGGCCTGGGTGTGCCCATGCTGCATCACCTCTGTGGCTGGGACCTCTGGTACTGCTTCCACCTGTGCCTGGCCTGGCTTCCCTGGCGGGGGCGGCAAAGTGGGCGAGATGAGGATGCCCTGCCCTACGATGCCTTCGTGGTCTTCGACAAAACGCAGAGCGCAGTGGCAGACTGGGTGTACAACGAGCTTCGGGGGCAGCTGGAGGAGTGCCGTGGGCGCTGGGCACTCCGCCTGTGCCTGGAGGAACGCGACTGGCTGCCTGGCAAAACCCTCTTTGAGAACCTGTGGGCCTCGGTCTATGGCAGCCGCAAGACGCTGTTTGTGCTGGCCCACACGGACCGGGTCAGTGGTCTCTTGCGCGCCAGCTTCCTGCTGGCCCAGCAGCGCCTGCTGGAGGACCGCAAGGACGTCGTGGTGCTGGTGATCCTGAGCCCTGACGGCCGCCGCTCCCGCTACGTGCGGCTGCGCCAGCGCCTCTGCCGCCAGAGTGTCCTCCTCTGGCCCCACCAGCCCAGTGGTCAGCGCAGCTTCTGGGCCCAGCTGGGCATGGCCCTGACCAGGGACAACCACCACTTCTATAACCGGAACTTCTGCCAGGGACCCACGGCCGAATAGCCGTGAGCCGGAATCCTGCACGGTGCCACCTCCACACTCACCTCACCTCTGCCTGCCTGGTCTGACCCTCCCCTGCTCGCCTCCCTCACCCCACACCTGACACAGAGCAGGCACTCAATAAATGCTACCGAAGGCTAGATGGCTAACTCTGAGCTCACTGGAGGCATGGACAGGAGGAGGGAAGGGAGAATTCTCCAGGCCTCCACGAAGCAGCTTAGGGAAAATTGCCATAAAGACGGGACAGAGGTCTGCAGGGGAGGAAGCTGCTAAGCTCTGTTCTCTGGGGAGTCTGATGATGGTCACTGGATGTGGTCTTGGTCCTTCCCAGAGAGTAGGGGCCTCTTTTAGCCCCTCCCAGAATGCCCTGCCCTACCTTTCCCATGCAGAACCGGGCAGCACCTGACAGACTTGGCAGCACCCCTTTGTTGTGTATGGGTCTCAGGTTGTCTGTCTCCCTCGCCTACTGGACTGGAATGCCTTGAGGGCAGAGAAGCTGCAGGCTTGGTTCCTTTCTGGCGCTCAGCAAAGTCTTGAGTGGCAGCAGCTATGGGGACTGTTCATTCCAAAACGGTAGAATGAATTGCAGCAAAGGTGGAGGGGTGATTGCGCCCTCTGGTGGCCATGCCTGTGCCAAGCGGAGAAGGCTGGTTCAGGGTCGGGAGGGGAAGGCCTGTGGGTGCATCCCTGCAGCAGGGAGCTGGGAGCCACAGACAGGAGAATCCACTCCTTTCTCTTTCCACCTACAGGTGCTTGCTGGGTCTCTCCATTCTGATATTAAAGGGACACCTAGGCAAGCCACCTCCCTCCCTCCCTCCCTCCTTCCCTCTCTCCCTCCCTCCCTCCGTCCCTCCCTCCTTCCTCCCTCCCTCCCTCCTTCCTTCCTTTCTCTCTCTCTCTCTCTCTCTCTCTCTCTTCTTTCTTTCTGAGACAAGGTCTCACTCTGTCACCCAGGCTGGAGTGCAGTGGCATGAACACTGCAGCCTTGACCTCCTGGGCTCAAGCGATCCTCCCACCTCAGCCTCCTGAGTAGTTAGGACCACAGGGGTGCACCACCATACTCAGCGAATTTTTTATTTTTTTGTAGAAACAGGATCTCACTATGTTGCCTAGGCTGGTCTCAGACTCTTGGATGCAAGTGATCCTCCCGCCTCAGCCCCACAAAATGCTGGGATTATAGGCGTGAGCCACCAAGCCTGACCTTTTTTTTTTTTTTTTTTTTTGCCACAGTCTTGCTCTGTCACCCAGGCTGGAGTGCAATGCAATGGTGGGATCACAGCTCACTGCAGCCTCAACCTTCTGGGACCAGGTGCTCCATCTCACCCTCCCATGTAGCTGAGACTACAGGCCACACCCAGCTAAATTTTATATTTTTAGTAGAGACCAGGTTTCACCACGTTGCCCAGGCTGGTCTTAAGCTCCTGGGCTCAAGCAATCCTCCTGCCTCGGCCTCCCAAAGTGCTGGGATTACAGGTGTGAGCCACTGCACCCGGCTTCTATATGTGATAGTGTACATTTCAGGATAGAGCTGGGAGCCCCAATGACCAGTGTTTGGAGAGGTCAGGGTCTGTCCTCAGCAGGATCTCCTCCACACTGTGTGTGGAGCCATGAGGAGCGTCAGGCCTGGAGCCCCTGAGGGGCCCTCTCTTGGGCTGGCAGCCTACACCATTACCACAGCCAAAACTGCCCTTTGAGGAGCAGGGGAGAAATATGCAGGCTGACAGGTTGGAGCTGGGGCCCGGTTTGGCCGGTCCAGGCCAGTTTGAGATCTGCTTGTCCACTCAGGGCCTCTGGAGGGGAGAGCTAGAGCTGGCAGCAGACAGCTAACTTGGTGGGCTCATCATGGCAGCCCTTGGAGGGTTGCTTTTGCCCTACTCCCCAGGGCATGGCTGTGGGGGAAGTCTATGCTGCCGTCCTCTTTCTGACTTGGGTACAGGGGCTCCTGTGGTGGGCTGTAGATCCCTGTTATCTGCTCATCTGAAAGAAGGAGGGTCTCTGACCTACCAATCGGAAGCCCTGTGCCCCACGTGGGCTCTGACCCAACCTGTCATCCTTCCTTGGCTGCCTGCAGAGAAAAGAAAACAATAGTCTTTTCCCCCTGGCTGGAGTCTAGGGAAGTCCACTGTTGAGTGGCTCTGAGACTATTCTGGCCACAATCAGGGGCAGGGACAGGAAGCTGGAAACAGAATCCCATTCAGGGAACCATATTTTGCATGTGGGAGGCAAGGCAAACCTGCCTGTCTTGGGATTGCCAGGCCCACCCTCCAGCAGTTCCTGGTGGACCTTCCATCTCCCCACCCCCCACCCACGCTCACAGCCCTGATGCTTTTGGGGCTGGAGATTCAGGAGAGCATTTGGAGAGGAAGCACACGGGCCATGGTAGGGGGCTGTTGGGCTCGGCTCAGGTGAGTCTGGGGGTCTGTGGCACTTGGCTCTGTGCTGTCTACGTGATCAGAGAAGCCGCGCACCACTATCTCAGGTCCTGCAGGAAGTGGTTGGAGCTGGGCCAGGGTGGGGCTGGGTGGGAGGCGGCGCCCTCTGCATTGTAGTCAGGAAGGGTACTCAGAGATGGCTCCAGGTTCTCTCCTCCACACGGCGGCCATCCTTGCCCATCAGCACGGCCAGGAAAGAGACAGGACTCAGGCCAGATTGCCTGGGCTTGCCTGCCAGTTCTGCCATTTGGATTGTCTCAGGCAGGTGACCTCCCCTACTGGAGCCTCAGCTTGCTCGCTCTATAAATGGGAATGAGCAGCGCCACTCTGCAGGACGTTGGAGGGATTCGTACACTATGGGTAAGGGTCTGAAACACTGAGCAGGGCCTCAGTTATTATTAGGTGATGGGATTTACACGCAGGACCCTCAACTGATGTGGCTTCAGTGTTTCTCTCTCCACCCAGTGCCTCCCAGGGCACTGACAGGGTTCAGATGTGGTTGCATCAGAGGCACATGCAGCTGGGACAGTAGCTGTCTCTGGGAGCAGGACCAGGGCTCCTGGGAAAGTCCATGGACCTGGTGTTATCCCCTCGTGTTGGGGAGCAGAGAGTGCTTCCCAGCACAAGGAAGTAGAGGAGCAGGCATGAGACTCAGGCAACCTGATAGAGGAAAACTTCAAGGAGAGGAATGTCTGTTCACTAAGATTTCAAATACAGTTTGCCCTTTTCCCTTTAGGACACCTTATTTAATGCCGTCAGCTTCTAAATATCCTTAGAGAACTTTCATGACATCGTAGTTTCACACTAGAGTTGCTTATAAAAGCCAAACTTCCTTTCTTTTCTTTCTTTTTTTTTTTTTTTGTAAGACGGACTCTCGCTCTGTTACCCAGGCTGGAGTGTAGTGGTGTGATCTTGGTTCACTGCAACCTCCGCTTCCCGGGTTCAAGCGATTCTCCTGCCTCAGCCTCCCAAGTAGCTGGGATTACAAGTGCGCACCATCACGCCTGGCTAATTTATTGTATTTTTAGTAGAGATGGGGTCTCATCATGTTGGCCAGGCTGGTCTCGGACACCTGACCTCAAGTGATCCACCTGCTTTGGCCTCCCAGAGTGTTGGGATTACAGGCGTGAGCCATGGAGCCCGGCCCAAACTTCCATTTTTAAGCAGTTCACGAATCCCGCCTACTTCCTGCAGATCACCCGGTCCTTCGTTCTCATAACCCCAAGAAGCAGGGAGGGGCACATGCACCTGAGGGCCTTGCTTCTGCTGGCTCTGGGTCTTACGAAGGAAGAGTGGATCTTCCTAAGCATTCAGGTAGCAACATTACCCCAGCTGGAGGAGAACAATCCCATTTGAAGGAAGGGAGGTGATGGAGTCCTGGGCGTGGGAATGACAGGGACAATGGAAAGCCCTGAAAGCTCCTGTGAGGCAGCAGAGCCAGGAATGCTAAGCGAGGCTCGTTTCCTGAGCAGGAAGGAACTGAATCATGATTCCGAGGTGATGTGGTTTCCATCAAGCCCTGTAGCCTGCCTAGGTGTATGGTTTTATCTGATGGGAGTGTGACTCAGCCGAGCTCTGAGGGTGTGTGCCCCAGGCCCACTGCCAGCTTCCTGGGAAGGGGTGCCAGCCCAACTCTGTACAGAGAGGAGAAAACACAGCTGCCGTTTCTAGAGCTACGAGAAGGGAGGCGAGGTCAAAGGACTCTGCTCAACTCCAGCTGCTTGGTTTTGCTTCAGCTGTCTCAGTCTTTCTAGTAAACTTGACCTGTTGCCATTGGGTTTCTTTTTCTTTCATTCAGTACACATTTGTTTAGCATCCACTATGTATTAGGCACTGTGCTGGACTTTAAGGACACGGAAGTGAGAATACAGGGCACCTGTCCTCAGGGAGATGACATTACAACAGGGCAAATGGCCAGCAGGGGAAAAGTCATTGTGGGTGGTGACCAGAGCTCTGAAGGGCATCATGTCAGAGGCCAAGCAATGGTGAGACTGCAAGACGGTCTGCCTTAGCCGGCATGCTCAGCATGGTCTCCTTGGGGACCCTTGTCTGAGTGAAGAGAGGCAGCCACACCATGATCCAGGGGAGAAGCATACTGGCAGAGAAAGAATGGCTCACACCAGGGCCTGGAAGTTGCAGAGAACCTAGGTATTTGAGGCCCACAGTGAACAAACGAGGGTAGGATGGGAGACGGGTCTGGAGAACTGGATGGGACCTTGATCCCAACTTTGTCAGCCTGTGTGAGGAGCTTAGGGTTTTGTTTTGTTTTGAGATGGAATCTCACTCTGTCACCCAGGCTGGAGTGCAGTGGCATGATCTCGGCTCACTGCAACCTCCACCTCCTGGGCTCAAGTGATTCTCCTGCCTAGCCTCCCGAGTAGCTGGGATTACAGGTGCATGCCACTACGCCTGGCTAATTTTTTGTATTTTTAGTAGAGATGGGGTTTCACCATCTTGGCCAGGCTGGTCTCGAACTCCTGACCTCAAGTGATCTACCTGCCTTGCCTTCCCAAAGTGCTGGGATTACTTACAGGTGTGAGCCACCATGCCTGGCCTAGGGTTTTTGAGTCAGGGTCTCGCTCCGTCTCCCAGGCTGGAGTGCAGTGATGCAGTCTCAGCTCACTGCAGCCTCGATTGCCTGGGCTCAAACGATCCTCCCACCTCAGCCTCCCCCGAGCAGCTGGACTACAGGTGTGCACCACCACACCTGGCTAATTTTTAAATTATTTGTAGAGAGAGGATTTCCCATTGTTGCCCAGGCTGCTCTCACAAACTCCTGGGCTGAAACAATTCTCCCACCTCAGCCTCCCAAAGTGCTGGAATTACAGGCTGGGATTACAGGCATCAGCCACCATGCCCACCATGCCCAGCCTGAATTTAGAATTTAACCGGATTGTGACTGGAAGACCCAGGAAAGTTTTCTGCAGGGTAGGGACATGATCTGATTTTATTTTTAAAAGATCTTCTCTAGGAAGGCTGCTCTTGGGGTGAGTTGGGCAGATGCCATATGGTGGCATGATGAGGGTGGCGGCAGAGGAGGGGATGAGATGTGGCCGGGCCTGAGATGCACTTCAGAGGTGGAACTTACAGGACTTGCTAGTAGTGTGCATGTGAGGGAAAGGGCTGATTTCCACAGGAGAGGTCTGGGTGCCTGGGCAGATGAGAAGGCAAGAAGAAGACCAGGCAGCGAGGGGCAGCAGACCCTGGGTGCCCTCCGTGCCTGTGTGGTTGGAGGTACCTGTTTGACACCCAGGCAGAGATGGCAGTGCACAGATGCAGCTCAAAGCCCAGGCTGCGAGAGATTCTGTGGGGTGGGGGAGTTGAGTACAGTTAAGAGACGAGCCTGGTGGGGCCGTCAACATTCACAGCAAGACCCACCCAAATGGAACAAGAACCAGCTCATGGGGCAGGGGGAGAACAATCGGCAGAGGTTAGTGGCACAGACGCTTAGAGGAGAAGCTTCAAAAAGGCCAAGGACAACCACTGCAAATACCACTGAGATCCACCAAAGGAAGACAGAACTGGCCACCGGACTTGGCAAGATAGAGACAGATGTGAGAGACGAGCAGCCTTCCTAGAGAACAGGGATGAAAGGGCAACTGCTTAGAACAGGGGCAGCACAGAGGGGCAGGGGCAGCAAGAAGGGGGTCTGGACAGAGAGAGCTTATTTTTCAGAAGGGGGACAAAGCCTCTGCAGGCCAAGGAGAATGAACCAGCAGAGGGGGAGAAATTCTGCAGCAAAGAGATGGCTGCAGGACCATGCAAGAAACAACAGGACCTGAAATACAAACGGAGAGAGGCAGGATGAGGAGCACAAACCCCTCTGCCTTTGCTGGATGGGACACAACTACAGGTGCAGGAAGCTGACAGGCTGGAGGACAGGGTGGTGACAGACAAGCCAGTCTTCTGACGCCCAGACTTTCACAGGGAAGAATGGGGTCAAGGCAGTAGCTGAAAGGGAAAGTCAGGGGGAGGCAGCTGTAGCAGGACTGCTGGGCAGCACTGACTGTCCATTGAAGATGTGAAGTGAGAAGTTTAAAGTGAAACCGGCCGCCAAGGTGGTGTCACTCTTTCAAAACTGTTCAGTTGCCGGGTGCGGCTGGGTCAGCCACTGGATACAGTAGGCATTAAGGAGGTAGCAGGGCTCAAGCAGTGGGAGGTTCTGCTGCTCCTCCTCTGAAGCCATTACCAGAGCTCCAGTACTTCATTCAGTTTATTCATTCCTAGAATACAGACTGAACTTAAAGGGATGATGACAATTATTATTTTTTATTTCAGAGGCAGTCTTGCTCTGTCACCCAGGCCGGAGTGCAGTGGAGCAATCATGGCTCACTGCAGCTTCAAACTCCTGGCCTAAAGTGATCCTCTTGCTTTGGCCTCCCAAGTGTTGTGATTACAGGTGTTAGCCACTGTGTCTAGCCAATGAAGAATGTTATCCAGTAGCCAATAGCAGAAAGAACCACCATTTAAGCAAGAATTTATTTCCAGGACTATGTTTTTACTATAGATTAAAATTTAATATAACTTAATTCACATATAAAGACAACTCTGAAGACCATCTGGATATGATAATGGCCTGGGGTTAAGTGAAATAATTGAGGTCATGCTCAGGCCTGAGCAGATACCAACTTGCTCAAGCCTGAGAAATAGGACTTCTCTCTTTCACTCATCACTTCAAAATGCAGTGGCCTCCTGCAGAAGTTGCACTCAGCTGAGGAATGAGGCTTCAGTTCCAGCCCCACTTGCTTCCATGTGACTAGCAGATTCTCTGAGGAGAAACAGTTTTTAAATATTAAAGGGAGTAATATACACAAGAGAAATGAAAACATATGTCCACACAAAAACTTGTACACAAATGTTCATAGCAGCATTATTCATAATAGTTAACAAGAGAAACAACCAAATGTCCACCAATAGACGGATAAACAAAATGTGGTAAATCTGTACAATGGAAGGTTATTTGGTAACAGAAAGAAATGAAGTGCTGATGAATGCTACAGCATGGATGAGCCTTGCAGACATGATGCTGGAAGAAGGCAGACACAAAGGAGCACAGGCGGTATGATTCCACTTAGACACAAGGTCCAGAAAAGGCAAATCCATAGAGACAGAAAGAGCCGTGGTTGACAGGGGCTGGGGATGGGGAAAAGAGGAGTGACTCCTAATGGGTAGGGGCTTCTGAGGTGATGAAAATGTTCTAGAATCAGATAGAAGTGATGGTTGCATAACACTGGGAGTGTACTTAAAAATCATAGACTTGGATACTTTAAAAGGGTGAATTTTATGGTAAGTGAGCTATATCTCTACTGAGATAAGGCTTTTATAAAAATTTTAAGGCTTTTATAAAAATAAATAAAGAGAAAAATAAAACCCAGAGTTGGGCTTGATTTCACAGGCCTGTAGGGAAGAAGCTGCTCCAACACTGCCACGTGACAGTTTAAACCCAGCATTTCCAACAGAACAGAGAGCCTGTGAGGAAGCTGAGCCACGCTGGGCGGGCTTGGGAAGGCAATGTACCTTCGAGGCAGAGGTGACCTGTGGCTAATAGCCCCCTTCCATCTCTGCCTTTAGGTTGGACATGGGTGGAGCAGTATAGAACCACGGGGCAGTTGAAAATATTGAGCAATTCCTCTTATCAGAGGCGATTAGGTGTGGGGTTATTCAAGGATTATACAACATCATGGAGTAGAGGGCAGTGGTGAAGACAAATGTGAGGTGGACTCCGGAGGGACAGCGGGGACTCAAGCCTTCAGAGGCCTCTTCTCCCTGCAAGTCATTACTGTGCATCCTTCAGCCACGTAGACAAGGGGGCACTGGAAACACTGAGCGGATTCCCAGGCTCCCTCAGAGCTCCCAAAATGACTCTCCACCCTCTTGATGTGAATCAGACAATAAATACCTTTTAGGGTTTTGAACCATTTGAGGGCATGCTTAGTTACTTGGAAAAAGAAGAAACAGGCCGGGCACCAGGGCTCACACCTGTAATCCCAGCACTTTGGAAGGCTGAGGTGGGTGGATCACCTGAGGTCGGGAGTTCGAGACCAGCCTGACCAACATGGAGAAACCCCATCTCTACTAAAAATACAAAATCAGCCAGGCGTGGTGGCGCATGGCTGTAATCCCAGCTACTCAGGAAGCTGAGGCAGGAGAATCGCTTGAACCTGGGAGGCAGGGGTTGCGGTGAGCCGAGATTGTGCCATTGTACTCCAGCCTGGGCAACAAGAGCGAAACTCTTGTCTCAAAAAAAAAACTAAAAAAAGAAGAAGAAACAAATCTGAATGCCTCTGAAGGGCTTCAATTATAAACACTGCAAAGACAGCTTTATGCAACTCCTCAGTGAGGCACCAGCAGCTCCCCAGGTACTCACCAAGGAAGTAGTTCATCATCTGGGGTGTGTGGTGAGGGGTGGGGGCAATCCGTAGGAGCTCTTCTCCCCGGGGCACCGTAGGGTAATTGATTGCTTGCACGTAGATGTTATGTCTGCTCATTAGTTCATCACAGACTTCTGTGTTTTTAGCAGCATCTGCAACCTAAGTTCAATGAGAGCAGAAGGTAAGGTCACAACAGGAAGGACTACCTCTTAGCAGAGATCCTAACGAACGCAGTCCCCACAACGCTCAGGCTCAAGACCAGACTGTAGCAACACATGCAAGCTTGGGGCAGAGGGAAAGCGCTGCCCAAACACCTGTCATTTAAAAGAAGCCAGTGTTGTTTCGTGAACACCAGGGAACCAAAACCTTATTAAAAAGAAATACATTTTTAATCAGAAAACACTGGTTCTGTTCGTACCAGCAGACTCTCATACCCACGATGTATAATCTAGATTCAGTTATACTAGCTGTATTCATTACACTAATTCAACTGTGACATCAACAGTGCTACCATTTGTAGTGGGAAGGGCAAAACCTATTTTGAAATTTACTAAGTAGAAAGCCATACTTCAAAGCTGGCCAAGCTCAGGCTTCTGGAGCTTTCTAGATACAAGCTCTGTGTTTACCCTGTTAAGGTCAGTGCTCCGGAGAGGGAACTTCTGCCCCAGCCTGCTGGGTTCAAAGGCTTTCTTCTCTTGGTGAAGTCAGCCAATGGCGGAAACATGACAGAGGGTGGCTGGCTACAACCCCTGCCCTGGCAGTCACCCCGCTCAAGCCCAACTTCAGGAAGGTATGAAGCAGAACATCCGTACATCATGTGTAGAGGCACACCCCACGGCAAGTCCAATCAGAGACAGGCCATTACCCGCACAGGGATGATGTGGCTGGGGCAGTGGACAACAGGGAGGCCGGCATCCATTAGCATCTGTCTCATGAGTTTGACGTTGCGCTGGTGCTGGCGGCGAAGCACCCGTCCCTCAGCGCTCTTCAGGATCCGCACAGACTCCAGGGCTCCAGCCAGCAGCATGGGTGGCAGAGAGGTGGTGAAGATGAAGCCAGCAGCATAGGACCGTACGGTGTCAATCAGAGAACTCGTGCTGGCGATGTACCCTCCAACACAACCAAAGGCTTTGCCTGGGAGGAGATAGCTTCATTAATTACAGCAACAGCTGTAAATTGCTCTAAATGGACACAGCAAGGTGTTGTGGAGCCTCAAAGCACTGACTTTTCTCCTTATCTTTTTAATTTGTTCCTGGACTGATTGGAGTAGTCATGCACCACATTAATGATGTCTCAGTCAATGACGACCACATATATGATGGTGGTCCCATAAGATTATAATACTGTATTTTTACTGTACCTTTTCTATGTTTAGGTATGTTTAGATACACAAATACCATGGTGTTGCCAACAGTATCCAATACAGTAACATGTTGTACAGGTTTGCAGCCTAGGAGCAACACGCCATACCACAAAGCCTAGGTGTGCGGTAGGCTATATAATCTAGGTTTATGTAAGTACACTCTATGGTGTTTGCACAATGATGAAATCGCCTAGTGATGCAATTCTCAGAACACATCCCCCATCGTTAAGCAATGCATGACTATAAAAGGATATCTAATCTTCCTTTTTTTTTTAGAGACAGGGTCTTGCTCTGTCACCCAGGCTGGAGTGCAGTGGCATGATCATAGCTCTCTGCAGCCTCAACCTCCTGGGCTCAAGTATTCCTTCCGCCTCAGCCTCCCAAGTAGCTAGGACAGGTGTACACCACCATGCCTGGCTGATTTTTTAAATTTTTATTTTGTGTAGAGAGGAGGCCATGCTTCGTTGCCCAGGGCTGGTCTCAAACTCCTGGGTTCAAGTGATCCTCCTGTCTCAGCCTCCCAAAGTGCTGGGATTCAGGTGTGAGCTATCGTGCCTGGCTACTCACTTTTAAAAGGGTAAAAAAGCTAAGGAAAGTTACAAAAGGGTCTTGCCCAAAGTCATATGGCCAAGCTGGTGTCTAACCAGGATCAAAATGCAGGTCTTCCAATCAGACCTGACACCTCAGTGACTGGTCCCAGTGTGCCCAAATACCCTGCTGCTGCCTCCCTTCCCACCATCTTATTCTCCTTTCCCTTTCTCACCCAGGCTTGCTGCTCTGACAGCCAGCACAGCTCCACTCCCCATGTCTGCACTGCATGTGCTCTTTGGAACAAGACTGGCTCTGCAGTGCTTGTACCATCCTCCCACAGGGAACATTATCCCAGAGGCTGGAATTTTACCCAGCTAAGGCATTAACTGTTTTGGTATGACTGGTGTTATTTCCTACTTA
Organism: Homo sapiens; assembly: GCF_000001405.40. Classification (NCBI taxonomy): domain Eukaryota; kingdom Metazoa; phylum Chordata; class Mammalia; order Primates; family Hominidae; genus Homo; species Homo sapiens. The sequence goes on along the minus strand of NC_000003.12, from coordinate 52,210,102 downwards.
AGAACAAAACTCTTGACAATTAATGCATTAGGATTGATTTAGGGCCAGACTTGGTTTTCAATTCTCATTGAGTCCTTTTGTGTGATCTACATCTCAAGTTTCAGGATTAAAAACTCCAGAAGAGGCCAGGTGCAGTGGCTCACACCTATAGTCCCAGAACTTTGGGAGGCCGAGGGGGGCAAATCACTTGAGCTCAGGAGTTAGAGACCAGCCTGGCCAACATGGTGAAACCCCGTTTCTACTAAAAATACAAAAATTAGCCAGGCATGCTAGCGCACACCTGTAGTCTCAGTTATTCAGGAGGTTGAGGTGGGAGGATCACTTGAGCCCAGGAGGTGGAGGCTGCAGATGAGCTGTGATCACACCTGGGCACAGAGTGAGAGCCTGTCTCAAAAAACAAAAAGAACTCCAGAAGAGTCTTCATAGATCTTAACATAACATTCTATAATTAATGTTTTTGCTAAAACCACATGCAAAGCTGGGTTGGTTCAATCTCCTATGGTATAAAGTTTCTCTCTCCAGCCTTTTCCATCTCACAATGACCATACCTTCAAAGAGCCCACATCAGGAGACATCCTTAAAAGAAAAGAGCTTCTGGCCGGGTGTGGTGGCTCACGCCTGTAATCCCAGCACTTTGGGAGGCTGAGGCGGGCAGATCACGTGGTCAGGAGATTGAGAACATTCTGGCTAACACGGTGAAACCCCGTCTCTACTACAAATACAAAAAATTAGCCAGGCATGGTGGCGGGTGCCTGTAGTCCCAGCTACTTGGGAGGCTGAGGCAGTAGAATGGCATGAACCTGGGAGGTGGAGCTTGCAGTGAGCTGAGATCGCGCCACTGCACTCCAGCCTGGGCAACAGAGTGACACTCCATCTCGGAAAAAAAAGAAAAAAAAGAAAAGAGCTTCTTGAATTAAGACACATGATCAGGTGTTTTTCTCCTGGTAGTGGTTCCACCCTTAGAACTCCCAGGCTTTCTGGGTCTGCACTAGGTTCTCATACCCCTTGACAGTGCTGAAGGACGCTTTTTAAAAAGCCTGCCCTTCCTTTACCAAGCATAGGCTATAAACTGGCATTTTAGCTAACTGCTAGATGGGTTTCCAACTGCCTTACCCACTTCTGAAGGCTTAAAAAAATTCTTCAAAATTACAAAAATTCTTCAAATTTATGTAATTTTCGTCTCTTTAGGGTTCTCATAGGTTCTCAGAGGGAATGTTTATAATAACTGTTTGCATACAACTTATTTACCTTCTCCACATATATTTTGATTTAGGTCCTATTGTTTTCTCCATTATATTGATGATGAAACTGAGGTATAGAAAGGTTAACTACCAACTCAAGGTCACACAACTAGTGAGGTGGCAGGGCTCCAAAGTCTAGCTCCCATCTACCACGAGACATAGCCTCTGTATGAGGAAGAGCAGAGGAAAACCAGGATGAATTAGAATGTTCCCACGTGGCAGGCACGGAGTTCAGCACTTCACAACACCTGAACCTAACAAGTGCTCCAGGAGAAAAGTACTAGAATTCCTTTTTCTTTTTAATTAAGAACAGCCTGAGGCACAGAGAGTACAGGCTCTTGCCATGGCATGGGGCTAGACCCACAACTATGTCTGAAATGAGCTCAGATAGCAATAAATGGTCTATCAGTGTGTTAGGCTGTGGGATTTACTTTGATTCTAAGAGCCATGCCTCCATGACCCAAGGGATTCCACTAAGCTGGGCCAAAAGAAAGAGTGGCCCAGGCTTCATATGCTGTCAGGCTGTCTCCTCACCTGATCCCAGTTAGACTAGTTAGTCCTTGGCCTTGTTAGGATAATGGAATTTTAGTGTATGTAATACAATGTATACATACCAAGTGTTCCAGAAATGATGTCCATTTTTGGCATGACTCCATCCCGATCCCCAATCCCTCCGCCTCGAGCCCCATAAAGCCCCACTGCGTGGACCTCATCCACGAAGGTGATTGCTCCAAACTCATGGGCCACATCACACAGCTCTTCCAGTGGGCACACCGCCCCTGAGGAAAGACCAGAGACTGCTCTGAAGAGCTTTTGCCGCTTCAGAAATTTCTGTTTTGGTTAGAGTCAGAACAACGTAAACTTCTATTCTAAGGTATCATTTTCAATATTGGAAAGAAAATGAACTTCCTCTAATTTCTAGGTTACCTGGGGTCCCAGAGCCTAGTAAAAGCCAGAATAGAAAATCCACTTTCACCCAAATCTATTAGAAAAAAGTCCACCAATTACAAATCTTGGCAGAATGCAATACTACACAGCAATAAAAAAAGAATGAGACCATGTCCTTTACAGCAATACGGATGGAGCTAGAGGCCATCCTAAGTGAATTAATACAGGAACGGAAAAACCAAATATCGCTCTCACTTATAAGTGGGAGCTAAACACTGAGAACACATGGACACAAAGAAGGGAACAACAGACACCAGGGACCGACTTGAGGGTGGAGGGTGGGAGGAGGGTGAGATCAAAAACTACCATTGGGTACTATGCTTACTACCTAGGTGATGAAATAATTGGTACACCAACACCCTGTGACACATAATTTACCCATATAATAAACCCGCACATGTACCCACTGAACCTAAAAGTTGGAAGAAGAAAAAAAAAAATCCTGGCAGAAAGGAAAAGAAAATTAAAAAACACAACAGGCCAGGCGCGGTGGCTCACGCCTGTAATCCCAGCACTTTGGGACGCCAAGGTGGGCGGATCACAAGGTCAGGAGATTGAGACCATCCTGACTAACACAGTGAAACCCCGTCTACTAAAAATACAAAAAGTTAGGCCAGGTGCGGTGGCTCACACCTGTAATTCCAGCTCTTTGGGAGGCTGAGGCGGGCAGATCACAAGGTCAGTAGATCGAGACCATCCTAGCTAACATGGTGAAACCCTGTCTCTACTAAAAATACAAAAAATTAGCTGGGCGTGGTGGCAGGCGCCTGTAGTCCCAGCTACTCAGGAGGCTGAGGCAGGAGAATGGCGTGAACCCAGGAAGTGGAGCTTGCAGTGAGCCGAGATCACGCCACTGCACTCCAGCCTGGGTGACAGAGGGAGACTCCGTCTCAAAAAAAAAAAAAAAAAAAATTAGCCAGGCGTGGTGGCAGGTGTCTGTAGTCCCAGCTACTCGGGAGGCTGAGGCAGGAGAATGACGTGAACCCGGGAGGCGGAGCTTGCAGTGAGTCGAGATCGCACCACTGCACTCCTGCCTGGGCAACAGAGCGAGGATCGGTCACAAAAAAAAAAAATTAAAAAACACAACAAAACACCATACTTTTAAAGAGTTCAGGCATAGTTTTTCATCTTAGGTTTCAGAGGAACCTCTATCCACACTTACCATCCATTGAATGGACAGTTTCAAATGCCACAATCTTGGGGACTGAGGGGTCAGATCTTTGCAGCAGTTCTCTGAGGTGGCTGACATCATTGTGGCGGAAGATGTACTTTGGCACTCGGCTGTTTCGAATCCCTTGGATCATGGAGGCATGGTTCCCAGAATCAGAGTAAATCTCACAGCCTAAGACAACAAAAATGCTATTTATTGCCATGTGCATCGAAGACAAATTATTTCCTAGAGAAAGACAACAGACTTTTCCTTGGAAATGATGCTTTGAAAATGCCTAGTAGGAAAAAGACACTGTGTGCCAGTTTCTTCCTGGCAAAATAACTAGTTAGTGCTTCCCTTGTGAGAAGGCCCAAAGGTGTAGAATAACCTTGTGGCAGGCCATTAATCTGCTCTTAAATCTGACTGCCTCACTCCAAACTCAATCAAGAGCTAACTAAATGATTAAGAGACTTCTCCAAAGGATCATCTTAGAATACAAAACATATTTGAGGCAATTAGCTCAAGGATGAGACGTTTCAAGTTTGAATTTTCACTGGTATCACGTTCTCCTGGAACCCATAATGTACAGTCAGCATTTCATGCTTGACCCCAGAACAAATGCCCAGATAGGATTATGATTTTCAATTGAGAGGTTCTGGTAAGGCTTCTTTGTTGCCAATATTCTTGTTATTACTAAGAAACCCAAAAAACTCGAAGGCACTCATGCCAGGCTTCCTTACCTGGCATCATCTTAGCCAGGGTGAAGAGGGTTGAGTCATTGGCCACAAAGCACGAGGAAAACAAGAGTGCGGCATCTTTCCCATGGAGGTCTGCCAGCTCCCGCTCTAAGTCCACATGGAATTTACTAGTTCCAGAAATATTTCTAGTACCACCTGCCCCAGCACCATGTTGTTTCAAAGTGTCCCTGTTTAAAAATACAAACAAAACCAGAAAATAAAGCTCATGGTTCTCAACACCATGTGAATTTTTTCCCCTTTCTAGGATCCAGGAGACTGAAACATGTTGATGTAGCAACTCTCTCACTGTGAAACCTGGGGTCAGAAATTTCAACTGATTTCATCTTCAGACTAGGTGGGAGAAGGTGTCAATGCTAGGGTGATGATACCTCCAGGAATCATCAAGAACAAGTGTTCATTTAACAGTCAGTAAGTGCTTGGTATTAGCTGAGTTTCTTTTCTAAGAAACTAAGGTTTATTTTCTGAGAAACATTATTCTTTCCAATAACATGTTAGCTTAAGAAAAAGCAAACTCTAGAGGGACATCCTGGATGGTGGTTACCCTCTGCAAGCCAGTCATGTAATGTTTGGATATATCACTATCATTAAACCTCAAACCGGGACCCTCTTTAGCAAGCCTTTGGAGAATCTGGCCAGCAACTCTCTCCAGCATCCCTAGGATGGTGAGCCTCCTGAAGGACGAGTGATGGGATCTACCATCCTTTTTAACATGTCTTTTGGAGTAGCTTTTTCTCTAGCGCTGCTAGATTCGTATTTCTCCACTCACAGCCACAACCAAGGATGTCTCTGTGAAAGACTGCCTGGTGTTAAAGGCACACTCACTTGCAGAGTGATAGAAAGTGGACTGACGTGTGTGGTCATTGAGCCTATAAGCTTGAACCCTCACAAGTTAAGGGGCTCCAGCAGCTACCTGCATATTAGAGTTCCTTTAAAAGTAATCTGTAGATATTTTTCAGAAGCTAAGAATAGTATTTTGCTATGGCACACTTTCAGCTACTGAATGTTCCCTCCATAAAAGATCCAACCCCTATACATCATCATTGGCTTGCCAAATAACAACAGTAATATTTGAAAGCCAAGGGCTACTTACATAACTGCCCCACACACCCGTGGGTGGCGACTCATTCCTAGGTAGTCATTACTGCACCAGACTGACACTTGCTTTTTGGTGATGAGGGAGTCTGAATAGTCATCTGCCATGGGGAAGATGTGTGCTCGCCGGTTCACAGTTTTAAAAACTCGATAGGTGTGGTCATTCTTTTTCTCATCAATTTTTTTCTCAAAGAAACGATCATACTGAAAAGTGGAAACAGCTAAAAATTGAACAAAAGACAGTACAGAATGGTGGTTGTGAAACACAGCTGCATTTTGGTGAAATACAACAAGTCTCAGCTTGGCAACTGAGGGAGATCCTGGGCAGGTTATTTGATGTCCTCATCTTGTAAGTAAATAAGACTGTATGTCGTGTTTGGCTCAGTGCCATGTGTAGACGGTAAGTATTAAAGGACAGAAGGCAGGCTACCAACAGCACCTGTAGTCACCACAACCAAAAGCACCTGCTCACGCAAGCAAGGGATATGGCTTTCAAGCCTCAACTCACCATACATTTTTTTGTTTTTCCTAGAAACTGAGTCTCTGTCTGTCATTCAGGCTGGAGTGCAATAGCGTGATCATAGCTCACTGAACCTTGAAGTCTTGGGCTTAAGCAATCTTCCTACCTTAGCCTCCTGAGTAGCTGGGACTATAGATGCAAGCCATCATGCCTGGCTAATTAAAAAAACTGTTTTGGTAGAGATAGTGTCTTGCTATGTTGCCAAGGCTGGCCTCAAACTCCTGGCCTCAAGTGATCTTCTCCCGCTTCAGCCTCCCAAAGTGCTGGGATTACAGGTATGAGCTACTGTGCCCAGCCTCACCATGCAATTTTATATTTAATCTAATGTACATTTGAATTATAAATTCTTTTCTACATCAGGCAAATAACAATGAGACTTACATTTTGGCAAGTTATCTTGAAGAAGATGAGACACTCTTTCTGGTCTTTGCTTTTGCATGATGTCCTGGAAGTTCTTCAGCAGTCCACTGGGATCCCCTCCATCGGTTTTCACACTAACCACACTGGGGCCTGCTGAGGTTTCAGCAACCTCTGGAACAAAAGTAACAAGAAACAAATGGGACCAACTTTCTATTCTGAGTTCACAATATCTTCCAAACATATTGTCAAAAATGGCTTATGGCCTAGTTCACAAAAAAGGCCAAGCATAACCAAAGTTAGTTATAACTGAGTGTACAAAGCATCTCTTCTATTTTAGTTACTGTAATGGCAGACTCTTGGTGTTGTTTTCAGAGCTACTGGCCAGCTTTAATGAACAATAAAGTCCAAAGCTTTCTTGCTGGTTGGCATGTCTTATTCACTCCACTACATCCCCACCCCAATCCTAATCTCAATTTTCTGTTTTTTTTTTTTTGAGACAGAGTCCCATTCTGTCACCCAGGCTGGAGAGCAGTGGCACGATCTCGACTCATTGCAACCTCTGCCTCCTGGGTTCAAGCGATCCTCCCTCCTCAACCTCCTGAGAAGATGGGACTATAGGCATGCGCCATCATGCCCAGCTAATCTTTGTATTTTTGGTAGGGATGGGGTTTCCCCATGTTGGCCTGGCTGGTCTTAAACTCCTGGCCTCAAGTGATCCACCTGCCTCGGCCTCCCAAAGTGCTGGGATTATAGGTGTGAGCCACTGGGCCTGGTCCTAATCTCAATTTTCTTCATAGAAAACAATTTTGGCCATATGCATAATTTCTGCTGGTTAGGCTTTTGGGGAGCCTTGAGTTCTCTGCAGATATAGCCACACCTATATATTGTGGAGTTAAGGTTGCAATTCAATGACCATCAGTAAGACACACGGCTTGGGAGCCCTAGGACCAGCACTTACTGCAGTAAAACCATTATTTTCTATCTTTATCCTAGCAGATGATGGGAAAGACCAAAGGGACAAAAGGCAGCTGGTGGCAGCTCAAGACTGCAGGTTATTTTCAGAAATTAAGTAGTAACTATAAAAGCTGGTCACATCCCACACACGCACCAGAAAGAAAGTCCCACTTTCGCAATACAGTCCCTTGACTGTCTATCTTGAAGACCTTCCTCTCTGGCCCTAAAAGAGGAAGGTGTTTCCATAAATACTGCCCTAATAATAGCTCATACACAAATCTGAGGGCCCAAAAGAACTAAAAGGACCCCTTCACTACCACTAATGGTTCACAACTCATCTCTTACCTTTCCTCACGGCATTCATTTCCTGCACATCCTCCTGAAGCTCAAGACTGGCTTTGCAGAAGACACTGCTGCCTCTCTGATTCATCTGTGCTGCCAGGAAAGGGCATTTGCTTGCAGTGCCCTGGCTTGTGGCAGGCAAGGGGTGTCCAGACGGAAGCTGTGTGCCATCTGGACTCTGCTGGGATCCATCAGGAGTCTGTTGGACCTTGGCCTTAGCAGTTTTGTCTTCTGAGGGAGGAAATGGAAAAAGTGAAGCATCAGATCTGGTTGCACAGTATGTAAGAAAACCACTTATTTCTTTCTTTTATTGCCTCAAAGATAAACTTAATACTTACTGTACCCCACCATCCAGACACAAGTGTTTTTTTTGTTTTGTTTTGTTTTTAAGATGGAGTCTTGCTCTGTACCCCAGGTTGGAGTACAGTGGCACAATCTTGGCTCACTACAACCTCCACCTCCTGGGTTCAAGTGATTCTCATGCCTCAGCCTCCCAAGTAGCTGGGGTTACAGGTGTGTGCCACCATGCCTGGCTAATTTGTGTATTTTTAGTAGAGATGGGGTTTCACCATGTTGTCCAGGCTGGTCTTGAACTCCTGACCTCAGGTTATCCACCTGCCTTGGCCTCCCAAAGTGCTGGGATTATAGGCGTGAACCACTGCACTCAGCCACAAGCTTATTTTTATTAGGTTCTGCTAATCTCTCTAGTTTTTCATCTGCTTCACAGGAAACAATGCGTCTATGAAGAGTTAACTGGCACATTCCAGTTGCCTCTTAAACCCACAGTATTTCTCGTCATAAATCCAAAAAAAGTACCATTTTCTAGTTTTAGACAACCCGGAATCCTTGAGTTGGATCATTTCCAGTAATTTCTACCCCAACTACACTCAGCTTATTTTATGAGAGGACACACTCTGTAAGGTAACGGGAAATATTCACACACATTTTTTTCTCTGCTAACATTTTCCTTTCCTTTTTTTTTGAAACAGGATCTCACTCTGTCAACCAGGCTAGAGTGCATGGTGCAATCATAGCTAACTGCAGCTTTGACCTCCAGGCTCAAGTGATCCTCTCACCTTAGCTCTCCAAGTAGCTTGGACTGCAGGTGTTCTACTGCGCCCAGCTAATTCTTTTTATTTTTTATTTTTTGTAGAGACGGAGTCTTGTTATGTGGCCCTAGCTTCTATCAAACTCCTAGGCTCAAGCAGTCCTCCCGCCTCAGCCTCCCAAAGTGCTGGAATTACAGGCATGAGCCACCACATCCTGTCTCTGCTGACATTTTCTAAACAGATTCTTGACAAAGAGGCTTGCTGTTGCTTAACATAAAAGCTATTGGTTTTCATCTAAACAACAGAAATTAGACTAAGACTTAGGTCTTTAGATTGCTAATAAAGTAAGAAAAAATAGGGGTATATCACATTCACATACCTCATCTACTTTCTCATCTAAATTCATCAAAGTCTGCTGACTAAACACCGTTGGCTGGTAATTATCCTTCTAGCTACAGTGACTTCCCTCTCCCCTTGAGCAAATTCATTCACCTTCTTTCTAGAAAAGTCTTTCTTCATCATTCTGGAACACTCCTGTGAGTCACTGGCTAGCCTTTCCTATAACTTGGGTAAAGTGTCTCAATACAGTTTTCATTAAAATCTTCTATAACGGAAGGCCAAAAAAATTATTTTGAAGTTAATTTCATTTATTATAAAAGTAATACATATTCATTAAAGTCTAGAAAAAGAAAAAAATCCTATCATTTAAAACATAGCCATTGCAAGCATTTTGGTAAAAAAGACGTAACTAACTCTTGAAAATAAACCCTACAAAGGATTAAATCCTTTCTGCTTAAAGAAAAAAAAAACTTATTTTCTTACAAGCCCACACCCAGAGAACACGCCTAAGAAAAACCTGTAAAATATTCTCTGGGATTAAGTGGAACCTGAAAAGCTTTGTTCTCTCCTATCAGAAGCAGAGCAAACTAAATTCAACTCTAGTCTCTTTGTTAAAAACAACAACAACAAATGTATATACAAATAAAGATACATGGCATGATCTCAGCTCACTGCAACCTCTACCTCCCGGGTTCAAGCAATTCTCATGCCTCAGCCTCCCAAATAGCTGGGATTACAGGCGTACACCACCACATCCAGCTAATTTTGTATTTTTTGTAACAGTGGGGTTTCACCATGTGGCCAGGCTGGTCTCGAACTCCTGGCCTCAGGTGATCAAACCACCTCGGCCTCCCAAAGCGCTGGGATTACAGGAGTGAGCCACTGCACACAGCCAAGATAAATTTGTTTTTAAAAATCACTAATAAATACTGTACAATTTCACTTATATGAGGTACCTAGAATAGTCAAATTCATAGAGACAGAAAGCAGAATGGTGGTTGTCAGGGGTTGGGGAGAGAGGAATGGAGAGTTACTGTTTGATGGGTATAGAATTTCAGTTTGGGAAGATGAAAAAAGTTCTGGAGATGGATGGTGGTGGTGACACAACAATATGAATGTACCACTGAACTGCACATTTTTAAGTGCTTAAAATGGTAATTTTTCTTGGGCATTTTACCACAACAGAACAAAAACTTTTAAGAAAAAAAAAATCACTACTTTAAAAAGCCAAAGGGGCCGGGCACGGTGGCTCACGCCTGCAATCCCAGCACTCTGGGAGGCTGAGGCAGGTGGATCATTTGAGGTCAGGAGTTTGAGACCAGCCGGACCAACAAGGTGAAACCCTACTAAAAGTACAAAAATTATCTGGGCGTGGTGGTGCATGCCTGTAATTCCAGATACTTGGAAGGCTGAGGCAGGAGAATCACTTGAACCTGGGAGGTGGAGGTTGCAGTAAGCCGAGACTGCATCACTGCACTCCAACCTGGGCGACAGAGCAAGACTCAGTCTCAAAAAAGAAAAATTAAATAAATAAAAAGCCGAAGGCCAAATGTTTAATGAGGGAAATTAGAAGGCTAAATGTTTAATGAGGGAAATTAGAACATTCCAATTTAATATTTATGTGAACGAGGCACTGAGGAAACACTAAAACCCCTATAGACACTAACGTGCAATCCAAAAACCTGTAATGTGCAACACTGGCCACTGTTTCACCTTTAAAGATGGAAAAGCTAAAAGTGCCTACCCTTGGGGGGACAATCATATGAGATAATCTGTGCTCAGAGCCCAGCCTGCACATAGCAGCCCTCTGTGAGTGAGTGTGACCCTCACCACCACTGTGGGGACTGCTTCTAGTCTACCAATGAGCACAAACACCCATACCTGCTCCTTCATTGTCAATGACACTTACTCTCACTGGCCGGAGGGGTTTCTTTGATCTGTTGGTAGTGTACTGCTGCAGTGGACAATGCCCGAGGGGCTGGCTTGGCCCCAACTTCCATCATCTTGGGGCAGTTTTGGGCATAGAACAACAGAGATTTGCCTGCTTTCTGCAGAAAGGCCTGGGGGACTCGGGATAAGAATGGGCAGCGGCGAACAACACTCTCCATGTTCAGGAAGTATGCTGGCTCCTGTGGAAAGACTGATGAAGAGTGACATCAACAGTTGTTAATAATCAGGCAAATATCACTGCAAGCTCACTGGATTCAGGTGTCAACCGCAGTTTATATAAAGGGTACCCTGGAATACTAACACTTCTCCCTCAAAAATGCCTAAGGACAGCACTGATGTGAGCTAAGGAATGGTGACCACACTTTACCCGGGTCACCAACTTCTTCATTCTCCAGCGCTACACAAAGGCACCTGCAAAGCAACTTCACCAAATGAATACTGACAGTACATAATCAAGGGGGCGGAAGGATGAGGGAAAGGTCAAGAACAGGTTTGGGAGGCCAGAGGTTTCTTAGGGAGATGCACAGTGCAGATAAGACATCTTGGCTTACATCTAGGTGGAGAAGAAGCCACTCATCCATCCAGGCAGGGAAGACTCTTAGGGATCCTGACTTTCTCCTGGTCCCCACATCCCCTAAACCCGAGGAAGGGGTCCAGCAGGGTCCCGAGTCCCTGAAGCAAGGATTCCTCCGTGGTCGTGTCCCCACAGCGGGAAGAACTGGGCATAACTGAGAAAGGAGGGGCACAAATGAGGGTAGGGGTATGAGGGCCAGCGCCTTGGGCCTCACTGGGGACGCGCAGGGGCTTATAAAGTCGAGGGAGTTGAGTCTGGAGAAAGAAGGCAGTCCTCCGGCAGTGGGGGTCAGAGGTGACCCGCGGTCGAGGTCTCGAGAATGACGGGAGGGGTATGAGAAGGGAATTCTAAAGCGGCGGGTTCAACCGGGAATAGCCGGAAGGGGCCGAAAGGGGGAAACTGAGGCGGCCGTCTAGGCAAAAGATCTGGAGGATAAACGCTGACCTCAAGGCGGCGGGTGACTGGGACAGTGGGGGATGGGGTCCCAGCACCCGGGGCAGCGGTGCCACGGCTGGCAGGACACCCCGGGGCTTCCTCGGCCGGCGCCGCACCTACCGCGCGGGCCCTCACCTGCGCTGAGGACTGCAGAGGCGGCGGCGAAGGAGGCGGGCACTCAAGTCGAGAAGTCCAAACGAAACGCTCGTTGCCCTTGTCCGGGAGCAGCCTCAGGCCGCGATCGCCGGCGCCTTAATATACAGCGGGAGTGACCGCTGCGCATGCGCCTTGGGCGCTGCCTTCTTCTGCGCAGGCGCGCCGCGTAGCCCTCGGCGAGCCGGGGGGGCGGGGCAGAGAGGCCCACTTCTTGGGCTCTGCGGATATCGGTGCTGCCGGGGATTCCCCGGCTCGCCTGCAGGGAGGAGGAAGCGCTAGGCGGTGGGCGGACGAGGTCTCTTTTCCCGACCTCATCCTGCACCCTCGTGCTGCCTCCCCACCAACTACCCTGGGCTTCAGAACCCTACGCCCCAATTGAGTATAAAATGGCAAGGTCGAGGCGAGGTGCCGCTAGGGCCAAGTTGGGGGCTACAGGGTTGTTAAGCTGGGTGTCTTGGACATGGAGGAAGAAGGAGATCCAAGGGGTTCTGGGCCGGGGTGTTAAGCAGGATCCATCCCGCCTGCGGCTTGCTTTGGAAACTGTGAACAAGGGCTTCCCGGAGGAGGTGGAGCTGGCTATATCGCCCACAAATGGAGTGGTCCTGGCAGGATGCGGAAGAAGCGGGACACTCAGCTGTGGCACTTTCTGGTCTAAGATGATCCAGAGGGGACAGAGGAACAGGGCTAGGGTGGAACCCATCCACTCCACAGCTCTGAGCACTTGGGGAGGAGGGGAAGGCACAGGGCCTGACAATAGTTAGCGTGTAACAAATATTAGCCACTATTTTTATTTTCCATCCAGGGTTGTCTGAAGCCCCTTGCTGGCCACCCTGGGCACCAGCAGGGTGGCTTAGGCCTCCATGCCAAAGGTCAGCGTTGGGCCATACCTCCATTGAGTTTCCCGGGTACAACACATAAAGTGTAGGGCTTGGCAAACCCGTCTCAGGAATGTCAGTCTGGCTTCCTTGCCCCACACCCTTCCCAGCTTGGCTTGGGCTGTGTTGGGCTGGGCCTGTGCCAGGCTCAGAGGTACTCTCCTCCATTCTTGAGGAAAGGGCCTTTGAGGGTATTCCTTTCCCAGCTGAGCATTAACAAGAGGGACAAAGTCCAGAATGATGGTGACCAGGGTGTGTCCAGGTACTTTGCATTTCTGTCTCTGAGCACCCAGCTGGCTGCAAGGCAGGTGAGGTGAGTCTCCACCTTCAGAGGAGGCACCTGGGTTCAGAGTGGCAGTGGGACCAGTCCAGGATGAGGGCTTTGGTCTGAGAGCTCGAGACCCAGTTCTGTGCCATTCAGCCAAGAGATCCTGGGCAGTGCCCATCACCCAGAGAAGATGAGAGAGAAAAGGTCAGCACTTGGACTTGGACCCAAGTGCAGCTGGAAGTGGGAACAGAATAAGGATGATATTGAGTGCTTTGCTCATCTTTGGGCCTTGCTTTCCTTATCTGGGCAATAGGATCATAATCCCTGAAATGCCTGCCTCACAGGTTGTTTTTGTTGTTGTTGTTATTTTGTTTGTTTGTTTGAGACAGAGTCTCCCTCTGTTGCCCAGGCCGGAGTGCAGTGGCACAATCTCGGCTCACTGCAACCTCTGCCTCCCAGGTTCAAGCGATTCTTCTGCCTCAGCCTCCTGAGCAGCTGGGATTACACCACCACGCCCAGCTAATTTTTGTATTTTTAGTAGAGATGGGGTTTCACCATGATGGCCAGGCTGGTCTTGAACTCCTGACCTCAAGTGATCACCCTCAGCTTCCCAAAGTTCTGGGATTATAGGCTTGAGCCACTGCGCCTGGCCCTCATAGGGTTTTTTTGGGGGTGATCAGAGCCAAAGCCAAAGCAGAAAGAACTGGATAGTGGAGTTGGGCATGGGTTTCAAACCCAGCTCTGAATCTTACTTGGCCATAGACTTGGGCAGGCCACAACCTCTTCAAGGCTTGGTTTCCTGATTTGTAAAGCTCTCCCGCCCTGCCACTTGTGGCTGGCAGGAGGGTCAGGTGAAGTCCTGTATTTCAGAGGCTTATTGTTTAAACCAGCCAGTCCCTAGCCCTCTGGGAGTTTCCTGTTTAATATAGAGAAAGATTGGGAAACAAGGCCGACTCACATGGAAAGTGAAATAGAGTGTTGTAAGCAACTCCAGATGGAGGAAGAGGAGGAGGCTATTACTCCAACAGGCGCTGAAAGAGGAGGATCCCAACCACGAGGAAGGCTTCCAGAAGAGAAGCGGGTGCTGGTTGGAAGGGTGGATCTACATGCGACTGGGAGACTGTGGGTGAAGCCTTGGATGGAAAAGGCTCAGCCCTGTGGGGGTGGCGGTTGGGGGGTCAGCGTGAGTCAGCCCAAATAGCTGGGCAACGGGAGTATGGTCAGGACCTGACGCCAAGAGGTCAGACCAGAAAGGCCCTAAATGAGCCACGGGGTTTCCCAGTGTCAGGGCCCAAAGAACCACCCCCAGGGTACCGGTCAAAATGCAGATTCCTGTGCCACACACCTTTGATTTTGACCCAGAAATCTGCATTTTAACCAGCTCCCCTTTCTGATGAGGTAAGGGTGAGGTATCTTGGAATATGTTTCTTGAGTGGTTCAAGGTTTGAGACCTTGAAGAGCAAGGCATAAGCCATGAGTTCTAGTCCTAACTCTGAGATCTTGAGCAAATTGCCTCATGCCTTAAATCTTAGTTTTTGTGTCTGTGAAATGAGAATGACCCCATCTGCCTCAGTGATGAGTCTGGGTGGGCACTATTCTGCTCCAGTTGTGATCCTTCGGGGCCTCTTCTTCTCCCCTCCGCCCCCTCCTCCTCTTCTTCTTTCTTTTTCTTCTTTTCCTTCTCCTTCTTCGCCTCTCACTCCTCCCTTGTCCTTCCCTCCTTCCCCATCTTCTTTTCCCTTTCTCTCCCTTTTTCTCTCTCCCTTACCCCTCCCTCCCTTTTCCCTCCTTCCCTCCTTCTCCCTCCCTCCCTTCCTTCTCAGAGCTACAGTATAAACTCATCTTATCACTCGCTCTGGCCCTGGGCAGCTGGAGTTGAGGCAAGGTCAGGCCCCATCCCAGGGATGACGCTGGGGACTTTTTTCCCTCCCACCCAGTCTGCATCATGGTCATCATTACCATCACTATCACCGTCCGGGGCTGCTGCACATAGTACCCACCCAATGGTCAAGGCAAAAGGAAAATGTCAACCCCAGCCCCTAGAATTCCCCCTTTTTATTCTGGGCCCCAGGAACTATTTTTATTTTTATTTTTATTTTTTCTCCCTTAAATAGCTGTTTATTAGCAATGTGCTAGAAAGGGTGATGGAGTTAGCATTCACAGACAACACACACCGCTGTCACGAGGGAGGCAAGCGCGCGGGCAAGCCAGCCTGGAGCCCCGAAGAGGAGTCCCCCTCTTCAAGAGAGCGTGGGAGGGGATGGGGCCTGGGGTGTTGGGGGGCAGCCTGGGAACACCTCCGCTTACTAGGCATGGTTAAAGATGAAGAGGGACTCACTGGCAGCAGCCCCAGCCTGACCGCTTGGAGTATACTTTCCTTGACAGGCGTGGCTATCTGCCAGGGCTCACTTGACATACTCCTTCTGCACAGCCTTCAGGTTCTCCTTCTTCCTGCCCCAGGCCTTCAGGGCAGAGGCCTGCAGGGCTCAGCTATATGAGAAGGTCAGGCCCCAGGGCTTCAGGAGGGGGCACTTGTTAATGGCATTGAGGTTGATGGACACTTCCTTGCTCTGGCCTCCAGACAGGAAGGTGATCCCAGGGACAGTGGGGGACACTGTGCAGTGCAGCACTTAGTTTTTGTGTCTGTGAAGTGAGAATGACCCCACCTGCCTCAGTGATGAGTCTGGGTGGGCCCTGTTCTGGCCCAGTTGTGATCCTTCTAGGCCGCTTATTCCCCAGAGTGTAGTGCTTGTGACAGTTGCCATGGCAATCTCCTCATGAGAAAACTTCTGGATGCAGGCATGGCCTGGGGTGACCATATTGGACTTCAGCAAGGTGCCTTCCAGGTAGATGTCATGGTCACTCAGAGCCTTGTAGAGCAGCCACACCTTCTCGGTTACATACTGGCAGTACTACAAGTCATGGTCCCCACTGGGGAGGATCCTCAGGCTCCACGATGAGCACAATGCCATTCTGCTGGCAGATGCTGGCATAGTGGGCCAGGACATTGACACACTAGCATTTTCTCTTTCTTTTCTTTCTTTCTTTCTTTCTTTCTTTCTTTCTTTCTTTCTTTCTTTCTTTCTTTCTTTCTTTCTTTCTTTCTTTTTCTTTCTTTTCTTTCTTTTTCTTTCAAGACGGCGTCTCACTCTGTCACCCAGGCTGGAGTGCAGTGGTGCAATCTCAGCTCATGCGACCTCTGTCTCCCAGGTTCAAGCGATTCTCCTGCCTCAGCCTCCCAAGTAGCTGGGACTACAGGTGTGTGCCACCACGCCTAGCTCATTTTTGTGTTTTTAGTAGAGATGGGATTTCACCATGTTGGCCAGGCTGGTCTCGAACTCCTGACCTCAGATGATCCACCTACCTCAGCCTCCCAGAGTGCTGGGATTACAGGCGTGAGCCACCGCGCCCAGCTGATGTTGGCATTTTCAATGATGGTGAGGGCTGAGGGGGTGTGTTTCCCAATCTTCAGCACATGATGCCACTTGGCAAAGTGGGCTCCATCCTTCTTGTATGGGGCACAGCGCTCAGACAGCCCATCCAGCCCTTGGGTGGTGGTCTCACCATTTGCCCTTTCCAGGGGTACCACCCCCTTGTCTACCTTGATGCTCACAACATTGCCCTTGGATTTGATAACTTGGGGGAAGGGACGCCCATCATCCGCCTTTTGGTACAGCGTCTCATGGAAGAGGATGACACCCTTGATGCAGGGGTTCACGCGGTTGTCAGCTGTCAGCCACAGCTGGCGGTAGAAGCACCGGTTCTCCTCGGTATTCTCGGTGCCAATGGACTGCAGCCACTTGGCAGTGCTCCCAGTGGACTCATCTGCAGCCGGGATGCCCTTGCCCAGAGCTACGATGCGATGAGTCATGTCAGACAGCTCCTTCTGCTCCGGGGTCAGCAATGGATATTGGTAGGGCATGGTACTGGTGTTAGCAAGTTCTAGCACAGGAGAGGGGTGGGTTTGCAGGGTGCGACGGTGGAGGGTGGCAGGCGGGCGAGTGGACTCAGGGAGAGAACGCAGCACTCATCACCAGGACCCCTTCTCCCAGGAACTATTTGTAGTAGCACTCCTCCAAGAAGGTGAGGTAGCACAGTCTTGGCAAACCTGCTGCTTTCTTCTGGGCCTCAGTTTCCACATCTGTCAGTCAAGCAAGAAATCTTGCATCCTTCTCAAAGAGACCCCAGGTGGACATAGGACAGCTCCAACCTGTGCTGCTGCTGCTCCTTGGGGTGTCAGTGCCCTTCTATACAGTGGTAGATGGGGGCCAGCCGCACACAGTGGGTAGAGGATCTGGAAACAGCCCAGCTCTGCCCTGAACAGTTGGAGGCATGAGCTCCAGTTTACCATGATGGGGCCCAGGAGCCACCATGTGAGATGGAATTTCGGGGTTGGCAGAGCAAAAGGGTTCTGAGGTCTCTGGCGCTGGCCTTGTCCTAACCCTGTCTTTGGAATCCCGTTAGACTGTGGTTGCAGAGCAAGGGGTGAGCTCTGGTTTGTGAGAAGAGAGAGAGGGGCTGGAGTGGAGCAAAGCCAATAAATGCTTCAGGAGATAGGTCTGGAGTGGGGGGGCTTTGCAGGGAGCAGCAGCCCCCATCCTAGAGAGCAGAAAATGCCCAGAGAGCCCCAGAGGACCCCTGAACCCAGCCCTCCAGCCTAGCACCCACAAACTGTGGCCCAGATAAGTTCTGTGTGGCCCACGTAGTTTTTGTTTGTTTGTTTTGTTTTGTTTTTTGTTTTTTGTTTTTTTTTTTGAGACAGAGTCTCACTCTGTCGCCCAGGCTGGAGTGCAGTGGCACAATCTTGGCTCACCGCAAGCTCCGCCTCCCGGGTTCATGCCATCCTCCTGCCTCAGCCTCCCAAGTAGCTGGGACTACAGGCGTCCACCACCATGCCCGGCTAATTTTTTGTATTTTTAGTAGAGACGGGGTTTCACCATGTTAGCCAGGAGGGTCTCAATCTCCTGACCTCGTGATCCGCCCACCTCGGCCTCCCAAAGCGCTGGGATTACAGGCGTGAGCCACTGCGCCCGGCATTCTTGTTTTATAATAAAATGTGAATGCATTGTCAACATTTAACCAGCAGGAATTTTCTCATCAAGCCTCAGATGTTCAGCTTCTTTTGAGGAATCAGTAGACCTGGAGCCCCTGGGCTAGCCCAGGCAGGGTGTGCTCTCTCCACTTCTCTATCAGCTCTCCCTTCAGTGCGTCCCCAACCCTGAGGAATGTAATGTCCAAGCAGCGACACCTCCCTGGCCTTGTAGGCATCAGTGTGTGTTCCCAGCCCTAAGCCATTTTACAGCCAGGGAGACTAAGACTCAGAGAGGGGAGAGGACTTGCTCGAGGTCACACAGAAAGTGATGTTGGGCTGTAGGGGGACCCAGGTGTCCTGATTTCTATGTCTTCCACACTACACTCACAGCTTCTGGAGGAGGGTCTGGGGTCAGTGGCTAGGGGAAGGATCAGGCTAGCTATAAGGGGCCTCCTGGAAGGGACTAGCCCAGAGGTGGATTCCTCCATGCTTGTCATCTTCCCCCCAAGCCCCTGCATGTGGATCAGGCAGATCAGGGCCCCTTGAAGATAATGGGGCAGGGGCAGGCACAGGCTGAGCCCTCTCCTATGGCCGGCTGTGCCTGCCCCTGCCTCATCACCTTCAAGGGGCCCTGGTCTGCCTGATCCACATGCAGGGGCTTGGCGGGATGAGGATGTGCAGTGCGGGGAAGCCTCCCTCCCTGTCCTCCTGAGCTGCTGGGCAGACAGACATCAGCAAAGAAGCCGTAGCAGTCTGTGACCAGTGTGGACAAGGGTGCTGGATTAGAGAATGGCGGGATGGGAAGGGGGACCCACCTCAGGGCTGCACCCTGGTGTCAAGCAGATGCCACCTAGGACAGAGCGACCAGGCTGAGGGGCCCCCAGTGAAGGCTAGAGGGAGCCTGATATGGAGAAGGAGCATGGAGGAAGACAGGGAGGCTGAAGTCAAGAGAACGGGGCGGGGGTGGGGGGTGGCAGATCCAGGCCGGGAGACATTAGAATCTCGCCATAATCAACAGTGCAATTATCCACCAATTCAGGGACCTTATTTCTCTCTGGCCCTGTTGGCATTTAAAGGCCTACCCAGCACCCCTTCTGCCCGGACACAAGGGAGCTGGAACAAAGGGGAGGAGGAGTGAGAAGAGAGTGAATGTGGATCGGCTGGGCAGGGCCAGTAAGGAGAAGGCCAGGGAGCATGAGAATCTGCTGAGCAAAGATGGTAGCAGCAGCCGCTGTGTGCAAATGTTTGACCTGGCTCTGTGATTAAGTGCACAACCCCAGACCCCCCACACAGTGCACCCTACAGATGTCAGTCCCATACAAGGAACAGAGGCTCAGAATGGTTAAGTTGCACAAGGTCATACAGCCAGCAAGTGGGGAGAGTGGCTGACCTCCTGGCCCTTCTGGCTTCTGGTCCAGCACTCCACCCTGTGGGGGCGGGGTGAAGAAGCTGGGAGGAATGAGGCTGGGGCAGCTTCAAGGGTCTTGGGTCTCAGGGGAGGCATTTCTCTGTTTCTGGGTGACAGGACTAGTTCGGGCAGGCAGATGGGAGCACTTAGCCAAGGAGGCTGGCCAAGGCTCTGGCCAGCTGCCGGCCACCCAACTCAGGAGAGGTTGCCCACTTCCGGGAACTTCTGGGCAACCAGCCACATCCTCAGAAGGCAGGACTCCTTCCAGACCCCACACACTGGTGGACACTGCTCACTCTCTCCCCTGGACCTGGCCAGCTGCTCTGGGCCCAGTTGCACAGCACCCAGGGCCCACAGCCTGGCAGAGGCCTCCCACCCTCCTTGGCTCTCTCCTTGGAGGTTCCTAGAAGGAGGAAAGCGGGCCCTTCTGGAAAGAGGAAAGGGTTTTCTGTCACCCTAAAACCCATCTCCAATGGTGGGGAACAGCAGCCCCCTCCTCCCTGTCTCCTCTCCCTGCTCCCACAGCCACCCCCTTATTGAATGATCTGTGTTAACAGTAGTAGTAATAACAGTCACTACCAAATTGAATTGTGTCTCTACTGTAGTGTGGTACCAAGTACTGTGTGTTTCAACTCTCATAGGCCCCCTGTGAAGCAGCTACCTGCAGCCCCATTCTCAGAGTGTGGAGGCAGTGCGCTGCCTGGGTTCGACTCCCCGTTCCATCCTCTGTGTGCTCTATGTCCTTAAGCAGTTGGCACAGCCTTTCTGAGCTTCAGTTTCCTCATGCACAGAAAGGGAGTGATATTTTCTATACTGGCTAAATGCTGTGTGTCAACTTGGCAAGGCTATGGTGCCCATTGTTTTATTAAATACTAGTCTAGGCCAGGTGCGGTGGCTCATGCCTGTAATCCCAGCACTTTGGGAGGCCGAGGCCCTGGCCAACATGGTGAAACCCCATCTCTACTAAAAATACAAAAATTAGCTGGGCATGGTGGCATGTGCCTGTAATCCCAGCTACTCTGGAGGCTGAGGCAGGAGGATCACTTGAACCCGGGAGGCGGGGGTTGCAGTGAGCCAAGATCAAGCCACTGCACTCCAGCCTCAGCGATAGTGAAACTCCATCTCAAAAACAACAACAACAACAACAAAACAAAACAAAACAAACAAACAAACAAAAAACCTAGTCTAGATGTTGCTGGGAAGGTATTTTGTACGTGCAATTAATATCTAAAACCAGTTGACTTTAAGTAAAGGAGATTATCACCAGTAATGTGGGCCTCAATCAATCAACCGAAGGCCTTCAGAGCAAAAACCAAGGTTTCCTGGAAAAGGAGAAGTTCTGTCACAAGATGTAAAGTAGAGATATTGTCTGAGTTTCAAGCCAGCCAGCCTGCCCTACCAAGTTCCAGCTTATCAGCATCCACGATCATGTGACCCAATTCCTTAAAATCCATCTCTCTCTCTCTCCTATTGGTTCTGTTTATCTGGAGAACCCTGACATACTTTCCACTCAATGAGTGGAAAGGTCAGTGAGACGCTGCTGCTGTGATTGGTAGAGGCACCTGTTCCTGGAAACAGCATGCAGGTAATATTAGCTGTGGGTTACAGATGAGGGAACTGAGCATTGGGAAGGTGACTTGTTCAAAGTTTCGGAGCTGGAGTCAGGATGTAAGCTGGCCTGCCTACCTGCAGCTGCACCTCAATCACTGGGTCCTCACCTTGTCATCCACCTCCTTGTCAAGACCCTCGGACCAAGCTGCCCAAGGGGCTACTGGTGGCATCCTCTCTCCAGGGCTTGCCTTTGAATTTAATTAAAACCCTCAGGCCCTGGTATGGGAAGTGAGACCAAAGGCCATTGAGTCCCCACTGACACTGAGTTAACAGATTCTTATGCAAGATTAGCAGGCTTGTGATGTCAACACCAACATTCACCTGCCTTAGAATTGTCATGGCCTTGATGGGGCCTTTGGAGTTGAGAGTGAAATCAGCAAAGGAGAGCTAAGTAACAACCCCTTATCTTGGGGAAGCCTTTTCAGCCCTGCTCCTCACTCTGCAGACCTAATAAGCCTTAGCTTTTCAGCATAGACCTGGGATCAGCAGTGCAGAGGCCTGTAGGGTCCAGATAGGTGAGGACAGTGGGCACCTTGGACTCCTGGGCTGAAGGACAGACACATTTCAGCTCTGGCCATTGTTATCCCTAGAAACAGGGCCTGGTGTGTCCAGGGCTTCTTCTTGTATTTCTAGAAGAGACTCATAGCCAGATTTTTTTTTTAAGAGACATGGTCTCGCTCTCTCCCCCAGGATGGAGTGTGGTGATACAATCATGGCTCACTGCAGCCTCCACCTCCTGAACTCAAGTGATCCTCTAGCCTCAGCCTCCTGAGTGGCTGGGACTCAGATGCGCACCACCATGCCTGGCTAATTTTTAATTTTTTTGTAGAGATGGGGTCTCATTATGTTGCCAGGCCCTGGCCTCAGGTGATCCTCCCACCTTGGCCTCCCAAAGTGCTGGAATTACAGGCGTGAGCCACTAGGCCTGGCCTAATCACATCCAGATTTTTATATGAGCACTTTGAATTTTAATGGTTTTTTAAATAACAAAAGCTTATTTATTTGAATAGATATTTGCATATGATAATGCAAATAGTGTAACAGAGTAAAAGAGATTTCCCTTATCCAGGTCTCTTTCCATACACAACCACTGCTCCTGAGTTCTCATAGGTCTTTTCAGAAAGATTCTACTTATTCATTCAACATTTATCAGTTGCTCACCTACTACAAGTCCAGCACTGAACATATAAAAAAGTCTTTCTTGTTTGCTCCTTGCTTTTTGCATTGAATACTACACCTTGAAGAGGGCTGCATCCTTTTTGACAGCCGCATAGTATTCCGCTGTGCTGATGCACCATGATTCACTTGTCTAGCCTCTTACTGTTCATTTGGTAGTTTCCAATGGGTTACTCCTATCAGTGTCCTTGAACCTGCTTCCTTATGTGGGGTGAGGACTTCTGTGGGGTATTTAGAAACAAAACGCAGCCTGGTCAACATGGTGAAACCGTGTCTCTACTAAAAATACAAAAATTAGCCAGGCATGATGGTAGTCGCCTATAATCCCAGCTACTCTGGAGGCTGAGGCAGGAGAATTGCTTGAACCCGGGTGGCGGAAGTTGCAGTGAGCCGAGATCACGCCATTGTGCTCCAGCCTGGGTGACAGAGTGAAACTCCTCCATCTCAAAAAAAAAAAAAGAAGAAACAAAACCACCAGGTCAAATGTCAGAATCTTTTTTTTTTTTTTGAGACGGAGTCTCTCTCTGTTGCCCAGGCTGGAGTGTAGTAGCACGATCTCGGCTCACTGCAAGCTCCGCCTCCCGGGTTCACACCATTCTCCTGCCTCAGCTTCCCGAGCAGCTGGGACTACAGGCGCCCCACACCATGCCCAGCTAATTATTTTTTGTGTGTGTATTTTTAGTAGAGACGGGGTTTTACCACGTTAGCCAGGATGGTCTTGATCTCCTGACCTCGTGATCCCCGTCTCGGCCTCCCAAAGTGCTGGGATTACAGGGGTGAGCCACCGCGCCCGGCCAGGTCAGAATCTTTTATTCCAACTTTATGTTTTTTTTTCTTTTTCTCTCCTCTTGAATTGAGTGTGTTCTTGTGAGTGGCCTCAGATCCTTGATGGAGTGAGGCAGCTTCCAGGAAATGGATCAATAGGCTTTTTTTATTCAGCAAATACTTACTGTGTACCTACTGTTTGCCTAGTGTTGAACTAGGTTCCGGGATGGCAGCTATGAACAAGGTAGATGTAGTCCCTATTCTCGCGGAGTGGACACTTTGGTGGGGGAGACAGATGTCCAGAAGGACACGCCATCCAGACACATAATCTTGTGAGGGTGAGAGCTCACATGGTGCTCTGAGTGACAAGGACAGTGGCTGCTCTGTTTGGAGGCTTGGAGAGGCCTCTCTGAGGAGAGGATGTTTAGGGTGAGTCCTGAAGGAGAAGGAGCCAAGCTGGCGATGATTTGGGGTGGAGGAGGCCAGGAGCTGACCAGTGCCCCAGGCTGGGGGATCTAGTGCAACACTCTTGGTCACCTCCAGCTCTGGCCACTATGCTTTGGAATATGGGAGGGTTGGAAATAATCACCCATCCATGCCCAGTGCCAAGGAGGTGCTGGATAGATCTAATTATGATTACTATTATCATGACTGAAATGTGAGCAAGGAGGCATGGCAGAGAAGTTGGGGGGATATGGGGAGCCTTGGAAGCTGGGCTCCAGGCCCCCTTGGGAGGGGGCAATGCGGAGGAGCTGGAAGGCCATAGTCCTCCAAGCCTTCAGGGAACTTACATTATCTGGTGTAGCTGGTGGGAAGGGGGCATGGGGGCAGCTAAGGCAATCTGGGCCCAACTGAGGGGGCCCTGAGAACCATCCAAGGGATGGGTCTTGTTCTGTAGGCTTTGGGATTAGAAGACAGCTCTGAAGCCTTGGGACTCAACCCCGACTCATTAGGTGCCAGATCCAGCCTGGGGTTGGGGGAAGGCAGCCACAGTGTTTACCCAATCTCCAAAGCCCATCCAGCTTGATGCAGTGGCCTGGTTGTGACACCCCTCAGTGCTTCCCCCTAGCTAACGGCCATCAGCCCACTCAGCCTCCAGGTTCCTCTTTGCTGAGCTACTCACACCGGGGTCCACTGGGACTGTGCCTTCATTTCTCTGACCTGGGGAGTTGGAGAAGTTCAGCAGGGCTGGTGGCTCACAAGAGGTACCCAATGAGCATTTGTTGAATGAATGAATGAACATATGAATAAATGCATGAATGAATGGAGTGGGTAAATAAATGAGGATTATCTGTGAACTATGTGCAAGTGAGTGTGTGTGGGTGGGTCCTTAGGCCCCAGAGATAGGGCCGTTTGTGGGCCCAGAGATGGGGCCATTTGTGGGCAGGTTGTGTCAGCAAAGAGGTGAGTGTGGAAAGCTAGGGTCAGATGGCTGGTCAGCAGATGGCCTGGAGAAGGCCAGGGGAAATGGAGCAAGGCCATTTACTAGGGGCCCAGTTGAGCATCTTCAGGAGCCTTCCTTGGGGAGATCTGTAAGTGTCCATGTCCCGACACTCTGCCACTCCACTGCCACCCATGCATACGCAAGCTCCCATGGGCCCTCCCGGGTGTCTATGTCATCCTCTCCAATGGCTCTCCCTAAGCTCACCCTGGGATAGGCCACCTCTGATCTCAGCCTGGTCTGTGGACGGTGTGGTCAGGAGTCAACTGAAGCCCCTTGAAGCTCAGCTGGGGTGGAGGCTGCAGTCAGACCCTCGTTCCCCCTCCTGGTCCCTCTCCCGCTCTCTTCCTTGACCACCACCTCAGAAGATGACCATAGCTGTGCAGCAGAAGGGCTCTCACTCTATATTTGTGTAACAACATCTAGAAAATAGTTTTCCACAGCCTGCCTGTGTCTTAGCAGACAGAAGACTGCTGGCCACTCTGAAGTGACATTTCAAGTTTGGAAGTTCTTAGGGCCTAGTGTCTGGCAGCGTGGTCTGCTGGTCACATTCCTACGTGCACACCCTGAAGGTCTCTCAAATACATGCAGAATCCCAGGCCCACAGCTGCCCAGGGTCACAAACACCCTTTCACACATGGCCACATGGCCAACCACTCTGGTCATAGGGATAGCAGCACCTTGTGACAGTTAGATACATGGTGTAGTCACAGCGTGCCTCGGGGGCTGTGACCTTGTCACAGAGGCACACATGTGCAGCCATGGTGTGCCATGATTGGGACGTCATCATACATAGGGTCACACACACGGGCTGAGCTGTGCAGGGCCGCAGGGTTGCTCTGCTTCACCCCTCACCTCCACCTCCCTACCGCAAGTGCAGCCTGGCTCCCTGGGATCGTGATCCCTTCCCCTGCGCTCATTCCTGATGAAGTCAGGACTATCAAGAGCCCCTGACTGGCCCTCCCTCTGCCTGCCTCCTCTGTGGCCATCCTGCTCAGGTCTGTCCCGATGGCTCTGTACACCCCTGAGAACTATTAAACTGACCAGAGCGTGGACCAGGGAGATCCCAAGGGCATGAGAGCCAAGCTGTGTGACCATAACAGTCATGTCTTGTTTCTGGACCTCAGATTCTCCACCTGTTTTTAAAAAAAATGTTATTGATGTATAATAGTTGTACATATTCTCCATCTGTTAATACAGGCATAGACCTGGTGGTTTCAAGGCTCTTCTGGCACCCGTGATGAGGAAAGCTGTGATTCTGTGGCCCCTCTGGCATTTCCTGGACCTTCGGGCTTCTGAGTCTATTTGAACTTCATGGCCAGGTGCCTCTCACTAATGAAAGGGCCTCCACTGAGATTTCCTTGGGAACAAAGGAGAGCTCAGTTGTTCTTGAGGCCTCAAAGGGGCCCCTGAGGCAGGCCTGATGCCCGGCTGTGTGCAAGGACCAGAGGAGTGGCTGCCCAGCCTGGAGGCAGGTGCTGGCTGGACTGACCTCCTGGGACCCACTTAAGCTTTCTACAAACAACACATCATCTGGGCTGAGTGGGGGGTTCTCGGGGCAAAAAAAAAAAAAAAAGTCTTCTACGGAAGCTGCCTTGTGACTTGGCCCTGAGCTCAGGCAGGGTGGGGACCCTGAGCACCAGAGAGGTCATTGTTCCGTGAAAGCCAAGGCGGCAACCCCTCCCTCTTCCCCTTCTTGTGCTTGGAACCTCCAGACCCCTGGACTCCCAGGGGAGCCCAGGGAGTCAGTGTATGAGGTGCTGAAGCCAAGTCCTTCCAGAGCTTGGGGGAAGGTCAGTTGGTTTATAAATCACCTGAATTTCATCAGGGTCACCATGGGGGAGCTTCATGCATTTTTCAAAGGGCAGTTGTTGGGTGGTCACTCTGTGTTAGGCGCAGTGTAGGAGCCTGGAGAAATAAACCAAAATGTACCTGAAGTAGCATTTTTCAGTGTGGTCTATGTTCATGAAGTGGTCTCTGGAAAAAATATTCCATAGTCAAGTAAGTTAAGAAAGGGTATTATATAATTCACTTGGCCTGAGCAAAGGTGACCTGGTTTCTTTTTCGTGGGATTTGGAGAAGCTTTAAAAGGCAGTGTGTTTAGGCTGGGCTTGGTGGCTCAAGCCTGTAATCCCAGCGCTTTGGGAGGCCGAGGTGGGTGGATCGCCTAAGGTCAGGAGTTCAAGACCAGCCTGGCCAACATGGTGAAACCCATCTCTACTAAAAATACAAAAATTAGCTGAGCATGTGATGGCGGGCGCCTGTAATCCCAGCTACTCAGGAGGCTGAGGCAGGAGAATCGCTTGAACCTGGGAGGCAGAGGTTGCAGTGAGCCAAGATGGCGCTACTGTACTCCAGCCTGGGTGACAGAGCAAGACTCAGTCTCAAAAAAGAGAGAAAAAACAAAAAAAAAGCTGTGTGTTGAGAGAACTTAGGGGGTGTGAGTGCAGGAGCCTCATTTCCCACATGCAGCTGACCACAGAACTCATTCTGCTCATAGCAGCTATCTGGTGGGGTCTGGTGGGGTTGGAGTTCTCCAGGAGCCCTGCAGCAAGGCTGCTGGAGGGGTATAAGCCATCCCTGGAGGGCTCCTGTGACGCCATCTCTGTGCCCTGCCCCTGGTGTCCTGATTTAGCAGGGCGCCTGAGAATCTGCATTTCTGCAAGTTCTCAGGTGCTGCTGTTGGACCACACTTGGAAAACCACTGATCTATCTCAGAGCAGCCAGAGTGATCTTTTAAAAGCTAAGCTGCGTGAAGTTCCTTCTCTGCTCAAAGCACCCCCAGGGCTCACTGTCACTCAAGGTAGAAGCCAAGTTCTTACAGGAGTCCACAAGGCCCACCGACCTCTTTGACATTCACTCACAACTCACTTTTCTGTCCCTTAAACCCACCCTGCAAATCCTCAAGAGCACCTCAGGCCTTTGCTCCCTTCTGCCCATAATGGTCCTGCCCCAGATGTTGGTGGGGCAACCTGTTCCCATCCCCCAATTCCTCCACCCCTACTCTTGTACCCCTGCCTGCCCTGGCAGGGCAGCCTGTTGGTCACATTCATAGATGCACGCCCTGAATATCTCTCAGATACACATAATCTCAGGCCCACAGGTGCCCAGAGTCACAAACACCTAAGCAGCTGGGCTCTCACACAGGAGGACACAGAGGGGGCTTTCTGGTCCCATATACATCTAGCACCTCGGGAAGGGGTTGAGAGGGAGCTGAGGTGTCCAGGCTGGGGCACAGGGGAGTGACTCTGTGGGCAGCTGTGTGCTCTGTCACTGGTTCCATGAACCTTATCAGCGCTGCCCTCATCCTAACCCCGGAGCACTCTGTGTTCTTGATGCATCTGCACAGAGGTCACGGCAGCACAGATGAACTTAGCTCACCCAGCTGCCCACAGTGACCCCGATAAGCTTGCAAGGCATCCTGTGGCAGAAACCAGAAGGTTCTGAGTTGGGCAGGAAATAGGGCCAAGCCTGTCTTCTCCACCCCAACCTCCATTGGCCCTGACCTGGCTTGGGGATGACCCTGGTGGGTAGCTGGGGGGGAAAGGTTTAGCTTAGGCCTGTCTGACTGCCAGATGCATGGGTGTTATGGAGAGGGGATGGGGGAATGTCAGACTTGGCTCTGACCTTCTCCTCTGTTGAGTGGGGAATGGCTGCCTATAATCTTCACTGGGGTCCCTGGGGCCTGTCTGATTCTATGTCCTGACCCCTCTGCCCTGTGGGTGGGTGTGCTGGTGGCATACAGAGTCTGCCACCCCATCGAGCCAAGGCTGTGGGTCTGAGTAGCCTTAGGTGCAGAGGCTGTCTGCGAATTTGCACATGATGTCAGTGGTGGCCTTGCTCAACATTCCCAAGGAATTTTCTGACTAGCAAAGCTTTGATTTTGGCAGCTCTTCTGCCCAGGAAGCTGACGTTATGCCCTGAGCTCAGCTCTGCTGAGCAGGTGAGTGCAGGCTGAGGCCCCTGAGTCCCCTGTCCTGGCCCTCCTGGGTGGATTCCATGGGTGGTCCTTTGCCTCCTGTGCGTGTGTGAGTATGTGGACACATGCAGGGAAAGTCTGCCAGCCTGAGCTCCCTCAGCCTCCCTTAGCCTGCCCTTCTTTTTAAAGCTACCATTTATTGAGAGTTTACCATGTTCTAGGCCTGTGGTTAAATCCTTACAGCAACCCTACGCCCTAGGGTTGTTGTAAAGATATATTCAAATCCTAACATCCAGTACCTGTGAATATGACCTTATTTGGAAATAGGTGCTTTGCAGCTGTTATTAAATTAAAAAGAGTTTTTCCATTTGTTCGTGTCCTCTCCTTTCCTTGAGCAGTGGTTTGTAGTTCTCCTTGAAGAGGTCCTTCACATCCCTTGTTAGCTGTATTCCTAGGTATTTTATTCTCTTTGTAGCAATTGTGAATGGGAGTTCACTCATGATTTGGCTCTCTGTCTATTTTTGGTGTATAGGAATGCTTGTGATTTTTGTACATTGATTTTGTATCCTGAGACTGCTGAAGTTGCTTAAGGAGATTTTGGGCTGAGACGGTGGGGTTTTCTTTTTTTTTTTGAGATGGAGTCTCACTCTGTCACCCAGGCTGGAGTGCAGTGGCGCAATCTCTGCTCACTGCAAGCTCCGCCCTCGGGTTCATGCCATTCTCCTGCTTCAGCCTCCCAAGTAGCTGGGACTATAGGCGCCCGCCACCATGCCCGGCTAATTTTTTTGTATTTTTAGTAGAGACGGGGTTTCACCGTGTTCGCCAGGATGGTCTCAATCTCCTGACCTTGTGATCTGCCCACCTCAGCCTCCCAAAGTGCTGGGATTACAGGCCTTAGCCACCATGCCCTTCGACAGTGGGGTTTTCTAAATATACAATCAGGTCATTTGCAAACAGAGACAATTTGACTTCCTGTCTTCCTATTTGAATACCCTTTATTTCTTTCTCTCACCTGATTGCCCTGGCCAGAACTTCCAATACTGTGTTGAATAGAGGTGGTGAGTGAGAGAGAGCATCTTTGTCTTGTGCTGGTTTTCAAAGGGAATGCTTCCAGCTTTTGCCCATTCAGTATGATATTGGCTGTGGGTTTGTCATAAATAGCTCTTATTATTTTGAGATACCATCAATACCTAGTTTATTGAGAGTTTTTAGCATGAAGGGGTGTTGAATTTTATTGAAGGCCTTTTCTGCATCTGTTGAGATAATCATGTGGTTTTTGTTGTTGGTTCTGTTTATGTGATGGATTACGTTTATTGATTTGCGTATGTTGAACCAGCCTTGCATCCCAGGGATGAAGCCGAGTTGATCGTGGTGGATAAGCTTTTTAATGTGCTGCTGGATTCAGTTTGCCAGTATTTTATTGAGGATTTTTGCATCGATGTTCATCAGGGATATTGGCCTGAAATTTTCTTTTCATCTCACGCCGGTTAGAATGGCGATCATTAAAAAGTCAGGAAAGGACAGATGCTGGAGAGGATGTGGAGAAATAGGAACGCTTTTACACTGGTGATGGGAGTGTAAATTAGTTCAGCCATTGTGGGAGACAATGTGGTGGTTCCTCAAGGACCAAAAATACCATTTGACCCAGCAATCCCATTACCGAGTATAAAGGATTATAAATCAATCTACTATAGGCTGGACGTTGTGGCTCATGCCCGTAATCCCAGCACTTTGGGAGGCTGAGGCGGGTAGATTACTTGAGGTCAAGAGTTTGAGACCAGCCTGGTCAACATGGTGAAACCTCGCTTCTACTAAAAAATACAAAAATTTGGCCGGGCTCAGTGGCTCATGCCTATAATCCCAGCACTTTGGGAGGCGGAGGTGGGCAGATAACCTGAGGTTAGGAGTTGAAGACCAGCCTGACCAACATGGAGAGACCCCATCTCTACTAAAAATACAAAAAAATTAGTCGGGGTGGTGGTGCATGCCTGTAATCCCAGCTACTTGGGAGGCTGAGGCAGGAGACTTGCTTGAATCCAGGAGGCAGAGGTTGCGGTGAGCCGAGATCACGTCATTGCACTCCAACCTGGGCAACAAGAGCAAAACTCCATCTCAAAAAAAAGAAAAAAAACAAAATTAGCTGGGCATGGTGGCGCATGCCTGTAATCCCAGCCACTCGAGAGGCTGAGGCGAGAGAATCGCTTGAGCCCAGAAGGTGGAGGCTACAATGAGCCAAGATTGCACTACTGCACTCCAGCCTGGGTGACAGAGCGAGACCCTATACTGAAAAAAAATAAAAAAAAAAAAAAAGACAGCCATGTGAAGAAGGAGGCAGAGATTGGAGTAATGCTGCCACAATCCAAGGAGCTCCTGGGGCTACCAGAAGCTGGAAGAGTCAAGGAAGGGTCCTCCCCTGGGGCCTTTGGAAGGAGAATGGCTCTGGCAACACCTTGATTTCTGACTTTCAGTCTCCAGAATTGTAAGACAATACATTTCTGTTGTTTCGAGCCACCCAGTTCTTGGAAAATGATACACCTGGCTTCAGTTACAATCTTCATTTCACATGAGGCAACTGCAGCTCAGAGAGTTCAAGATCTTGCCTAGGGTTACACAGCAAGCTAATGTTGCACCTGGGATTAGAGTCTATCTACGCAACTCTAAGCCCATGAGCTCAGCTCACCCCTATGGACCCCCTTGACCTGTCACCCTCTCTCTTGATCCCATCCCCTGACCCTCTACAGCACCCCGCCCTGTAAACCTCAGGGGAGACCCCAAGCCTTCCGTGCTAGCTCCTAAAGACTCCCCCAGGGTCCTGGCTTCCCCAGGCTCCAGCCCCAGCTCCTTCCTGCTCTGCCCCAGTAGGCTTCGGGGGTGCCTCTCACTGTCTCCCTAAACCCCACAGCTGCCTTAGTCCTTGATACTGCTCCCAACTGTGCATTTGGATATTCTGGTGCCTCACAGCCTGGCACTGCCCAGTGCCCCTGCTGCATCTCTGTGCTGTCACCATCTCCCTGGGGCTGGGCCCCCTTCTGCCTGCTGCTCCTCAGGTCTCCAGGCCTGGCAGCCTCCATGCTCCCTCTTTGTTGAGGGTGCTCCAGTGTCACCCCAGCCTCCTCCTTATTGTCCTTGCTGCTCCTTGACACCCTCCCCAATTTATTCTCACACTTTCTTTGTAACCCCTTCCACTCCCCTTGGCCCAATAACCATTAGATCTTCCCAGTGAGACCTGGCAGCTCCCCCTTTCCCCATTCTTTGGCCCCTTGTCATTGGCCCTGTCCCATAGCTCCTGAATTTCTAAACCTTGCTGAGACAGTGGTAACTGGCCACTACCCCTCCCCAAAGAGGAGAACTAACCCCCTGCCAGTGTCATCCCAGTCACACCCCTTTTGGCCCTGGGCTAGTCACCTCTCACACTTAGGGCTTTGCGCAATCTGCCCAGCTCTGCTCCATTTTTTTTTTTTTTTGGGGACAGAGTCTTGCTCTGTCACCCAGGCTGGAGTGCAGTGGCTCGATCTTGGCTCACTACAACCTCCGCCTCCTGGGTTCAAGCAATTCTCCTGCCTCAGCCTCCTGAGTAGCAGGGACTACAGGCATGCAGCACCACACACGGCTAATTTTTTTGTATTTTTAGTAGAGATGGGGTTTCACCACATTGGTCACCCTGGTCTCGAACTCCTGACCTCAAGTGTTCTGACCCCCTCGGCCACCCAAAGTGCTGGGATTACAGGTGTCAGCCACTGCACCTGGCCGCTCTGCTTCTCTTAAAAGCCTCCTGTAGATGTTCCAGCTTCTAGTTTCCCTCTCACAGCTCGACATCCAGCCCTACTCACAATGTTGACTATGCGCCTCACAGGAATGCCCAACTCCCAGCACTTCCCACTGCCTACAGAGCAGAGGCCAAGCTCACCTGTGTGGCATTCGAACCTTCCCTGGTCACTGTCCAGGCTCCTGTGGGCAGCAAGATTCAGACAAGGGAGGGCTGGGTTCTGGTCCTGGTGCTTTCTCCACTGTAGGGCCTTCCTCATCTCCCTGTCCCTACCCCCACCACTCTTTTTTTTTTGAGGCAGGGTCTCGCTCTCTTACCCAGGCTGGAATGCAGTGATGCAAACATAACTCTAACCTTGAACTCCTGGGCTCAAGCGATCCTGCTGCCTCAGCCCCCACCACACTTTGACTCTTGGCCTCTACTCTAGCCCAAGGGCAGGAACTCCCCAAAGTGGGTGCAGATCCACGGCTCAGATCTTGAGCCAGCCGGGTTCCGGGAGGGAAAAAAGGCAAGGCCAGAGCTTGGCTGATGTCATGCCAATCTTTCCCAAACCAGCAGAGGCTTGTGCAAGGAGAGGTCACTGGAGTCCCTGCGTCCAGGTGGCATGACGGGGCACAGCGCATACACATAAACATGGACACACGGTGGAGAGGCTTGTGTTGACTTTGCGCCTGGGCCCCTCCCACTCACCATTTTTTTGTCGGACAAAAAAAATGTGTCACCATTGATTTGTCAGACAAATCTGGGTGACACAAGCCTGACTTCCAGCTGCCAGTACTGGAGACCCTGTGCCTGAGGGCTTTCTTTGCCCAGGGGGCCTTGAGGCCTGTGTGTAGGGCAGACAGGAAATGCCAGGTCTCAACCAGGGCTGCTAAGAATGGGTGGAAAAACCTCTCGACTCCCTCATGCCTCAGCTGGGGTGACCCTGGCATGTTCTGCAGCCTGTCCCACAGCTCTCCAGCAGGATTGAGCCCGGCTCTCCCACAGAAGTCACTTGCTTCATAACGCCCCCTCCGGTTGTTGCCTAGAATCACCTCCCAGATAAATGAATTACAATTATTCTTGAATCCTTTCCCAGGGTTGGCTTCTAGAGGAACCCAAACCAAGATACACAGGCGCAGGATCATGCACAGAGTCTCACATAGGCACACACACATGAACCACACACAGCACTCAGAGACATAGCCATGCACACACAGATTCAGAGATGCACATACAGATACAGTCAAACACACCCACACGTGTGCACACAGAGGCGCAGCCATGGACACACAGACACAGCTGTACCCCCACTCGCATACCTGTGCATGCACACAGACACTCACATACACAGACATGCACGCCCTTTCAGCCATGCATGCAGACACAGGTGCACACGCCCTCATCCATCACATATGATAAAGAGGGCAGCAGAGTGAACTGACAGGACCCTCCCTCCAGGACAACAGGGATCCTCAGCTGGATTAAGATCTGGCTCCTGTAGCCACAGTGGAGGAGGAGCTGGCCTGGGGGAGGCTGAGCAGCCAGAGCCCTGGAGTGGGGTTGTGGGATCCAGAGGAGAGGCAGCATATGGGAGGTCAGGATATCTGAACCAACGTTGGGGGCAGGATTTTTCAAAAAGATCCCAGACACAGGAGCCTCCCAGGTAGAGGGAACAGCTTAGAGCAGGTAATGGGCTGGAAAGGTCTGGCCCATGGGGTGATCCTGGTGGGGCGGGGTGCAAGGCGAGGCTGAAGAGGTGGTGGGGCAGGCAGGCAATGGAGAGTCTGACCTCATCCCAGGAGCATGGGGAACCATAGAGGGGCTTTGCGTGAGGGAGCACACAGTGATCCCCAGGGAGGCTGACAAGTACAATCACCCCACATCTGTCCGAGTCCATTTTGTGCTCGTCCAGGACCAGAAGACAAGGCCCCTCCTCTCTGGGGATCAGTCTCGCCCCTGCACAGGGTGGCTGCTCTGGCACTGAGTGTGTGAGTGACTTGTGGGGGTTAGGCTTACCTGAGACCCAAGGATGACTCATCAGAGGGGGCCTTTGTCACCTGAATGACCCCCTCGTTTCCTTGCAGCTGAGCTGGGTTGTGGGGAGCAGGACAGTCCCTGAGAGGTAAGGGAGCTGATGGGCAGGAGGCAGCGGAAGTGAGTCTGCACCAGACGGGCCTGCTACTGCCTGTCTCAGCCCCAAAAAGCTGTGCATCTCTTCTGTCCCACACTTGCCCTTCCACGGTCTGGGGCACCCACGTCACTGTGGAATACCTGCTTGTCTTTCAATACCCCCTCAACACACCAAATGCTTTCTCCTCCTCTTCTCAGAAACCCCTGATCCTGCCACCCGAGGGGCACCCCTGGTGCTGGGCTTGAACCCCCGTGAGGACACTCCCTGAGCTCAACCTGCTTGGTGGTCCTTTTCCTCTCTGGCTTCCTTGGAGCAAGGACTCTGGTGCTAGTCACCTGCTTCTCCCGCTGAGGCAGGCTCAGGGGCTGGTATACACCTGCCACTCCATTAGAGCCTGGTGACCCCACCACAGGCCCCGGCACACAGCTGGCATTCCCCGAACACTTGTGGAATTGAATCCCCTGTTCTTCACCCTACAGAAAGTCCCTGAGTGGAAGCATCGCTGGAGATGGTGGGAGGGATTCCCTGGTGCACTCAGGCTCACTGGTTTTGGGGATTGATTCATCAGACAAATCTGAGTGATCTTTCTTCGTGCCAGGCCAGGGCCAAGTGTTCCACATTCACCGGTGACCAGCAGGGTGTGGTCCCTGCTTTCAGGGAGCTCATAGTCATAGGGGAAATGAATGATAAACTCACAACATGTCAGGAGTGAGGAGCAGAGAGGCATGAGAGGGTGCTGGGGCGGGGTCAGAGGATGCGACTCTGAGGTGACGTTCAGGCTGAGGCCTGAAATATCATGAGCCAGCAGAATGATGACACGGCGGATGAGCAGCCCAAGCAGAGGGAATAGCTGTGCAAAGGCCCTGAGGAGGGCCTGAGCTTGGCTTGTGGGAGGGCAGTGAGGAGGCCAGTGTGCCATGATGAGGAAGGGGAGGCGAAGGAGGCCTCCAGGCGCTTCCTCCAGGGAGGCCCCTAACCACATCCATTCATTGAAACCAGAAGGGCTCCAGCAAGCTGGGGTCAGAGTTGGGACTTGTCTAGTCTTGTGTCCCTGGCCAGGGCATCATAGCCAGGTGACAGTCCCCTTGCTCCTTGAGGGCAAGGCAGAGCTGTTTTTTTCACTGAAGGGACATGTTACAAATACAGACTCCTGGCCCCACCCATACCCACCAAATCAGACTCTGACAGGCCTGGCAATGGGCATTTATACCAGCTCTTCCCTAGATTCTGGAAACCCTGTGCTCAAAGCCCCCTATGGGCCTGGACCTGACTGGCTTGCCCCATTTAATGACCAGCTGTGACCCTGCTTCTCAAACTCATGGAGAGGAGGAC
Organism: Homo sapiens; assembly: GCF_000001405.40. Lineage (NCBI taxonomy): Eukaryota > Metazoa > Chordata > Mammalia > Primates > Hominidae > Homo > Homo sapiens. The sequence continues at coordinate 52,174,528 of NC_000003.12, read as the reverse complement.
ATGAAACCATAAAAGCATAAATAGTGCATGTTCCTGAGTATCAGCCTAACTTGGAGTTAACTAGTCCATCATTAAAACATTAATTTGATATTAAAAAGAGGCTGTTGTGCCTGGTGCAATGGCATATACCTGTAGTCCCAGATAACTTGGGAGGGTGAGGCAGGAGGATCACTTGAGCCCAGGAGTTTGAGGCTGTAGTGTGCTATGATCACGCCTGTGAATAGCCACTGTACTCCAGCCTGGACAACACAGTGAGACCTTTTCTCTTAAAAAAAAAAAAAAAGACGCAGCTGCACTATGAAATAGATGCTAAACTTACTTATTGTTTAAGATGGACTACAAGACAGGCCGGGCATGGTGGCTCACGCCTGTAATCCCAGCACTTTGGGAGGCCGAGGCTGGCGGATCACTAGTTCAAGACCAGCCTGGCCAACATGGTGAAACCCCGTCTCTACCAAAAATACAAAAACAACAACAACAACAACAACAAAAAAAAAACAATTAGCAGGTGTAGTGGCATGGACCTGTAATCCCTACTACTTGGGAGGCTGAGGCAGGAGAATTGCTTGAACCCAGGATGCGGAGGTTGCAGTGAGCCAAGATCGCACCAATGCACTCCAGCCTGGGTGACAGAGTGAGACCTTGCCACACACACACAAAAAAAAGATGAAAGATGAAATATGAGACAATAAAGGATTTTCTGGTATGGGTTTGGCTACTTTGGGACAGTTTTGGCCCCCATCTCTGCTGTTGGGGTGAAAATCTTGAGGCCCTCTTAAGTTCCTCTGGGGCTTGAACTATTTCAGAGTTTTTAGTCCTTCTTCATGGATGCATTAGGATTAATGGTTCAGGTTTGCAGACAGACAGGCTTGGTTTTAATCCTGGCTTCTCACTTACTAACTCTGTGCCTCAGTTTCTCCATCAGTAAAATGCACTGCTCCTTGTTGTGGGTTGTGGTTAAGACTCATGTGGCCTTTGGTATAGGGTGACTCTGCAGTAGGTGAAAGTTGTCAGTTATTTTCTTTCTGGCACTGTTCTGGGCTGGTTCACAGCACAATTCAGGGCTCAATGGAAGAGGGAAATCCCATGATCTGGCCTCTTGGGCATCTGGCCCCATCTTCTCTCCCCAAATGCTCTGAGGACAGCTCTGTGGCCTGCATCCTTCTGTTTTGCCTCAGGTCCCTGGGGTTGGGTTGTCTCCAAAACTCCCTCAGCTAGGCAGTGGGGCACAGGGACAAAGGGTTGCCACAGCTACTGTGGACTGGGCCTCATGCCCCCCCATGGCCTCACTGGGAGACTGAAGTCTGAGAGGCTCAGTGACTTGCCCACAGCCACAGAGCCGGTCTATAGTCTAGAACTGCACTGGCCATACAGTAGCCACTAGCCACATATAGCACAGGAATTAATTAAAATTCAATAAAATTTAAAATTCAGTTCCTCACTCACACTAGCCACATTTCAAGTGTTCAGTAATCACATGTGACCAGTGGCTACCATTATGGATAACCCAGATAGATAGAATATTTCCATCCTCCCAGAAAACTCTTGTGGTCAATGCTGGTCTAGAAGCAGCAGTTCTCAGCCTTGGGTACCCACTGGACTCACCTGGGGAGCTTTTATAAAATGCGAGTGTCTGAGCTCCACCTGCAGGGGTTCTGAACAGCAGCTGGGGCTGAGAACCGCTGCTCTGAAGCTCTGTCTGCATGATCTACTGGAAAGGTTCTTAGTGTTGAGTTCAGACCTCATAGGAGTGTTTGCGCCTCGCTGTCAGCCCATGTGTGCAAGGCCAAGGTGGGGGCCTTCGATATTGTGGGATCTTTTGCCCCAGCTCCTTCTCCTCTCCTTGGATGATGTGAAACAGAGGCCTGGCATCTCTCAAAGGGGTATTCTGCAGTAGTGGAGGAGGGGCATGGGTCATGCTCATTGGGTGTGGGTAGAAGAACTCAGCACACAGAGGCTTCCCTATCTGACTTGAGTGGATGGGGTGAGTGTGGCTACTGGCCAGCTATGTGTTCTCACACTGCTTGGAAACTGGTCCCAGGGACCCATGGGTCCATTGAATCACTGTCTCCAGGAATCGCATGGCAGCGCCAGTCATGCCATCCACTGCCTGCAATGTGGGAGGACAGGTCCAAGCTGGATGCTTATGCAGGGGGACTTCCTGTCTCCACCAGTGTGAGCTTTGCCAGAGTAGCCCCTGCGATTGGATGGAGGAGCAGGGCTCGGCCAGGCTGAAGGCTATAATCCCATTAGACCTCTCCTCACTCTGGGGTGTGGCCTGCCTTTAGAGAAAGCTGACCCACAGGGGCACACTAGTTCCACAGTGGGTACCACTGAGGCCCAGAATTGCCATGGGACTCCATGGAAAGGGGCACTCTGCAGGGGTCACTCCCACAACAGGTGGGGTCACTCCCACAACAGGTGGGCCTAGTGCAATAGCCCCATCTGTGGGGGGTCTCTTTTGGCTCATCTCAGTCCTAGGAGGGGACATGTGCCTCCTGACCCTTTGAGGCGGATCCCCAGGGACCTTGCCTACATGTGCCCTTCCAGTCTGGCCCTACTCCTGGTCCTCATCTGCTTTGTCCCACTCCCCAGACACCACATGTTCAGTCCTGTTACCAGACCTTTTCCTAGTCTGTGCCCTGCACCCGAACCACCCTTTCTCTTCTCTCCTGTCCATCTGCACCCCTCACTGTGCTCCAAAGCTTATCTCCTATAGAGCAGCTTTCCTTCATTACCTTAATCCCTTCGCCTTCTCTCCAGCCAAGAACCAGTCCTGTGCATCACAGATTCCATTGCAATCTATGAGCAATGTTGGAATGAGTCATTTATTTATTCACCAAATGTTTATTGCACCCCACTCTATCTGGGCCCTCTGCTGGGTGCAGGGGCACAGTCACATCTGTCTCTGGAGTGGACATTCTCATGGGGAGAAGATAACAGGTCCAGTGCATCAGATGGTGTTAAGTCACCACAGGAAAATAAAGCAGGGAAAGGGAAGGAGTGGGCAGACATTTGTAAGTAGGGTTGTCAGAGAAGGCTATACTGAGAAGCTGATGTTTGAACAAAGTCCTGATGGAAGTGACAGATAGAGCCATGGGGACACTGGGACAACAGCCGGTGCAAGAGTCCTGAGATGAGAGAGTGGCTGGCACATTCTTATTCAAGGAACAGCAAGAAGCTCAATGTGGTTGGAGCAGGGAGAGCAGGGCAGAGCAGTGGAAGCAGAGGCAGAGAGGTGTGGGCCAGATCATCGGAGCAGGGGAAGTATGAAGTCACATAGTTCATATTAAGTGTCAGCTCAACATCAAGCTCTGACACTAATGAAGAGCTCATGGAATCTCCCCTCCTCTATCATGGCAGGCATATTATTACGATTATTTTACAACTGAGAACACTGCAGCGGGGAGAGGTGGTATGACTCCTGCTAGATCACCAGTTCAAAGGTGGCAGGGCCTGGGCTCATCCGCAGGCCTGCCTGACCTTGGGACAAGCCCTGAGCTGCCCTGCTCAGAGTTTCAAACCCAGGCCACCAGCAGGCGTAGGCAGGGGAAACTGATAGCATTGATGGGGCTTTCTGGTTTCGGGCTGGCTGGGCTAAGTTGGTGGATGGGATATCCGACTTTCCCACTTCTTTCTCTGCCCCACCCTGGGTGGCCTTGGCTCATGGTCAGCAGGCTGGGGAGTGAAGACAGCCTCTTGTAGGGGAGTCCACCTGTGGGCCTGCACCAGGATAGACACCTTCCTGCCACAAGGGGACTTGAAAAAGATAGCTATGGCCAGGCGTGGTGGCTTATGCCTGCAATACCAGCACTTTGGGAGGCTGAAGCAGATGGATTACCTGAGGTTAGGAGTTCAAGACCAGCCTGACCAACATGGTGAAACCTCATCTCTACTAAAAATACATAATTAGCCGGGTGTGGTGGTGGGTGCCTATAATCCCAGCTACTTGGGAGGCTGATGCAGGAGAATCGCTTGAACCTGGGAGGCAGAGGGTGCAGTGAGCTGAGATCATACCAATGCACTCCAGCCTGGGCAACAAGAGTAAAACTCTGTCTCAAATAATAATAATAATAATAATAATAATAATAATAATAATAATAATAATGATAAAATAAATTTAAAAATAAAAATAAAAAAAGAAAAAGATAGCTAAAATAGCTCTCTTCCAGCTTCCTCAATAAGAAGGTCCCCCCAACATTGAGGCTCCTTCAAAACTGAGCTCTGCCTCTACATGGAGGCCTCAGTCAGAACTGGAGTCCAATCGAATGGAGGTAGTACTGGGGTAGGGGCCTGCCCAGTCAGGGAATAGAGGCACTTGGTTTATGCAGGTTGTACTAGCAGCAGATCCTGGGCTGTTTACATGTTGTCAGAGAATTTGCATTTTTTGGCGAAGAAATGAGCAAAAGGGGGTGGGGCACCTTCAGCTCCTCCTCCCAGGTGAATAGGGATGGAAGACAGAAGGATCTGGAAAGATTAGACGGGTAAGTAAAATCTTCTAGTGACTCTCACTTTGAATAAATCTAACGTTTGAAAACCATTTACAGAAGAGTTTCTCTAAATTCAATTTTTTTTTTTTTTTTTCAGAGACACAGTCTTGCTCTGTTGCCCAGGTTGGAATGCAGTGGCACAATCTTGACTCACTGTGATACCCGCCTCCTGCATTCAGGTGATTCTCGTGCCTCGGCCTTCTGAATAGCTGGGACTACAGGTGCGTGCCACCACGTCCAGCTAATTTTTGTATTTTTAGTAGAGACAGGGTTTCATCATGCTGGCCAGGCCAGTATTGAACTCCTGACCTCATGTGATCCGCCTGTCTTGGCCTCCCAAAGTGCTGGGATTACAGGTGTCAGCCACCGCGCCTGGCCAGATTTAAACATATTCTGATTGGTGATGTGTTGAAAGAGTTATTATCAGTAGAAAGGAATATCTTGGTTAAGATAAGGGGTTGTGGAGATCAAGCTTTTACCATGCAGATGAAGCCTCTGGATAGCAGGTTTCAGAGAAAATAGATTGTAAATGTTTCCTATCAGACTTAAGGTCTGTGTTGATGTTAACGCTGGAGGGATATAGTGAGGCATGTGCAACCCCAACTTCCCATCATGGCCTGAACCAGTCTTTCAGGTTAAATTTTAGAGTGCCCTGGCCAAGAAGGAAGTCCATTCAGATGGTTTCAAGTTTTCAACATCTGATGGTTGTCAAATTTTATTTATTTATTCTTTTTTTTTTTTTTTTTGAGACGGAGTCTTGCCAGTCTGTCACCAGGCTAGAGTGCAGTGGAGTGACCTCGGCTCACTGGTTCAAGCGATTCTCCTGCCTCAGCATCCCAAATAGCTGGGATTACAGGCATGAGCCACCATGCCCAGCTAATTTTTGTATTTTTAATAGAGATGGGGTTTCACCATGTTGGCCAGGATGGTCTCGATCTCATGACCTTGTGATCCTCCCGCCTTGGCCTCCCAAAGTGCTGGGATTACAGGCATGAGCCACTGCACCCGGCCCAAATTTTATTTTTGGTTTGCATTCTCCCCATTCTGGCCAAGATTTGCCAGAGGCAACATTAATGGCCACCAGATTTTAATTTTCTCCCATAGCATTGCTGGGGTGGCATGGCTGCTTGCCCTGGGTCCATCCTGTCCCTCAGTGGGACTCCCTATGGCTAAGGGACTTAGAACCAACAAGTCTTACAGCCAATTAATTGTTTTAGGCCAGATATGAATGGACATGAACAAGCATTCATTACTCCTTAAAATTATTATTAATGTTATTATTATTTTTAAGTAGAAAGCCAACAAACAAAAGCTAAAGGTGAGGTTACAAAACTGACTTATTTTTAACTTCTGTATGTTGAACTACTATAATCTTTTTTTTTTTTTTTTGAGATGGAGTCTCACTCTGTTGCCCAGGCTAGAGTGCAGTGGTGCGATCTCAGCATACTGCAACCTGTGCCTCCGGGGTTCCAGCAATTCTCCTGCCTCAGCCTCTCGAGTAGCTGGGACCACAGGCATGCACTACCACACCCAGATAATTTTTGTATTTTTAGTAGAGATGGGGTTTCACCATGTTGGTCAGGCTGGTCTTGAATTCCTGACCAAGTGATCCACCCACCTCAGCCTCCCAAAGTGCTGGGATTACAGGCATGAGCCACTGCGCCCAGCTAAACTACTATAATCTTGGTTTTAGTTACAGGCTTATAGCAATTAGCTATACAAAACATAAGCATTGTTGCGACAAAAAAAAAAAATCTGAAATATATATCTTGGCTGTGTGTGATGGTTAACCCCTGTAATCGCAGCACTTTGGGAGGCCAAGGCAGGTGGATCACTTGAGCTCATGAGTTTGAGACCAGCCTGGCCAACATGGAAAAATTCTGTCTCTACTAAAAATACAAAAATTAGCCAGGCATGATGGCACATACCTGTAGTCCTAGCTACTCAGCAGGCTGAGGCAGGAGAATGGCGTGAACCCGGGAGGCGGAGCTTGCAGTGAGTCGAGATCACGCCACTGCACTCCAGCCTGGGCAACAGAGCAAGACTCTGCCTCAAAAAAAAAAAAAAAAAAATCTGCACAACTCATAACTGGGAGTATTATACCCAGAAGGCTTTGCTATGAGGTATCATTATCCTATCAGTAATTTTTTTCTTCTAATTTCACAGGAAGCAGGAAATTATTTACGGTTGGAGTGGATGCAAAGGTGACACATAATAGCTTAGAAGGCTAAGTCCCTTGTTTTACCAGCTGTTTAGGCATCTTTGTACCCATCCTTGATTTGGAGAGTCTGACCTTGACCAAATTCTATCCCTCAAAACTGGCCCTTACAATCTCACGTTATCTGCCTCTTCCATGACAGTCCCTGGGCCTAGAGGGAGGGTGCTTGTATAGTTGAAGCGGTGTCATTGTCTGGGGAAATACCCGAGGTTCGTTGAGAACAAAGACGTGGAGACACACACACAAGCGTGCACACAGAGTGGATTTAAGAGTGGACAGTTTAATAGGCAAAAGAAAGAAGAGAGAGCTTCCTTGTTCAGAGTAAGGGGGTGCCCAAGTGGGCTTCCGGGCTTGGGGCAAGACGCGGTTGATTTTACAGACAGGCTTGACAAGGCAGTGTTTGATTTACATAGGACCCCGGGAATTGGTTTGACCAGGTGTTCTATTTGCATAGCCTGAGAAGAGACTGGCCATCCCACCTTAATCTTTTATTATGCAAATGGGCCTTTACCTGGCCAGCGCCATGACACCTGCTGAGGTGGGTGGATCACCTGAGGTTAGGAGTTCAAGATCAGCTTGGCCAACATGGTGAAACTCCGTTTCTACTAAAGATACAAAAAATTAGCCGGGTGTAGTGGTGCACGCCTGTTAATCCCAGCTACTTGGGAGGCTGAGGCAGGAAAATCGCTTGAATCCGTGAGGCAGAGGTTGCAGTGGGCCGAGATTGCACCATTGCACTCCAGCTTGGGCAACAAGAGCAAAACTCCGCTCAAAAAAAAAAAAGAAAGTTTATTTTGCCAAGGTTAAGGACATGCCTGTGACACAGCCTCAGGAGGTCCTGATGACATGTGCCAAAGGTGGTTGGGGCACAGCTTGGTTTTATACGTTTTAGGGAGACATGAGACATCGATCAGTACTTGTAAGATATACATTGATTTGGTCCAGAAAGGTGGGACAACTCGAAGCAGGGAGGGGGCTTCCAGGTCCTAGGTAGATCAGAGACGAACGATTGCATTCCTTTGAGTTTCTGATTAGCTTTTCACTAAATACACAATTCATTAATATATATGAAAGAAGGGTAGAGGAAATAGTCACTTATGCCTTAGTGCACCTGGCCACTGCGCCCGGCCTCCTTTTCTTTTTAAAATCTTTCGGAGAAAGCATTTTAGAAGAAAATGAGACTCTGGGCCGGGCGCGGTGGCTCCTGCCTGTAATCCCAGGACTTTGGGAGGCTAAGGGGGCGGATCACCTGAGGTCAAGAATTTGAGACTAGCCTGGCCAACATGGTGAAACTCTGTCTCTACTAAAAATACAAAAATTAGCCTGTATATGTGGCACACACCTGTAATCCCAGTTACCTGGGAGGCTGAGGCAGAAGAATTGCTGGAACCCAGGAGGCAGAGGCTGCAATGAGCCGAGATCGTGCCACTGCACTCCAGCCTGGGTGACAAGAGCCAGACTCTGTCTTAAAAAAAAAAAGAAAAGAAAAAGAAAAGAAAAAAGAAGAAAAAGAAAATAAGGCTCTGGTCTCAGGTTTCATCTGATCTCTCATTGGTAGGATGGTTTATTCCTAGAGGGGTAGGTCCCACGTTATTAAGAAAGATCATTTTTAGCAGGCTGTGAAGGCTCATGTCCTACGAAGAGAAAATAGGGGGAGGAAGGGAGAAAAACAACAACAACCGAACAACAACAACAAAAAGAACAATCCTGGAAAACTGATATAGGCCATATTACCCTGAAGTCCATACATTGGTAGGCAGGTATGAAAGTGGCTTATGTATGTAAATAGGTTGCTGCTATTTTGTTCTGAAGTTTAAGTTGTCTAGCTTCAGTTCACAGGGCTTTAAGAAAGCACAGCTTAATTTTCAGTGATTTCAAATCAGAGAAAATAGGGGAAAAAAGGAAAAGAAAGAAGGAAAAAAAAAAAGGAAAGCATTTTGGAGACTTGTAGCCAGGACAAATTTAGAATTCAGTCCAAACTGTAGAAAATAATAAAAATTGAAAAACATTAGGCAAGACTAGAATCTAATAACAAGTGTACTATAGTTTATCTTGAAACATAATTTCTGTCTCTCTAGTCCCCATTTTCACAAAAGACAAATCATGGTAGGATTGATTTGTCTGCAAAAATAAGCTTTAGTCTTATGCTTGGCCTGATTATTTGTATAAAGTGCAGCAAGAATAACTATTTACCACATAGGATCTTTTTGTAATTGGCTTTTATGGAATTTTGTTTTATAAGGAATCTCAGATAAGACTTTTTTAAAGCCTCGAGCCCAGCCCTGAGTTTGTGCAGTCAAATATTAATACCTATGTGAGTTTGGGTAAATTTGTCTACTCTTGAGGTCCCAAGATAACTTGGGGCTCCTAAGCCTGTCAGAAAATGGCATTCTTTACTTACCACAGGTCAGGAACCCTGTACAGGTACTGTATAGACAAGGTGCCAGTTTTCCTTAGGGGCTTTATTGGCTGTATAAGTCAACTTTGATTCCTTAAAGGAGTGTGTTTCTGTCTGAAAGCATGCCATTCCAGTCAAAGCCTTGATAAAGTAACCAGTGTCTCCAACTGTGTCCTGTTACAAAAGAAAACAGATTCTTATTGCACTTACGCAAATAAATATATAGCGTAAGTTAAGAATACTCACAAATAGTTTCCAAATTTGGAAAAAATCAGGTAGAGAGAAATATGTTCCAAATTTTGTTTATAGCAGTACACTTTACTCAATTGTTAAAAGCTGCAAATAGCTCAAAACAGGGCCAGGTGGGGTGGCTCATGCCTGTAATCCCAGAACTTTGGGAGGCTGAGGCAGGCGGATCACTTGAAGCTAGGAGTTCGAGACCAGCCTGGGCAACATGGCAAAACCCCAGCTCTAATAAAAATACAAAAATTGGCCGGCATTGTGGCTTACGCCTGTAATCCCAGCACTTTGGGAGGCAGAGGCGGGCGGCTCACGAGGTCAGGAGATTGAGACCATTCTGGCTAACACAGTGAAACCCCATCTCTACTAAAAATACAAAAACAAAATTAGCCAGGCATGGTGGTGTGTGCCTGTAGTCCCAGCTACTGGGGAGGCTGAGGCGAGAGAATGGCATGAACCTGGGAGGCGGAGCTTGCAGTGAGCCGAGATCGCGCCACTGCACTCCAGCCTGGGCGACATAGCAAGACTCCGTCTCAAAACAAAAAACGAAAAAAACAAAAAAACAAAAATTAGCTGGGTGAGGTGGTGCACCCGTACTCCCAGCTACTTGGGAGGCTGAGGCATGAGAGTCGCTTGAACCTGCTAGGCGGAGGTTGCAGTGAGCCGAGATCGCACCACTGCACTCCAGCTTGGGTGACAGAGGAAGAGTGTCTCAAAAAAAAAAAAAAAAAAAAAAAAAAGAGAAAAAGAAAGTTTTCTTGGCTCCAAAAAACAAAAGATAAGCAATTTTTTTTTTTTTTGAGACGAAGTTTCACTCTTGTTGCCCAGGCTGGAGTGCAATGGCGCAATCTCGGCTCACCGCAACCTCCGCCTCCCAGGTTCAAGCGATTCTCCTACCTCAGCCTCCCTAGTAGCTGGGATTACATGCATGTGCCATCATGCCCGGCTAGTTTTGTATTTTTAGCAGAGATGGGGTTTCTCCGTGTTGGTCAGGCTGGTCTTGAACTCCCGACCTCAGGTGATCCGCCCACCTTGGCCTCCCAAAGTGCTGGGATTACAGGCATGAGCCACTGTACCCAGTCTTTTTTTTTTTTTTTGAGATGGAGTTTCACTCTGTCACCCAGGCTGAAGTGCAGTGGTGCGATCTTGGCTCACTGCAACATCTGCCTCCCGGATTCAAGTGATTCTTCTGCCTTAGCCTCCCAAGTAGCTGGGATTACAGGCATGTGCCACCACGCCCAGCTAATTTTTGTATTTTTAGTAGAGATGGGGTTTTGCCATGTTGGCCAGGCTGGTCTCAAACTCCTGACCTCAGGTGATCCGCCCGCCTGGGCCACCCAAAGTGCAGGGATTACAGGTGTGAGCCACCGTGCCCGGCCAGATAAGCAGTGTTTTAAGCAAAAATCATAAAAGGATTATTTCAGTCTTCTATTAGTTCAGTCCATGCAGTTAATCCCTGTTCTGTTTGATATTCATGAACATTTCAGCTCTCCATGGGAGTCTTGGAAGTTTTTCCTCTGTTCTACTGTCACAGTCTCCATAGTTATCAGAAACTTGCATTCAAGAGCACCTGTCAGAGTCCTATAGCTGATTATAAAAAACATCTTTTGAAAAGGATAAAAGTAAAATAACTATGGATGATAAAGTCTGAGAGCAGTCATAGTTAAAGACACAATTGACAAGGAGATTTGGTTACTTCTGTGGTATACAACAATTTTACATAATAACCATAATTACTTCTTCTTTTTTTTTTTTTTGAGATGGAGTTTCACTCTTGTCACCCAGGCTGGAGTGGAATGGTGCGATCTCAGCTCACTGCAACCTCTGCCTCCTGGGTTCAAGCAATTCTCCTGCCTCAGCTTCCCAAATAGCTGGGATTATAGGCGCCTGCCATGATGCCCAGCTAATTTTTGTATTTTTAGTAGAGATGGGGTTTCACCATGTTGGCCACGCTGTTCTTGAACTCCTGACCTCAGCTGATCCACCCACCTAGGCCTCCCATAGTGTTGGGATTACAGGCATGAGCCACCATGCCTGACCCATAATTACTTCTGATAACATATGCTAAGACATATCAGAATCACAGGAATTTCACACAATTCTGGAACACTTAACAACACATTTATATAAATATAATCCAAAGAAGGTTAAACACCATTTCATATTTGACAGTACTTCCTGTATGATTTTATTATTTATCTCAAACAAGTCTAATATATCTCTTCCGGACTTCAGGTGACTAATAAAAAAAAATGCAAACTGAAGTTAGAATGTGCTTTTGGGGAGTTTGTCAAATATAAAAAGCTTAAAACACTTGATACTGATGGCAGTGGCTATGCCATCAGGCTGGCTGCAGCATGGAGACGCGGCTTGGGCTGCACACACTGTGGAGCTAGTGGGAGCTCTGCGAGCCCCGCTTCTTCTGAGTTGGGGTGGGAGCTCCTCAGGTGCCACTGAAGCTGCCCAAACTGCAGCTGCAGACCCAGGGCTCCTGCTTTATGGAGCAGGCAGGAGCTCCACCCTCCTGGGCAGGGCTACAGCCACCCAAACTGCAGCTATGGATCCTAACCTCCCTGTGCTCTTGGGGGAGGGCTGGGAGCAGGCAGGACCTGCCTTCCTGGGTGCAGCTGTCCTCTAGGGTGCAGGACCTGGGTGTCTTTGCAGCCTGCACCCTCAGGGGCCCCAGGGAGGACCTCCCCCTGCCCACTGACCCCATCCCTGCAGGCTCAGGGGTGTCTGCTCCCACTGCCTAGCCTCCCTCCACTTCTGGCGCCTGCTCTGATCTCAGAGCAGGGTTGGGGCTAAGCCCCGGAGATTTGAATGGCAGTGGGAGGCAGACAGAGTCCTGGATGGAAGGGGGAAGGTCCCTAGTAAGGTCCCACCTTCAGGGCAGAGAAGGCCTGAAGGCTGGGGTCCAGGCTGCCAGTCCCGTAGGGTGGGGAGTAGGGACTCATGGTACCTCTCCTGGGCCCACCCATGGCTGCCCATGGACCAACTGGCACACACTTCCTTTCCTCTGAGGTCCATAAAAGCCCTGGGCTCAGTCAGAGTAGGGCAGAGATGACAGGATGGGATGATCAGCTACAGAGAGGAGTAATCTCTCTGCTGAGAGCTTCACAGACGAACTGCCAGCAGAGAGGAACTACCCTCTCTGCTGAGAGCTTCAGAGACCTGCAGAGACATCTGAATGACTTGCCTGCAGAGAGGAGCCACCCTCTCTAGGTCCTCCTCTCTGCTGAGAGCTGAGCACTCAACAGGATGACCTGCCTACAGAGAGGAGCTACCCACTCCTCTAAGCTATTCTAACATTAAATAAAACTCTTCTTTGGCTTGGTGGCTCATGCCTGTAATCCTAACACTTTGGGAGGCTGAGGTGGTTGGATCACCTGAGGTCAGGAGTTTGAGACCAGCCTGGCCAACATGATGAAACACTGTCTCTACTAAAACACAAAAATTAGCTGGGCGTGGTGGTGGGTGCCTGTAATCCCAGCTACTTGGGAGGCTGAGGCAGGAGAATCACTTGAACCCAGGAGGCAGGGGTTGCAGTGAGCTGAGATTGCACCATTGCACTCCACCCTGGGTAACAAGAGCAAAACTCCATCTCAAAAACAACAACAACAACAACAACAAAAACTCTTCTTCACCCTTCATTTGTCTGCATACCTGATTCTTCCTGGTTGCAGGACAAGAATTTGGGCAAAGCTGCTGTGGCCACAGAGGCTTCCAGGCAGAAAAATTGACATCCCAGAGATCCAGTAATTATATCACAAAATAGGATCATGGGTCATTGTAAAATAAGTCATTCTGGCTGGGTGTGGTGGCTCACACCTGTAATCCTAGCACTTTGGGAGGCTGAGGCGGGCAGATCACCTGAGGTCAGGAGTTCGAGACCAGCCTGGCCAAATGGTGAAACCCATTTCTCTTCTAAAAATACAAAAATTAGCCAGGCATGGTGGCACATGCCTGTAATTCCAACTACTTGGGAGGCTGAGGCACGAGAATTGCTTGAACCCGGGGGTGGAAGCTGCAGTGAGCTGAGATCATACTATTGCACTCCAGTGAGGGTGACAGAATGAGACTCTGTCTCAAAAAAGAAAAAAGAAAAAAGTCTGTATTTTTTCAGATAAAGTATTTGATTTAAGTGCCTTTTTTCCTTTAAGCCAATTAATTAGAGCTCTTTTATATATTTTTAGCAGTGAAACATCATCTACATGACACATAAATGCCTAGATGTATTAGACATGTAGACAGAAATAGATCTTATAGATTCATAAGTCCTCCTTTTTTCCCTTCTATTTCAGACTTCCAATTTCTTGATAACCCATTTTATTACCTGAGGCAGTTAGTTGTCAGATAGACAGTCTTAAATTTGCATATTAAAGGCAACTCTTGGCCTAGCTCGGTGGCTCACGCCTATAATCCCAGCACTTTGGGAGGCCGAGGCGGGTGGATCATGAGGTCAGGAGATCGAGAACATCCTGGCCAACATGGTGAAACCCCATCTCTACTAAAGATACAAAAATTAGCTGGGTGTGGTGGCACGTGCCTGTAATCCCAGCTATTCAGGAGGCTGAGGCATGAGAATCGCTTGAACCTAGGAGGCGGAGGTTGCAGTGAGCTGAGATCGCACCACTGCATTACAGCCCGGTGACAGAGCAAGACTCCGTCTGAAAAAAATAAAAATAAAAATAAAGGAAACTCTTAGGTGAAAAATTGGATAGCTAAATTTACATCTCAAGGTACAGAGAGGAAAAGTCTAGTGGTACTAAAGAGATTAAAGATGGATGCCAGCCAGGCGTGGTGGCTCATGCCTGTAATCCCAGCACTGTGGGAGGCCAAGGCAGGCGGATCACTTGAGGTCAAGAGTTTGAGACCAACATGGCAAAACCCCATCTCTACTAAAAATACAAAAATTTGCTGGGTGTGGTGGTACGCACCTGTAATCACAGCTGAGGCAGGAGAATCACTTGAGCCTGGGAAGCAGAGTTTACAGTGAGCCTAGATCATGCCACTGTACTCCAGGCTGTGGGTGACAGAGCAAGACTCTGTCTCAAAAAAAAAAAAAAAAAGATGCCAAATCAAACATAAAATTATAGAAATCTATCATAAGATTGTATAAGGAAACCACTTTTATTTTGACAGGTAGTTCTAAATTTAGTCTTTATCTTTTAACTGGCTCTCTGAGCTCTGGGAAGAGCCCAATCTGAATACTGGGTCTCCGAAAAGAGTGTTACTATAAGGCTAGACCACATGATGATTTACAGTGCACCTTTTTTTTAAACAAGACGTTTCTCTAAGTGCCTAAACTACACACTTTCCCTTACTTTAAACACCCAAGAGTAACCTCTCTTGTAATAACTATTTGAAAGAAAGAAAGAGAGAGAGAGAGAAAGAAAGAGAGAGAAAGAAAGAAAGAAAAAGAAAGGAAGAAAGAAAGAAAAAGAAATGAAGAAAGAAAGAAGGAAAGGAAGGAAGGAAAAGAAATCAGGTAACACAATACAAAAGCAAGCAGTTTAAGATCTGAGATGAACTTGTCCATATACACTCTTGGGGTTCCCTAAGGAAAAACAGAGCTTTCTCCCCAAAAGGGAGTCTTACACCTTCTCTGTTTTCCTTAATGAATCTCAGGCTGTTAGAAACTATTTTAGGTTCCTCATGCAGCAGAGGGTGGCAAGAGAAAGGAGAGACAGCAGAAATAAATGAAAGCAGAATTCAGGCTGGGAGTGGTGGCTCACGCCTGTAATCCCAGCACTTTGGGAGGCTGAAGTGGGTGGATTACCTGATGTCAGGAGGTCGAGACCAGCCTGGCCAATATGGTGAAACCCTATCTCTACTAAAAATACAAAAATTAGCTGGGCGTGGTGGCGTATGCCTGTAATCCCAGCTATTTGGGAGTCTGAGGCAGGAGAATTGCTTGAGCCCAGGAGATGGAGGCTGCAGTGAGCTAAGATAGTGCCACTGCACTCCAGCCTGGCCCACAGAGTGAGACTCTGTCTCAAAAAAAAAAAAAAAAAAAAAAGGCCGGGCGCGGTGGCTCATGCCTGTAATCCCAGCACTTCGGGAGGCCGAGGCGGGCAGATCACGAGGTCAGGAGATCGAGACCATCCTGGCTAACATGGTGAAACCCTGTCTCTACTAAAAATACAAAAGATTAGCTGGGCGTGGTGGCAGGCGCCTGTAGTCCCAGCTACTCAGGAGGCTGAGGCAGGAGCATGGCGTGAAACTGGGAGGCAGAGGTTGCAGTGAGCCAACATTGCGCCACTGCACTGCAGCCTGGGCGACAGAGCGAGACTCCGTCTCAAAAAAAAAAAAAAAAAAAAAAGACTGGGCACGATGGCTCATTCCTGTAATCCCACTTTGGGAGGCCGAGGTGGGCAGATCACCTGAGGTCAGGAGTTTGAGACCAGCCTGGCCAACATGGTGAAATGTGGTCTCTACTAAAAATACAAAAATTGGCCAGGCATGGTGGCTCATGCCTGTAATTCCAGCACTTTGGGAGGCCAAGGCAGGAGGATCACCTGAGGTCGGGAGTTTGACACCAGCCTGACCAACATGGAGAAACCCCGTCCGTACTAAAAATACAAAAAAATTAGCCGAGTGTGGTGGCACATGCCTGTAATCCCAGCTACTTGGGAGGCTGAGGTAGGAGAATCGCTTGAAGCCGGGAGGTGGAGGTTGCGATGAGCTGAGATTGCACCATTGCATTCCAGCCTGGGCAACAAGAACGAAACTCCATCTCAAAAAACAAAAAACAAACAAACAAGAAAACAAAAATTAGCCAGGCATGGTGGTGCACGCCTGTAATCCCAGCTACTCAGGAGGCTGAGGCAGGAGAATTGCTTGAACCTGGGAAGTGGAGGTTACAGTGAGCCAAGATTGAGCCACTACACTCCAGCTGCCTGGGTGACAGAGCAAGACTCCTTTTCAAAAAAAAAAAAAAAAGAAAGAAATAAAGAAAAAAGAAAACAGAATTCAGGGCTGGGCGCAGTGGCTCATGCCTGTAATCCTAGCACTTGGGGAGGCTGAGGCAGGTGGATCACCTGAGGTCAGGAGTTCAAGACCAGCCTGGCCAACATGGCAAAAACTCGTCTCTACTAAAAATACAAAAATTAGCTGGACATGGTGGTGCACACCTGTAATCTCAGCTACTTGGGAGGCTGAGGAAGGAGAATCGCTTGAACCCAGGAGGTGGAGGCTGCAGTGAGCCGAGATCGCTCCATTGCACTCCAGCCTGTGCAACAGGGGTGAGACTCCATCTCACACACACACAAAAATAATAAAAATAAAAAATAATTCAGTTGATAGAGAAGAAATAATTTTTTTTCTGAAAGAAACCAAAGTACTAGGAGAGGAAAAAACCATGAAAGCCTTTTAAATACACACACACACACACCCCCACCATCTTGGATGTTAGCTTTTAAGTAAGCTGACTTTAAGCCATTAAGCGCCTTTAAAAAAAACCTTTTAAATATCATTACCATATTTTAGCTAGAACAAATAACTGATATTTCAAAAGTAACACAAATATCAAACCAAAAAGGGCTTGATTTAGGAACCAAACCCAGGCTGTCCTGGTGAAAAAAAGTGGGCAGAACCTTAGCTATGGAACTGCAGTTTGGGGCAACAGCATTCCTCTTTCAGTTTGGCTTGGTTAGCAAAAAGGTGGCCTTGTTATGTAAATAAAGCCCCTTAGGTAATCAAAATAAAAAATCTCTCCTTATTTTTTTCTTTTTGCTGGCTGTTTTTCTCTCTCTTTTTTTTTTTTGAGACGGAATCTCGCTGCGTCGCCCAGGCTGGAGTGCGATCTCGGCTCACTGCAACCTCTGCCTCCCGGGTTCTGAGTGATTCTCCTGCCTCAGCCTCCTGAGTAGCTGGGATTACAGATGCCCACCACCATGCCCAGCTAATTTTGTATTTTTAGTAGAGATGGGGTTTCACCATGTTGGCCAGGCTGGTCTCGAACTTCTGACCTCAGGTGATCCACCCAACTCGGCCTCCCAAAGTGTTGGAATTACAGGCGTGAGCCACCTTGCCCAGGCTTTTTTCTTTTTCTGTTGTGGGAATTTAGCCAATTCAGAGGCCTTGTTCCCCAAACTTTGGAACTTTCCTTCAGATTTGATCAAGTCAGATATAATTCATCAACCTCAATGGGAAAAAGAATGAAACAACAAAAACAGAAACAAACAACAACAAAAAACAGTTAAGCAAAAAAAAAAAAAGTGATCGCACAATTTGTTTATTTATTTTATTTATTTTATTTTTTTTTGAGACGGAGTCTCGCCCTGTCGCCCAGGCTGGAGTGCAGGGGCTTGATCTAGGCTCACTGCAAGCTCCGCCTCCCGGGTTCATGCCATTCTCCTGCCTCAGCCTCCCGAGTAGCTGGGACTACAGGCGCCAGCCACCACGCCCTGTAATTTTTTGTATTTTTAGTAGAGACGGGGTTTCACCGTGTTAGCCAGGATGGTCTGCGATGTCCTGACCTCGTGATCCACCCGCCTTGGCTTCCCAAAGTGCTGGGATTACAGGCGTGAGCCACCATGCCGGGCTTGATCGTACAATTTATATGATTACTGAGCACTCTAATGGTAAGGAAAATTAAGACCAGCTGGTTGTTAACCTTAACTTCAGCCAAGAAAATCCCCAATTCGGCTACTTACCTAAGAACAGGTCTTAGGCTAAAGACTGCTCTCTACCATCCCAGAAGTAGGGAAAACTCAAACTTTCCTTCTCTGTTGGAAGCGAGCTCAAACTCCAGAAAGGAGTTACCTGCCTTCCATCGTCAGGGAAGCAGGAAAACCTGCCTTCCTTGTTGGAAACAAGTAAAACTCCAGAAAAAGGAGTTGTACAGTAAAATAAACTTTAGATGTTAACCAAATTTGGGAAGATCAGGAATTTTGTGGAGGGGGGCTCCCAGGCCTTAGCAAATTGTCCTGTAGATTTGAGCCATAAAGATAGCTCAAGCTGGTACCAAGCACCGATAGGAGATCTGTCAAAGGTCAGGGGCACCTCCACTCAGAATCCTTTCGTGGTTGCCAAACTGTCAACCCGAAATACCTGAGACAGGTCTCAGTCAACTTAGAAAATTTATTTTGCTAAGGTTAAGGACACACCCATGACACAGCCTCAGGAGGTCCTGACAACATGTGCCCAAGTGGCCTGGGCACAGCATGGTTTTATACATTTTAGGGAGACAAAATACATCAATCAATACATGTAAGATTTACATTGGTTTGATCTGGAAGGACAAGACAACTCGAAGTGGGAAACTTCCAGGTCATTGGTAGATTTAAACATATTCTGATTGGCAATTGGTTGAAATAATTATTATCAGTAGAAAGGGATATCTCGGTTAAGATAAGGGGTTATGGAGACCAAGGTTTTACCATGCAGATGAAGCCTCCAGGTAGCAGGTTTCAGAGAAAATAGATCGTAAATGTTTCTTATCAGACTTAAGGTTTTTGTTGATGTTAATGCTGGAGGGTATAATGAGGCATGTCCAACCCCCACTTCCCATCATGGCCTGAACCACTCTTTCAGGTTAAATTTGAGTGCCCTGGCCAAGCAGGGAGTCTATTCAGATGGTTGCTGGTGGCCTTCAAATTTTATTTTATATATATATATATTTTTTGAGACGGAGTCTCCCTCTGTTGCCCAGGCTGGAGTGCAGCGGCAACATCTAGGCTCACTGCAATCTCTGCCTCCGGAGTTCGAACAATTCTCCTCCCTCAGCCTCCCGAGTAGCTGGGTTTACAGGCGCGTGCCACCACGCCCGGCTAATTTTTGTATTTTTAGTAGACATGGGGTTTCACCATGTTGGCCAGGCTGGTCTCATACTCCTGACCTCAGGTGATCCACCCACCTCGGCCTCCCAAAGTGGCAAAGTGCTGAGATTACAGGCGTGAGCCACTGAGCCCGGCCTCTCCTTCTTTTAAAGACTGGGTTTCTAACAGCTTCTGAGGCCTTAAGGATCCTGACAGGGCCGGGCTGCACCACACTCCCTCGTGTTACAAATGGGGAAACCGGGGCACAGAGCAGAGGCGTTTTTCCTGAGATCACACAGCCAATCAGGGCGAGAACTGAGAATCGAACCTTGATCTCTCCACTCCATGATTGTGATTCCGAGTAACTCATGTTATTTTAAATCGACACTTGTCTTAAGAACGTTCGGACGGCGAACCACTGAGAGTTCCCGAGGGGCGAATACTCAGCTCTCAATAGGTTCCTGCGGGGAAAATCTGGCTGCGCCGGCGCGCGCGGGTGCTTTAACGCAATCTGGTTACAGCAACCCACGTGTCCTCCGCTTCCGGGATCCTTAAGGCCGTCGCTTCGGGTGGTAAAACCCGGCCCGCCCTCTTGTTGCCCAGGCTGGAATGCAATGGTGCAATCTCATGTTGGGAAGTGTAGCTCCACCTTCCTCCAGACATAGGGGCGTGGGCGGCTTGGAACTGCATTTCCCAGGAGGCTGCGCTCGCCGTTAGAGTAGCCGGACGACGGGCTGGTGGGGTGAACCCTTCATCCTGGGTCTTTTAATTTCTCAGGCGGAACGAGTGGCGGCGGACAGAGGCTTTTGGCTGCGCTGTCTGTGGGTTGTCTGGGCTTGGGGAACTGGGCACGGAGACCGTGGCGCCGGCCGCCGGTCATACAGCTCTGCTTCCAGTCGTCGGGCAAAAAGCTGAGGCGCTTCTCCTTTAATTGCGGTGGGCGGGGCGTGCCGACGCGGCCCGCGTTGCTATTGGTGGCCGTTGGGGGCGCGGAAACTGAACGGGCCGCAACGGCCACCGCAGCTGCCTTCGGCGCCGCCAGCCCCGCCATGGCTGCGCCCTGCGCGGTAAGCCCAGCCGAGAGCAACTCCCCAGGCCTCAGTCTCCCCGCTGGGACACTGGGCGCCTAATGGCCAGAGCGATGGCTGCGAGGGGCGGGCGGGGCGCCAGGTTCCAGGGTGGTCCTCTTCAGGTCCAGTTTACTGTCTGCGCAGGGGGCGCTGGGTCGGGCACTTTCTGAGCGCCTCCTGCGTGCCAGGCCCTGCGCTGGGTTTCTGGAGCGAACAAACAGGCCTCTGCCTCCATAGTTTGCATCCTAGCGAGGGACACACGACCAAGTCCCGACTCATGTGTGACCTGGGGCCGGTATCGGGCCTCTCTAGCCATTCTCCACGTCCTTAGCAGTGGGTGGCTGCGTGGGGTCTTGTTGAGGGTACACCCTGCTCCAGCAGGTAGGTACAGCAGGACGCTGGGATGCCCGGGCCTGCAGTGTGAGCGGGGCGGAGCCGCCCTCTCTGAGTTCACATTCCTCCAGAAGTCCTCATTTCGAGAGATTCCTTTGAACGGGCAAGGCCCTCTGGCTGATTGGAGAGTCAGGGAGGCTGGGTGGTAGCCTGTGATGCCCTGAGGCACTTGAGGACATGGACGGAGATTCCAGGCTAGGATACAGACCTTTTGACTCCTAATCTGGTACTCTACCTCCCTTCCTGTCCCCTCATGTATAAACCACTGTTGAGGGAGATGAGGCCCACATGCAGGGAACTACAGAGGGGAGGCGGTGTTGAGAGATACCATGGGACCTACTGGTCAGGGGTGGACCTGAACTTGCCTCTGCCCACTGAGCCTAGGGGCGGACACTCTCTTACGCATGTTCTTTCAAGAAGCTTAGGTGAGAGCAGAAGGCTCTGTTGGGGACCCTCCCCCAGCTGCTCCTCCCTCTGTTGTTGAAAGGAGACTCTGACAGGTGCGTTAGGGGTGGAGCTGGGCACAAGGCCATAGGGCCTTTGTTCTGGTTACTGCTCTGTAGGGTGGCAGTGGCTTTGCTGTGCCCCAAGGACATCCTTTCCCAGGAGGAGCCTTTGGGCTTCCTGGAGCACCCAAAATGCTTCTTTGAGGTTTCTGATACTTAGAGTAGGGGGAGATGTTTGGATGGCTGAATTATAACCCTTCAAGTGTTAAGACACAAGCTGCTATTGGATGGAGAGAGTCTCCGGAGTATTCTCTCTGGTGTTTTAACTTTATTAAGTTATTCATACACCACAGAATTCACCTTTTAAAGTGTACATTTCAGTAGTTTTTAGTACATTCACAGTGTTGTGCAACTGTAATCACTAATTCCAGAATATTTTCATCATCCCAAAAAGAAACTCCATACTCAATAACAGTCATACCATTTCTTCTCTTTCCCCATTTTCTCCCAACCCTTGGCAAACTAATATATTAATACTTTCTGTCTCTATAGATTTGACTATTCTGAACTTTTCATATGAATGGAATCAGACAAAATGTGGCCTTTGGTGTTTGACTTCTTTCACTTAGCATGTTTTCAAGGTTCATCCATGTTGCAGCAAGCATCAGCACTTCAGTCGGTTTTATGGCTGAATAATATTCTGTTGTATGAATATGCTACATTTGGTTTATTCAGTCATGTGTTGATGGATCATTTGGGTTCAATCACTTGTTGGCTATTAAGGAAAATGCTGCTCTGAACATTTGTGTACAAGTTTTTGTGTAAACCATGTTTTCAACTCTTTGGGGTATTTACCTAGAATTGCTGGGTCATTTGCTAACCACGTTTAACTACTTTATTTTTTATTTTATTTATTTATATTTATTTTATTTATTTATTTTTTGATTAGGAGTCTCACTCTGTCGTCCAGGCTGGAGTGCACTGGTGCAATCTCGGCTCACTACAACCTCCTCCTCCTGGGTTCAAGCGATTCTCCTGCCTTAGCCTCCCAAATAGCTGGGACTATAGGCGCCCACCACCACGCCTAGCTAATTTTTGTATTTTTAGTAGAGAGGGGTTTTCACCATGTTGGCCAGGCTGATCTTGAACTCTTGACCTCAGGTAATCTGCCCGCCTTGGCCTCCTAAAGTGCTGGGATTACAGGCGTGAGCCACTGTGCCCGGCTAACTACTTTTTTTTAGTCAGGGTCTTGCTCTGTTGCCCAGGCTGGAGTGCAGTGATGTGATCACAGCTCACTGCAACCTTGAACTCCTGTGCTCAAGCAGTCCTCCCACCTCACCCTCCTGAGTAGCTGAGAATACAGGCATGAGCCACTACGTGTGGCTAATTCTTTAATTTTTTTGTAGGGTCAGGGTCTTGCTGTGTTGCCCAGGTTGGTCTTGAACCCCTGGCTTAAAGTGATCCTCCTGCCTCAGCCTCCCAAAATGTGGGGATTACAGGTGTGAGCCACTTCACCTGACCTATGTTTAACTTTTTGAGGAACTGCCAAATTACTTTCTATAGTATCTGTGTTTTTTGTTTGTTCGTTTGTTTGTTTGTTTTTAAAGATTTTTTTTTTTTTCTGGGTGTCTTGCATTTTCATGTGAATCTTGGGAGCAGCTTGTCAGTTTCTGCAAAAAAGACACCTGGGATTTTGATAGGAATTATGTGGAATCGGTAGATCAATCTGAGGAGTATCGTAGTATTGTATCTTAACAATAGTAAGTCTTCCTGTTCATGAATGTGGAATGTCTTTCCATTTTTTAAGTCTTCTTTCATTTCTCTTAGTGATGTTTTGTCGTCTTTACTGTACAAGTCCTGCACTTCTTTTGTTAAATTATTCCTTTTTTTTTTTTTTTTTTTGAGACGGAGTCTCGCTCTGTCACCCAGGCTGGAGTGCAGTGGCACAATCTCTGCTCACTGCAAGCTCCGCCTCCTGGGTTCACACCATTCTCCTGCGTCAGCCTCCTGAGTAACTGGGATTATAGGCGCCTGCCACCATGCCCGGCTAATTTAAAATATTGCTATTTTTTTTATGTATCATAAATAGTTTTATTTTTTGGATTATTCATTGCTAGTGTACAGAAAGACAATTGATTTTTGTGTCTTGATTTTGTATCTTGCAACTTTGCTGAACTCATTTGTTTTTTGTTTTTGTTGAAGCATTTCCACAGTTGATGTATTAATTCAAATAGTAAAAACTATTCCTAGTAAAAACTAATCCTAAGTGGATTCCTTAGGATTTTCTTTATATAAGATCATGCCTTGAGCATTTTTAACCCTACTCCCCCGGCTGTTGTAGGAAGAGTGCTGGCCCTGGGGAAGCCCCTTCCTCACCCAGGCTTCACACATTTGACCCTGGCTCTCTCTCAGGAGGACCCCTCGCTGGAAAGGCATTTTAAGGGCCACCGAGATGCAGTTACCTGTGTGGACTTCAGTATCAACACAAAGCAGCTGGGTAAGAAGAGGCACCCTGTCTAGGTGCTAGGTTATGAGCTGAACAGGCCAAGTTTTTACCTCGGAGGGGTGGTGGGTGGGAAGCAGAGCACAAGGACTGCACAGCTTTGTCTAGACCTGCTTCTAGTCTTGCTTCTGCTTGCCAGCTCTTTGGGCACTGGGCTTCATGAGCTTCATTTTACATGCAGAGCCTGAGGGTCAGAGAGGTTAGGGGCCTTGCTAAGGCCACAGAGCTTTTGAGGGTGGGACTGGGATCTGGGTCTTTTCTGCACACCCTAGCCACCTTTTGGGTCTGTCTTTTGGTGTGGGCCCTAAACAGTGACTCCTTTTCCTTGAAGCTTTACTGATTCTGTTGCCCACAGTAATAAGGCACACCTTGTTGAAGAGCCTTGTCAGTGAGAAGGCTGTTGAGCAGAGATGGGCACCCCCCTCGACCCCACTGCTCTTATGCTGCAGCTGACTGTCCCCCTTCCTTGGTTGCATGAGGTTTCGTACACAGCTTTTATGACTGCGCTTTCTGGTTCCTGCAGAGGAGGCTTGCCCCTTCATCCTGTCATCAAGACCCTCTGATGTGTAAAGGTTAAGAGGGAACTGAAGTGATTTTTGATCAGTTTTGGGGACCTCCTTTAGGCTTCATACTGAGTTGGGCCCTCTCAATGGGAGGGGCTGGCTTCCCAGCTGGGGAGGACTTGCTCTCTGGTGCCCTCAGGATGTGTCTGGGGGGAGACCCTGGGCCCCATGGGAATGAGTTTTCCCAGAGCTCTGGATTGCAGTCCAAGGCTAGCATGGGAAGGGCCTCGGTCTTATTCCCATGTGGGTGTGCTCCTTGGAGAACTCTGGGCCACAGGCTCTCCACCTCCAGACCATACCTCGAGATGTGCTCTGCTCCATGGGAGACTTCTCACGGTCTGTTTGTGGATGCCAGGGAAGATGGAGCTGGGCCAGTTGCTCCCCCTGCCTCTCCAATGTCTTGGTGGAGGCTTGAAGCCTGTTAGAGCTGTAGGTCATAGCATCACCCACTGTCCTCAGCCAGTGGCTCCATGGACTCATGCCTCATGGTCTGGCACATGAAGCCGCAGTCACGCGCCTACCGCTTCACTGGCCACAAGGATGCCGTCACCTGTGTGAACTTCTCTCCTTCGGGACACCTGCTTGCTTCCGGCTCCCGAGACAAGACTGTCCGCATCTGGGTACCCAATGTGTGAGTCGTACACTTTGAGGAGGCTTGTTGGAGTCTGGGGCCCTGGTGCCAGAGCCATCCCCACCCAGGTCCCCTAGCTTGGCTCTGGACTGGTCACAGTGGGACTTCTACTCTGCTTTGGAAGAGGTGCCATCAGAGGCTGGGGCTGCAGTTGGAGCCCTCCCCTCAGGGTTGGAAGAGGAGTTCTGGGCTTACCCAATCTATCCCTAAAGAAATGCCACCTGATGCTGTGTTCATGTGGGTGGGGCCTAGAGATGGTGCTCTGTTCATATAGGAGAGGCTCTGGCTTTCCCTTGTGGAGACTGGGGTACTCGGGCTTGACTGACTTTGGGAGGGGTGCTTGAGGAGTAGGAGAGCTTTGATGTGCTTGTGGGCTCTCATGTCACTGTTATGGGTTTCCTTACTCTTGGATGCCTGTCCTTGTAGCAAAGGTGAGTCCACTGTGTTTCGTGCACACACAGCCACAGTGAGGAGTGTCCACTTCTGCAGTGATGGCCAGTCCTTCGTGACAGCCTCTGACGACAAGACAGTCAAAGTGTGGGCAACTCATCGCCAGAAATTCCTGTTCTCCCTGAGCCAGCATATCAACTGGGTCCGCTGTGCCAAGTGAGCATTGTTCTGTCTGGAGACCCTTGGAGGAACCCTGGGGGTTGGGGGCTGGCCCAGGGGCTGCTAGGTACCAACTTATGACCTCGGGCAAGTTACTTAGGCATTGTTTAAGCTTCCTCAGCCTCGGTTTCCTTATCTGTAAAATGGAACAATAATAGCTCCTGCATTGTAAGTTGTCGAGAAGCTTCATGGAGCTGATGCATGACATGTAAGTTAGTCCATAGTCAGCCATGATGACCCTCTGACATCTGTGTTGGCAAAGCACAAACTGGGTCAACAGGGGCCATTTATTATCAAAAACAATTAGGTACTTTCAGTACTACCATTACACATTTTCTTTTTGTTCCTTAAGACAGTTCTGCAAGCTAGGTGCATTTCCATTTTGCAGATGAGGAAATGGGGGCTCAGAACAGTAGTATCTTGTCCCAGAGCACACGGTGGGTCTGTGGCAGAGCTGGAGTTTGAACCCAACTCTCTCTGACAGTAAGGCTTGCCTACTTTCCTCTGGGATGTTCTCAGGGGATGATTTTGCTCCAGAGCTCCCAGATGGGGGCGCAGGCTTCGGAGATGGGGGGCTTAGCCTGGAGGCTAGCCTTCCTGCTGGCCAGGGAGCCAGTGCTGTGCAGACAGCGGGCCAGGTAACCCAAAGGACCTTTCAAGGTCCAAGAATTGCAGACAGATAGTCCTACTTCTAGCTTATTTCATTCCTTTCAACAGAGCTTCCCCATGGGTCAAATATCTTTGCTTCAGAGGAAGGGGTTGGGGTGCCAGGTGACATTAGGAAACCACATGAGTCAGAAGTTGGGGACTATTGAGCTGTGTTCTTCTGGGGACCCCATACAAGTTACTGTTCTCCAGGGCACCCCCATTCCTTTGTCCTGGGAGACCCCTGATGGCTCTTAGAGGCTTTATGACTAGGGTCCTGAGATCAGGAGGGGCCAGGCCAGCAAACTGGGGTGTCAAGTCCATACTGGGCCTTTGGTGGCAGTCCCCAGGACCTCATGCCTTTTGTTGGCAGATTGTGTCTTGCTGACCCGCACTTGAGTCAAATGTAGACTCGGAGGACCTGGTCCCAGAGTAATGACACTGATGGTGAGCTTTTGGCCACCTTTATGCAAATGTTGCCGGCAGGCAGTCGGCTGCATGTTGCCATGTGCTGTGCGTCAGGGGCAGTGCTGGGGCTTTATGTGCATGAGGCTGCTCTGTGCTCACTCGTGAGGCAGGCACCTTTTTTTTTTTCTTTTCTTTTTGTTTATTTATGTTTGGTTTTCCTCTAAGTCAGGAAGAATTTCTCTTTTTCCCTTTTGGTCAGAGTTTGCTGTTGGGATGGGAGAGGGGCTATTTGCTCATGAAGCTACGTAAGAAAACGAAAACAAGAGCAACAGGAAAGATCAATAAGTTTCACAGATTCAGGAAGAAAAAAATAAAGGAAACATTTTTATAACATTTAAAATTAAGTCATAGGCCGAGCTTGAAGGTGCATGTCTGTAATCCTAGCACTTTGGGTGGATGAGGTGGGAGGATCCTTTGACTCCAGGAGTTAGAGGACCAGCCTGGGCAACATAGTGAGACTCCCATCTCTACAATAAAATAAAATAAAATAAAATTAGCTGGGTGTGGTGGTGCACGCCTGTAGTCCCAGCTGCTCAGGAGGCTTAGGTGGGAGGATCTCTTGAGCCCAGGAGGTAGAGGCTGCAGTGAGCTGAGATCACACCACTGCACTCCAGCCTGGGTGACAGAGCAATACCCTGTCTAAAAAACAAAACAAAAACAAAAACAAAATTTAGTCACAGTTTCCTGAAAAACTCTTCAGAAGGAAAAAAGAAAAATGATGTGCTAAAAGTTAACTATTTTCAGAAACAAAGTATAATTTAAGATATGACCAAATAAACAGAAGTAACATTGCCTCCTAGGATGCAATGCATTTGTTCCTGAAAAGACAAATTAGGGTATTCAAATTAAAAAAAAAAAAATCACAGCAGGGCATGTGACCCCGGGTGGTTCCTGCAGGCAGATAGTAGGCACTCGGGGAAGAGTGGCTGTGGAAGAAGGTGTGTGGTGCCCATGTCGTCTGTTAGTCTGTGATGTGACTTGTGCCCCACCCGGTTCAGGTTCTCCCCCGACGGGCGGCTCATCGTGTCTGCCAGTGATGACAAGACTGTTAAGCTGTGGGACAAGAGCAGCCGGGAATGTGTCCACTCGTATTGTGAGCATGGCGGGTGAGTCCCCAGATGCTGTCCTCCACCTGTAGGCGCTCAAGCACAGAGCACAGACCTGGGCATGAGGAGGCCCAGTGGCCTTCAGTGGCTGGAGCCGTGGGACCAGCAGCCTTATCACTGCTGCCCCTTGTCTGGTGCTTTTTGCGAGGTCTGGCAACCTAGCATTGTATCTTTTGCTGTGTGGATGGAAGCTTTGGCCCCATCCCACAAATAGCAGGAGTGCTTAACCTCAAGCCATGCAATTCTTTGGAGCTGTGTAATTATTTGTGCTCCTCTTTTTCTCCTTCACTTTCTGGTTGTCAGGATTACAACATGTCTGTCTGGCAGCAGTTGACACTCAGTCGCCCAAACTACATTTTAAAGCCTCTTGGTATGTTATCCATGATGATGGCTTTACAAAATTCTTGTTGGGTTCTTGTAGCAGATGGTGGCTGTTCATATTGTGCCACATCATCAGGAGAGAGAGGTGCCTACATTTGAGTAGAGACCCCAGCTTCTGCCCTTCTTTGTTGGGCTGGGAGCCACAAGGGCTTCTCCTTGAGAGGTGGACATGGTACCAGCCTGGGTATCACATATGGGTGTGGTGAGGGTCCTTGGCCTGTCTCCTAGAAAGGGGTGGGCCAATGGCCCTGTAGTCCTGCTGGACCTTCCCACCTGTGCCTCAGCTGGCAGGATCTGCCCTGCAGCCACCCCTGGGAAGGGTACCAGCTCCAACTTTGAAAATCCCAGGGGAGCCTGGCTAACTTTTGGGTTTGAAGATAGCTCTCTCAACTTGTATTGAAAATTGGCGGTGGGATGTGCTCCCTGGTCAGTCCACCTTAGTTTGTTGCTGGCCACTGTTCTCACCTTTTACTTCTTCTTGCTCTCCCTTGGCCACCTGGTAAACAAGTGTGACAGAAAGGAGGTGTCTGGGTCAAGGGAACAGCGTGGGCAGGACACAGGGATGGGGAAAGCACCAAATGTTTCTGGGTCCGTCCTGAACCAGGGCAGACCTCCTATAGTGCATAGTGGCCCCTGTCTTTCCAGCTTTGTCACCTATGTGGACTTCCACCCCAGTGGGACGTGCATTGCCGCTGCCGGCATGGACAACACAGTGAAGGTGTGGGACGTGCGGACTCACCGGCTGCTGCAGCATTATCAGTGTGAGTGGTGAACAGCCTCCTGGGCCCAAGGGCAGCCCTGGTGGGACTGTGATGGTGTTGGATGTTGTCCTGTGCTGTAGTGCTTAAATGGGTCTGAGATGGCCTTGGGCAGGAAGGTGTCCTGGGTTTGTTGGGATTCCAGGGGTGGGAGTCTGTGGCATGGCTGGCCTGGCTTGGAACCTTGGCCAGGAGATGGAGCCTGGTGCTACCTGGCTTCCACTGAGCCAGTCAATGCTCACCTCCGAAGTGGCAGAATCTCACACATACTGCAGGGCCAGATGGGGAGTCCTCACTGGGGCTCTGGTCAGGGCTTCCCTTGAGGACCACTTCTCAGGGGCATGCCACTTGCCTTTCCTGGTGATGGAGGCTCTGCCCTCCAGGGCCAAGGTGACAGCCCTTGACCTGTGGTAAAGGGAACAGGGCTGTCAGTAGAGGCCAGCATTGGTGGGACCGTGGCCACCTCTGGTCTTACAGTGTCCTCCGCAGATGTAGAGTCATAGGGAGGGTTGACTTAGCTAGGGGCCAGGCCCAGGATGGTAGCCCTTGGAAGGCAGGGTGGCGGGCAGTGGGCATGGGCTCATGTCAGGCTCCAGGTGGGAGTTGGAGGGCGAGGGCAGACTTAGACATGCCCAGGATGAGTTCGCTGAGAGTACTGGGTAGGGAACTGGCCTGAGAGCAAGTATGAGTGGGCAGGGCCATGAGGCGCCCCAGTTCCAGGGATGGGCTCAGGGAAGGGAGCTGGTGAGGGGTCATTGGAGAAACTGGGAATTGTGTAGCTGGCAAAACAGAGATGAGCAAGACTGGACCAGGGCCGAGACCAGGAAGGAGGCAGAGCTGGAGTTGTTTGAAGAACCGTGGTTGTTAACCTGGGACTAAGCTTAAAGTTCTTGGGCTCGCTTCCTTAAGCCACACCTGAAATGGGAAGGACATGGCTGGACACAGGTGTGGGGTTCCGACCCCACCCACCCCTGACACACACACACCCTTCCTAGCTGACTCCTGGTGTTCAAGTACAGCACTTTCTTTGGGGTAACAGAGGTGAGCACACCTTCCCAGAATGGGGAGAAGATCCTAATCTTGAACAGCACATGGTGGAGAGTGGGCTCTGCAGCTGGCTTTTAAAGCATTCCTGGCTGTGTGATATTGGGCAGGTCATTTGACTCTGTGGGGCCTCTGGGACAATGATGGGGCCTGTCTCACAGGAGGTGTTGGGAGGTTTAATGAGTTGTTTCATATCAAGAATTGAGAGGGTGGCTGGCACAAAATGGGGGGAAGGAGGTACAATGTTAGTGATGATGACAATGACACTGTCTTGGTCCTGTCTGGGCTGGTGAGGCCAACCTGGTTGGTTAAGGCCTGTAGTACCCTACAGCACCACCAGGTGGCAGGGGCCAGCCACAAGAACCTGTTCCCCCACCCCACCCCCCTCCATAGGAAGCCCTGAGGTTTGTTACCAATGCTCTTTCAGACAGAGGCTTCTGGAACAGAAGAGCAGTGGGGCTTGCCTCCACTTGGAGCCCATATCTTTCCTATCCTTCCTTCAGCCTTCTGCTCTGGGCCAGGCCTGAGTGAAGGGCTGGGGCTTGGGGATGGGGCACATCTGCCCAGCTGCCTGGGGAACGTGGGCAGGTGCAGAGGAGGGAGGACTTGGACAGGGAGAGATGGGAGTGGAAGGCGACGAGGCAGGACAGTGGTCAGGAGCACATGCTGTGGTTCCTTTCTGTAAAGGGGGTGGCAATAGGCCTTCCTCATGGCTTTGTGAGGCTCTGATGGGAAAAGCCACAAAAGGGTTATAACACAGGGCTAGGTATGTGGTTTGTGCTACATAAGTCCTGACACTGGGCAGAGAGGATGTCTAGGTGACCCTGGGAGGGTCCAGACCCATCTCTGATGGATCAGGAGCCTGGGCCTGGTGTTCATGGGTATAACAGCAGGTACCCCTTGGGAAGGGCCTTGGATGCCATCTCTGGCTCGGGGTCCCAAAGATGTGGCCTGATTGGCAGTGCTAGGACTAGCCTCGTCATTTAAGGTATGAAGGGAAGAAGGACATCTGAGAGGATAGCGGTGTCCAGAGCCTGCTGGGGTTGGGGGCTGGTGTGCCCCATGTGTCCCAGTGATGGGTAGGTGTCCAGCTGTGCCTGGTATCAAAGTAGGGGCTGGCATCAGAGTGGGGGATGGGTTGCAGAGGTTGAGTAGAAGCAGAGAAGCTGACCCTGTTGGGGTGGAGGGGCCAGCTGGACCCAGGGATCTGGGATGTGAGAATGGCTGAGGTCACATTCTGAGCCCCTATAATTGAGGGGCCACAGAAGATAAAGGTCCACAAAGCAGCCAGAGTGAGAGGTATGAACCCCGTCTCCAAGCATGGGAGAGCTGAGGAGGGCAGAGGCTGGGGAGTGAAGGAGAGTGGGGTCTTGTGAAGAGGGTTGTCAGGAGGTGGAGCAATGCAGAGCAGCCGAGGAGAGCGGTGGGTACTGGGGAGAGGGAGCTGGGGACCTGGAGGGAGCAGGCTTGGCAGAGGGCAGGGGCGGATCTCCATGATGGCAGGGTTGGGGAGGTGTGGATGGACTCAGATGAGCTCCAGGGGCTGAGTCCTGAGTGGAGCTGAGTGTGTGGGCTGACAGGCCCTGCTGGGAGATTGCAGTCTGCTTGTGCTTCTGGCCTTGCCTCTTATGACAGCCTCTCAGTGGGCCTGCAGTGTCTCATCCCTAAGCCACCCCTAGTGTAGATTGGAGGCTTAGCAGGATTTGGAGTACCCCATAAACACAGCCGGTTCCCCCTGAGCTCCCTGCTCAATGCCGTGGCCAGTGGTGGGTGTTCACAGGATAGCGGAGTCATCCCATAGCCTCTAGGCTGACCCTTAGGGGTGCAGTGAGCCAGGTTGATCTGAGCTCCCTGGGTAGGGGGAACATACCTCTCATCCTCTGCTGACGGGAGGACATGGCCAGGTCTGCTCTGGTCTTGGGGCTCCCCAGAAAACCTTTAGCTGAAACTAGGGGGAAACCCTCTACCCAAGTGGCTCCCCCACCCCCATAGGTGCAGTGGAATCTCTTTGGAGGCTCATTCCCCAGGAAGGGCTCCCAGTACTCTGGCAACAGATGCCTGATCCGCTTTCTGTCCCTGATCCCTAGGAAACCCAAGGGAAACCTACGGACACAGTGACGTGCAGTGTCTCCCCTAGTGACTCTGGATGGGCATCAGGCACTTCCAGAATGGCCTTCGGGTGTTGGACGCTGATGGGCTCTTGTGAGAGGATTTGGTTAATGATACTGCAGTGTGTGGCTAGCAAGCCCCAGCCTGCCTGCATCCAGCCGTCCATAGTTGTGCTCTATGAGGGCACTTCCTGTTCCTGCTAGGGTTGTTGGAGTTGAAGCCCACTTGGGGCTTTGGGCTATGGAGGCAGCTGGAGCCATTTGTCTTGCGCTGGCTGACTCTCCTAGGTAAGGAGTTTCTTGGCTCTGGCCTATCACTGCAGAGAGCAGTTC
Source organism: Homo sapiens (assembly GCF_000001405.40). Classification (NCBI taxonomy): domain Eukaryota; kingdom Metazoa; phylum Chordata; class Mammalia; order Primates; family Hominidae; genus Homo; species Homo sapiens. The sequence continues at coordinate 52,142,363 of NC_000003.12, read as the reverse complement.
TGATTTCTCAATTCAGCAAGGATTTGGGCTGGTGGAGCCCTGGGAGTGCCAATCCCTGTGGTGGTGGGTTAGCTCCATATGCTCTGAGCCCACGTTAAGACTGTTCAGGCATCTGAGCAGCAGCCCCCATCCCAGAACCTGTAATGTGCTTCGTGCCTTACAGCACGTGCAGGTCCATTATCCAGTGACAGGCCTGGGTGGCCAGCAAAGTAGGTCTACCCTCCATTTCACAGATGCGGAGCATGCAGCCCACAGTCACACAGCTAGAAAGCTATGGGTCTGAGTCTCCACCTCAGGGCCTTTGAGTCTGGCATTCTGTTGACAGGCTCACGCTCGGTTCCTTGCACTTCGGTGACTCTAGTCATTTACTCTTCAGGCTCCCTGGGAGAGGTGGTCTCTTTGGCTGGCTGTCAGCAGGGCTTAGAACTCATAGAGTCCCAAGCTCTCTGTCCGATGGTCTTTAGTGCAGCCCTGCACCCCCGCCTGGCCTGATACATTGTCATGGAGGGTTTTGTCTTTTTTTTTTTCTCTTTCAGAGATGGGGTTGGGGTCTCACTGTATTTCCCAGGCTGGTCTTGAACTCCTGAGCTCAAGCAGTCCTCCCACCTCGGCCTCCCAAAGTGCTGGGATTACAGGCGTGAGTCACCATGCCCGGCCGGAGGGTTTTAAGTAGTTGCAGCTATCAGGGCAGGCCTGTACCCTGTACTGGGTGTTTTGAGACTAAAAGGGTTGATTGGGGTACAGTGGTGCTGTCCCACCTGATCTAGCCAACCTACTCTCCCACTGTCCTGAAGTGAGCATTTACACGGCATTTACACAGAGGAGTGTTTTGGGTGTCCTTTGCTGCTGGTATCAGAGCACTTTTGTGGTATGAATCCAAAGCCTCTTGTCAACCCAGAGCCACCGTGTCACTAGTAACATCAGTTGCGCATCGCAAGAGACCACCCTGGGGAAAATGAGCGGTCCTTTTGTGGAAGGATGTTGGGATGGGGCTTGGCCCTGGCATGGTCTCCTCTAGAGAGGAACCTCCTGCTTGGGCACCCAGGCTTTCTCTGGGCCCTTGGCTGGTTTGCAGCCCGTTAGGTAGTGGGCCTAGGTTTGCCCAAGCCTCTACAGGCAGAGCAGCATGGAGTGGGTGTACTCAGGTCTCTGCTTAGACCACCTACTGCCCACAAGCCATGACTAGTTCTTGGTATTTGGGAGCAGGGGCTGTGGTGGCCTCATCCCTGGGTCCCTGAGGATCTGTAGAAGTTTGATGTTGGTGTATCTTTGACCTGGAGTCAGAGTTCTCTCTTTGGAGTGGAGATGGGATAAGAGCCACAAGCTCACAGCTGCCACCCAGGTGGCAGTATGTGTCATCACTGATATCTGCCATGGAGCCAAGAAGAGGCCTGCGGCTTTGGACTTGAAAAAAAGTGGATCATGCTCAGACATTTGGCGCTCAAGGCATCATGATAGAAGGCTCATGCCCTCATGGGACAGCCTAGCCTTCGTGGTAGACTCTCATGCAGGGGTGGTTCTTACGATGAGGCCTCCATAGACTACCCGCTCCCCACCACCTCCACAGAGGCAAGAGGAGTGAGAGTGGAGGCTGGTGCGGCCAGTAGGTGAGGCAGGAGAGCAAGTGGGGAAAGGTGGGGTGGGTCCTGGTGTCTGGGGTATCCCCCAAAGCCTGGTATGCCAGGCCAGCCCCTCTTCTGGAGTAAATGGTTCTAGGTGTTTCTATCCAGGCTTGGGTATTCCTGGCATTTATGTGGAGTGGAGATTCTGTTGCCCTTCTTCTGGGAGAGATTCTTTCCCTTGGATGGGCTTGACCAGGTGGGGGCCCCTGGTGTGGCATCCATACACTGACCCTGCCACCTTGATGGTGCTGGGAAGCCCAGAGCTCCCTGAGCATGCCCTCCCTTCTGCACCCTCCTGCCACCGGCTGTTCCTCTGGCAGCTTCTGCTCATGGAGGGGTGGAGGTGGCCTTCATCCCAGTGCAGACTTTCTGGTGGGGGGGTCTCTGAATTCTGCCTCCAAGAGCTGGCTTCAGAGACCCCACTGGTCCCTCTCCAGCCTGCCTCCTGGAGATCCTGGCGCTTGGAGGGTGTTGTTGAGATATAAATATCATGTTACGTAAAGCCTTGGCTGTTTCCCCCTAAGTGTGCCTGGGAACACGTATCCAGACTCCCCGGCACATCGGCACATCAGCTGGGCTGGCATCTGAGGGACTGCGTGCACCCTGTGGGCCTTGTTGAGGGCCGTTTCGTGTTGGGTGTGTTTACCAACCCAGTAGTGGTTCTTACAGCCTTTCAGTGCTAAGATGACGGTTGGTTTTGAATCTGCCTTTATGTTGGTGGCAATTCTGACTTGGCAGGGTCATGGTTATTTTAGCCCCACTGGTTTTCCTCATTGGGCCTCTGGTAATGGGAAGAAAGACACTGGGGTTTTCCTCAGAAGGCACCCTAGGAGGCTGTGATACAGCTGATCCATGCATTGGCTGTGGAGTTGCTCTGTCCCCACGTAGACTGCCCAGGTGTGCCCCCAGCTTCACCTAGAACATGCTCTTGACCTTGAGGGAGAGTTGTGTAACCTGCTGGGGCTTCTGGATACCCAGCTTAAGCACCTGCTCACCAACCACTTTCTGAGTCCTGCTCGGTGCCAGGGACTTACCACCCCTGCCTGATGGAGTTCATGGTCTCATGGGAGATCCAGATGTGAGTCAGATAGTTGCATGTGAATGTGAAGAGTGAACCGATGGGAGGCTTGTGCTGCTTTGGAAGGACAAATGAAGGGGGTGGCCCTAATTGGGAGGCCAGGGGAGGCTTCCTGGAGAAGGCAGCTTCCAGTAATGAGCTTTAAGGTCAGGGAAAGGGAAGGGCAAGAGTCTCCCAGGCCCATTGGAAACAAGGGGTAAAAAAGTTCTACGGCTGGGGGAATCGACAGAGCTGGGGTGGCCGGCTCTTGGAGAGTGAGGGACACCAGAAAAGATGGTGGGGTTAGCCTGAGATGGTAGGGAAAAGAGAGTCATGGACAGGGCCAAGCTGTTGAGTGGGTGAAGTGGCAGGACCTTGAGTTGCATGGAACACAGGGGGCAAAGGAGAGGAACATCCATGTTGGCATTGGATGGCTCACTCTGCAAAGACCTCATGTGCTTAACTTAGTAGCATCCGCACAGTACCTCTTACACATAGGTGCTATGGTACAGATGGAGAAACTGAGGCTCAATGTGGTTAAGATGCTTGCTCAGGATGGATGTGGTGGCTCACGGCTGTAATCTCAGCACCTTGAGAGGCCGAGGCAGGTGGATCATCTGAGGTCAGGAGTTTGAGACCAGCCTGGTTAACATGGTGAAACCCCATCTCTACTAAAAATACAAAAATCAGCTGGACGTAGTGGCACACCTGTAGTCTCAGCTACTCAGGAGGCTGAGGCAGGAGAATCTCTTGAACCCAGGAGACGGAGGCTGCAGTGAGCTGAGGTCGCACCACTGCACTCCAGTCTGGGCGACAGAGTGAGACTCTGTCTCTCAAAAAACGTCATGGGGTGAGCCCAGGCAGGAGGCTTGGGGTCCGAATGCAGGCCTGACTGCTTCCTAAGAGTGTCTTAGCTTTCTGCTCGTCTGCCCCCACACACGTCCTTCCTGTGTGGCAGTGGCATTGTATTGACATTTGAAGGGTTTTGTTTTCCATTGGTTTCTTTAAAGAAAGAGTATATCGGGCAGACCAAAGGCTATGTTTGTATGTTTGAGTACTCTATTCTGCTCCAGCTTGACCGCTTGGTGCTGTGGGAGAGGATGGAGGAATCGTCTGCTGCCTCTGGTTTTTGCATCTGTTTCTGTCCGCCTGTCTTCCACTGCCTGCCCTTGGCTCTGAACAGGCCTTTTCCTGTTCTTCGATTGTGCCCCTCTCCTGGGAAATCCTTGTTGGGTTCCCCACAGCTCTTCTGAGCAATGACCATCCTGACCCAGCCCCATCAGGCCTGTGCTGAGCCTCGATTGGCCCTGATTGCCCGTCTTGGGCTTCAGCTGTGCTCCCTGTGCCTCCTAGCCAGCACCTGACTGATGTCCTTCCCCCAGTGCACAGTGCAGCAGTGAACGGGCTCTCTTTCCACCCGTCGGGAAACTACCTGATCACAGCCTCCAGTGACTCAACCCTGAAGATCCTGGACCTGATGGAGGGCCGGCTGCTCTACACACTCCACGGGCATCAGGTGAGAGGTGTCGGCCAGGTGCTGAGTGGTGTGGAGTGGTGGTACCTTCACTGTCTGGGCAGTGGGCAAGATGCAGAAACAGGCTTGTCACCCACACAGCCTGCAGGGAGATGGATGGAGGCATTTCCATGTGACCTGGGCAGATTGCTGGGCCTGGGACTGGTGCAGCTGAGAAGGGTATATAAGAGTTGAATTGGGCAAGGGTTGGGGGCTGCATCTGGGCATGGTTAGCAAGCCGCCCCTTAGGGGCCTGAATGGAATCTGTCCCCTAATGGCCTCAGCCATCCCTTGGTCCAGAGGTTGAGTTGAGCCTTGGAACCCATGCTCTGAGTTGACATCAGGGTTTCCTGGAGGCCCTCGGACTGGCAGACATCAGTGTGTCTAGAGACTGAGGCAACCTCAGGTGTCTTGCAGAGGCTGGGACAAAGAAGGGAAGTCTTCTTCATGTTTGTCGTTTGAGAATTCCTGGAATGGAATCAAGGAAGCAAAGGCCTCCTTTCTGAATGAGCTTCAAAGCAGCCGGTTCCCTGGTCTCCCTGGGTGGGCTGGGTCCCTGGGGGCCGGCTGTGGGAAGTAGGCCACATGCAGTTCTCCCCAGGAACTGGCCTGGGTCCGGGCCTTTCACATCTAGTACTTCCACTAGGAAGTAGTGTCCGAGCCCTCCTGATCAGAGCGGTCGTCAGAATGTCTCCTGTTGGGGCGTAGTCACCATGCCCACTTGAGATGGGAGGTCTGGAGTCCATTGAATTCAAGTCTGTCTCTAATCTGCCTGCCATGCTGAGGGAGGCCCTGGGGGTGCTTATGTGTCTTGGACTATCAGCTAAGTCTGAGGTGTCTAGCCTGGTGTTTTCTGAGCTGTTGTTTGGGTTTCCACTGCCATCTGAGTTAGGGTACCTGGGGGCCATTTGGCTATGACTAGGGGATGGGGACATAGGCCTTTTCTTCTACTTCCTCAAGGTCTGGAGGCTGCTTGCTGCCCCCAGCCTTGTTGTGACCCCTTGCCTTCCCTGTCAGAGACATATCCAGTGTGCAGGACTAGTGGGCCTGTTCTCCCTGGGCCAGCACATCCAGAGGGGGTGGCTGCTGGCCCTGGTGTAAGCCTGTTCACAAGCCAAGCCCCTGGACAAGCAAGTTATACAGATTCATGTGTAACCGTTTGGGATCTTATGCCCAGGAGGGCATTTGAAAATCATGTGAATGCTGCTACCGCTCCTGCTCCCCTAAAAAAAACAAAACAAAACTCAGAAACAGTTTGAAACAGATGCCTATCAAGTGATCACCTCTTTTTGTGAGTGTTCTTTAAACAGCTAACTCACGCTTAGCCTGAAAACACTTGAATGTGGGATCTAAAATGTCATTCCCGGTGTTCTGGCATCGCATCTGGCACATAAACGAAAGCTATTGACATTGTTCTCTCCGGGAAGTGAAGCAAGGACCATGGCGCATTGCCTTGTGTGGTCACTTGTCTGCTATTAAATCTAGAGATATGGGAACCAGGCCAAGGGACAGCTGATGGTTTGGGGTGTGGATAGGGCTGGGTCATTTCTTCTTCAGGGCACCAGGCTCACAATGCCCAGAGGAAAGGAGAAGAAGAGAAACGAACCAACGACCTCTGTTCATTTTGCCATCTGTCTGTTTGTTCATTCATCATCGGCTCTCTAGCTCACGGGGCTGGGCACCAGGGATAGGAAATGGATGTTATAGCTCTACTTCCTGGGCTTCCTGGCCTGGGAAGAGGGGGACTCCACAGGGAGGCTGACAGAGCTGAAGGCAGCATGAGACGAGTTAGGCTGGCTGAGAGGTAGACTGAGTCTTAGAGAGTACTTGGAGGGCAGGTGAAGGTGGGTAGGCCCTGCCCATCTCCCAGGGTACAGCTCAGATGAAGGTGGGAGTCAGCGTGTGAGGCTCAAATTATTTTCTTCTCCCAGCCCCCTAAACTCCCTATCAAATACAGGAACTTAGGATTGATTTACCACAAGTTTTAAGGGTTCTTTGTCCTGGGATACCGACGACACCCAGCCCCTCTGTGGGGTACTCCAGGTATCCAGGTGTAGGAACCCCTGGGCCTGGCTTGCTCAGGGTTCTGCAAACTGATTCAGGAAGACAAATTGCCCAGGGTCACCCTCTTTCCCCACCTCTGCACTTACTTTAATCCTTGCTCCTTTCTAGAGGCTGATTCTCTCCCATCCCTCCTCTTTAAGACCCATGGTGAGACCAACCATGCACTCCAACTGGTGGTGGCAAGTCAATACCGGGTTCTACAGCTGGCCTGGGTTGAAAGGTCCCGATGTGGACAAACCTGGCCTGATTCCTGCGCCCCTCCCACCTGCACTGTGGGGTTGCTGCCTTGAGAGGGCTTTCTTTTGGGGTCCTTACTAATGATGTGCAGCAGCATGATTGAAGAGCCAGGCTGAGGGCTGAGGTAGGGGTGTGAGTGTGTGAGTACGTATGGGGCAGGGATGCCCAGGAGAAGGCCTTACTTACTTCCAGCAAAGACCAGCTCACCTCCATACCACAGCCTGGCACCCCTGGGACCCAGGTCTGCCAGCGTTTGCTGTGGCTCCTTGTCATGCTTAGCTCTGCCCCTGGATTTGGAGTGATTCAGAATCAGCTAATGGGCCAGGTGTGGTAGCTCACTCCTGTCATCCCAGCACTTTCGGGGGAGGCTGAAGTGGGAAGATTGCTTGAGCCTGGGAAGCTGGGGCTGCAGTGATCTGTGATTGTGCCACTGTACTCCAGCCTGGGTGACAAAGCAAGACACTGTCTCAAAACAGAAAACCCCCCAAAAAACAGATTCAGCTAATGTTGGCTTCCCAAGGGAGCATAGTGCAATCGAGGAGCCTTAATTTGGGCATTTGGTTAAGATACGGGGTCCACTGGCTGGACAGAATACCTAGTGCTTATGGAGATCTGTGGCTAGGATCAGAGGTGGCTTTGCTCCAGCTGGGGGTAGAAATCCGTAGGGGCTGGGCCTGTGTTGTCACCCAACTGGTTCCGAGGATGTTCATTACTGATGAGGGCCTGGCTGGAGGCCACATCACAGGGGCCTGCTGACAAAGGGGCTGGGTTCTGCCTGGGCACTCTGCAGCAGGTATAGAGTCCTCATGGGCTCCCACTCACTCAGACCTTCGAGGAAGATGTGCAGCTGGTTCTTTGGTGACTTCATCTTTCACATTCTGTTCTGGGAGGTGGCGATGTGGTGGGGTCCTGGTGGCCAAGGGCCTGATGGAGCGCAGCTGCTATCAGCCACTTCCTGAATTGTGTGGCTGAGCAGCCTGGGGCTCCTGAGTGGGTCTTGGGTGCCTGGGGCTTCTGTCCTATGGATAAGGAGGATGGCAGATTGGAAAGCATTTTTTTTTTTTTTTTTTGAGTCCAGGTGGTGAAAATGAGAGCAGTCTGGATTAGTAGGGGGTCTTATGACTTCTAGTGTGCCAGAGCTGGGACAAGTACCTGTGTCTATGCAGTTTCTATCACATGTACATGTGACTTTTAAAATTCTATTTGTAATTTCACTCTTGTTTCTTTCATTCATTCATTCAGAGACAGTTTCGCCCTGTCGCCCAGGCTGGAGTGCAGTGGTGCGATCTCAGCTCACTGCAACCTCCATCTCCTGGGTTCAAGCGATTCTCCTGCCTCAGCCTCCCTAGTAGCTGGGATTACAGGCACCCGCCACCACACCCGGCTAATTTTTGTATTTTTAGTAGAGACGGGGTTTCACCGTGTTGGCCAGGCTGGTCTCAAACTCCTGACCTCAGGTGATCCACCTGCCTCAGCCTCCCAAAGTGCTGGAATTAGAGGCCTGAGCCACTGCATCCAGCCTTCTTGTTTTTATTTACTTATTTATCTTTACTGGGGTAACATATGTGTATAATTCACCATCTTTACCATTTTTAAATGTACAGTTCAGTGGTAATAAATACATTTATATTCTCTTTTTTTTAACCCCTTCATTCCCTGGCTCCCCTTCCCCATCCCAGCCCTGGTAACCACCACTCTACTCCATCTTCATGAGATCCATGTAACTCCCACGGATGTCACTCTTGTGTTTAGCTCACAGGTCTAGGTAGGGTACCAGCAGGCTTATGTCGGCTTGTGTCCCCATCTTGCTGCTACATGACCCCATTCTGATCCAACAGAAGGGAGCCCCATGAAACTTTGGTTTGGACGCAGGGGACCTGCTGTGTCCTCAGAGATGGCTTGGGAGAGCTGCGAGAGAGAGGGCTACTGCATCTTAGGGCCAGTGGGACAGCTTCCATTTCTGCATCTGAGAAGTGGACAGTGCAGGCTGGGGGTGAGCAGCAGTGAGGTCAGCCACAGGGAGCTGCTGTGGGATGAGGCAGACCTTGACCTGGGCATGGGGGCTCTGCGGGTGCCAGGAGAAGGGCCCCAGCAAGCCCTCTGGGGAAACCGTGGGGGAGGTTTGGGGTAGAAAAAGGAGGGTCAGGGTGCAGTGCTGTTGGGCTGCAACTCTATTGTCTGAGTTGAGGCCAAACTCACCCTGATTTACCTTTCAGTTGTCTCCTAAGGTACAAGGAGCGCCAGGACAGAGGGACTTGCCAAGTGCCAGCTAAGATGAGTATCACCCAGTGTAGCCCTGGGTCTCCTGGGCTGGACCTGTGTGCTGGTGTTGAGGGCAGGTTATCAGCCAGGAGTCAGCGTGCGGGTGGTTTGGTAGCTCTCTGGCACATGAGTGGCACACATCGGCCCATTTGAGAGGCCTTTTGTTTGCGCAGGCTCATTTTGTGAGAGTAAGGGGTTATCTTAGTCTGTTCTGTGCTGTTGTAATAAAATACCGGAGACTGGGTAACTTATCAAGAACAGAAAGTTATTTCTCAGTTCCAGATGCTGGAAGTCCCAGATCAAGGTACTAGCGTTGGGGAAGGCTGCCCTCTGCTTCCGAGATGGGGCTTGAATGCTGCATCCTCTGAGGGGAGTAACACTGTCCTCACATGCAGAAGGTGGAAGGGCGGAAAGGACCAAACTCCCTTTGTCAAGCCCTTTCATAAGTGCACCTAATCCCCTTCATGAGGGCGGAGCCCTTGTGACTCAATCACTTCCCAAAGGCCACACCTCCCAACACTGTTACCTTGGGGATTCAATTTCTTTCTTTCTTTTTTTTTTTTGAGATGGAGTCTCACTCTGTTGCCCAGGCTGGAGTGCAGTGGCGTGAACTCGGCTCACTGCAACCTCCGTCTCCCAGGTTCAAACAATCCTCCCACCTCAGCCTCCCGAGTAGTTGGGATTACACGTGCACGCCACCATGCCCGGCTAATTTTTTGCGTTTTTAGTAGAGACAGGGTTTCACCATGTTGGCCAGGCTGGTCTCGAACTCCTGACCTCAAGTGATCTGCCTTCCTTGGTCTCCCAAAGTGCTGGGATTACAGGCGTGAGCCACCACGCCTGGCTGGGGATTCAATTTCAGTATCAATTTTGTTGGGGACAAAAACATTCACACCATAGCAGGGGTGGATGTTGGTTACAAGTTTATTGTGGCCCTGAAGAATTCTGGTGCTTCTCTCCTGCAGTCCTGGCTTGGGGACTCTGGGTGATAAAGGGCCCTCTGCCTCTCAAATCTGCCCATCCTGAGAGGAGAGTGGACAGATGTGGGAGGTGCTGCCTGCAGGTTATGGTGCATTGCCCTCCTTCCACAGCCTTTGCCCTGGGAACACCAGAGCCTGTATGGGTCACCTTTGCAAACATCTTTGATTGAGGCCAAGTGCTGGGATATGTTCAGCTGGGGAGGTTACACAGCCTTGTCTGGTGGGGGATGATACTTAGCTTTCTCAGGAAAACCCCAGTATTTTTAGGAACAAACAGTTTGTACCCACCCATTTCTGGTTTTGAAAAACCATGGGTCCTCTCCCATCTTGTTCATCTGAAACAGCCTGAGCTTCAGGAGGGGAGGAGGAATGGGCTTGGGCACTGGGTCAGATGATTCCAGTGTTGCCTCTTTTTATGTGACATTGGGCAAGACCTTGACTTTGCTGAGTCTCTTTTCTTATCTGTGAGACTGACATCCCATTGTCTGCCTCATGGTAGGAGAGGATGTGTCTAAATTTCCCAGCACCGGACACAGTAGGTCCTCATAGATATTAATCCCTTTCCACTTGAGCTCATGGAAAATGATGTCATGCCGTTTTAGGTGAGAGCTCTTTAAAAGGGCATTAGAAGTTTCTGTTGTGGACATGGTCCTGGTGATGCTGAGTGGGTGGGCAGTCCATTTGTTAGAAAAACGGGTCCATGGGGGTGTCTGGTGCCTTAGCCACCCCATTTCTGGCATGGGGCTGTGGCCTCTGCCCCAGGGTTGGAGGCGCGCGTTTCCTCTCCTGTGCACCTTCGGAATCTCTCAGGGGTTCATCTGCCTTTTACTTTTGCTTAGGGTTGTTGTCTCCCCCAGAACATTTTGCTTTGGCTTCTCTTGTCACACAGCTCATGGAATCTGTCCCCTGGTTGGGGGCTGGGGAGACTCCCCGACCCAGACTCGTGTCCCCACCAGCTGCCCTCGTGGGTTTGCTTTGCCGGGTGCCTTGGTGTACATGTCCATGTGCACTGCCCTTTGTCAGGCCTGTCCTTCCAGTCATCTCAAGGGCCTGACTCCTGGAGGATGGCTGGTGGATCAGGAGACCCGCGTGGTGGCACTGGTGCCAGTGCCCTATTTGAGGCTCTGGAAAGTCTTGGTCAGGGGGTGTGACACAACTGTGACGTTAAGCAGGAGGAAAGGGAGTCCCTGCCTCTCACTGGATGTCATACAGACTTGGGTTGTCAGAGCTGCAATGGAGGCTCATGATCCCATCTCACCCCCTCATTTTATAGAAGGGAACACTGGTCAGGAGAGGGAAGGGCTTCCCTACCAACTACCACGGTTGTTCAGAGCCTCAGGCCCCGTGTGAGGCCCTCACAGCCCCATGTGTGGCAAGCGTGGGGGGCAGTGTGCTAGAAATACAGATTTATCTTTC